>NW_025791756.1:1258148-1572686 GCF_000001405.40 Homo sapiens | reverse complement strand
GATCATGCTGTACCTGAAGGCCAACCTACCCATGACTTCAGTTCCATGGGCCAATAAATTCCCATTTTTAGTTGAACTGGGTTTTCTACAACTTGTAGCTGCTGAAAAGTATCTGATACAGCCCAAATCTTGTATTGAATTGTAATCCCCAGTATCAGAGATGGGACCTGGTGGGAGGTGGTTGGATCATGGGGGAGGTTTTCTCATGAATAGTTTAACATCATCTCCCTGTACTGTCCTCACAATAGTGACTTCTCGCAAGAGCTGGCTGGTTTTTTTGTTTTTGTTTGTTTTTGTTTTTTTGAGGTGGAATCTTGCTCTGTCACCTGGCTGGAGTGCAGTGGTGCAATCTCAGCTCACTGCAACCTCTGCCTCCTGGGTTCAAGTGATTCTCCTGCCTCAGCTTCCCGAGTAGCTGGAACTACAGACATGTGCCAGCACACCCAGCTAATTTTTGTATTTTTGGTAGAGACGGGGTTTCACTATGTTAGCCAGGATGACCTCGATCTCTTGACCTCGTGATCCACCCACCTCAGCCTCCCAAAGTGCTGGGATTACAGGCGTGAGCCACCATGCCCAGCCAAGAGCTGGTTGTTTAAATGTGTGGGACACCTAACTCTCTCTCCCTCTTGCTCCCACTCTTGCCACATGATGCACCTGCTCCCCCTTTGCCTTCTGCCATGATTGAAAGCTTCCTGGGGCCTCCCCAGAAGCAGACGCCACTATGCTTCCTATAAAGACTGCAGAACTCTAAGCCAATTGAACCTCTTTTCTTTATAAATTACCCAGTCTTAGGTATTTCTTTATAGCAATGCAAGAATGGCCTAATTCAGTATCCTGACAAATATAAACAGTTTCAACAATGTACCCATAAGAAATTCAGTTGACTGTTTTTATAAAGGTCTCATAACCCTACTGTTACCAGTGGAGGGTGTCTAGGATCTTGGTGTTTTGAATGAAGAACTGGACAAAATGCACAAACAAAGCAAGGAAAGAATAAAGCAACGAAAGTACAGATTTATTGAAAATGAAAGTACACTCCAGTGTGGAAGCAGCCTGAGCAGGGGAAAGCAACCAATCAGAGGTTAAAGTGAAGTTACAAAGTTGCACTTCTATGCACACGAAGACTTGGCCAGCAATCAGTCTGATTGGTTGCAGACAACAACCAATCAGAGGTTGAAGTGAAGTTACAAAAATTACACTCCTATGCAAACATATGATTGGTTGAAGAAAGCAACCAATCAGAGATACTTTCAATTTGCCATTTGCCAGGCAGAAAAGGTGTGGGTTTGCAAAGGGAGTAGCCTCTGGTCTTTTTGTTACTTAGGCGTGGAAAGTTGGGGTTTTCCTTTTGATTTAGTTCTAGGAAGTTAGTGTGAATTGGCCTTAGGTTCCCTGCCTCCAGACCCTATTCTCCTGCCTCACTACTTGTGAGGCGGGAAATTAAAGAAAGAAAGAAAAATAAAATTTAAAAAGGAGAAATAAGCTTTCCTGTATTAGGCTGACTTGCCCCAGAGGCAGCAACAGGCACAGCCCAGACCTAGGAAAAGTCTTGATACTATCTAAGAAGCCAGGACACAAAGGAATGTGCCCTGGAGATTTTCCCAGCACTCCCTCAACATAGGGAGGAGAAAAACAGATTTTCCTTTATCTTACGGTATGAGTTTATAGATTCCTGTTCTCTGTAACTAGTAACTTGAAGTATTCTCTTTTATCTAAGCAGTGGAGTGAAGGTCATAAACCATCTGAGCAGGCCTGAGATACAGCCACCTGGCTGCCATAGTGAAGGTTATGGGATAAGTCTGTGCTAGGCACTAGAGGAAATCTAGATAACAGACATCTGGGCTGCATAGCAATGGTCATGTGTAATCCTGAGTTATGAACCTGTCACAACTTGATTAACTGTCTTTGTTCTGCCTCTGTGTCCTTGCCTTTGTGCCGCTGTAAGCCTGCTTCTAGCTAGCCCACCCCCTTTTTGAAGTGTGTATAGAAGTCAAGTGCTGTCTTTGTTCTGGGCCCAGTTTTTGGATGTTAAGTCTGCTGGGTCTGAGTGCACTCAATAAAGATCCTCCTGTATACACCCCAAGGTCTCTCTGGTCCTCCTGATTCCCACAACACTTGTTATTATAGTGGATTGTAGAAGAGCAGGAAGTGGGGGTTACTCATCCTCCAGCTCCATCCATACTTCCACCTCTCTCCATAGTTTCTGCTAGCTGATCACCTCAAGGTTATCTGCCCAAATGCAAATCTGCAGTGAAGCCCCAGAGTCTCCTGGCTAAGCATACAGGTAGGGCTAAAGAACCCACAGTGGAGGACACTGGCCAAGACCAGCCAGTTTTCTTCCAACTGAAAGGAGCCACAGCTAAACAAAAGATAGGGAAACAAATCCCTATCTTTTGGCCAGCCCTGGCAGAAAGACAGACTTTCCATGGGCAGCCGTGACAGTTTCCTAGCTTTGGCATTTCTGCATGTCCTTAGGTATGTCCTCCCTAATCATATCTATCAACCACCTACTGAGACATCTTCATTTGTAAAGTGATTTATTAATTCAGAGAGTTCCTGTGAGCTTCGAGTGAACCCTCACCTGATCAATAGAAGTTAGACCCAGAATGGCAGAAAAGCACGGTGGGAGAGGTCACTGGGATTTGGGGCTTGGCTTCAAGTTCTGGCTCTGCTACTTCTGGGCTGTGTTATTTGGGGCAGAATGCTTACTCTTTCTGTGCAAGGCAGAATGATGGCCCACTAAGGATATCCACGTCCTAATCCCTGGAACCTGTGAACGTGGCAAGAGGACCTTTGCAGATGTGGTTAAGGGTAAGGATTTTGAGATGAGGTGATGATTCTGGATTATCCAAGTGGGTCCAATCTAATCATATGAATCCTTAAAAGCAGAGAAATTTCCCAGCTGTGGTTGCAGGGAGACACAACTATGGAAGAAAGTTCAGAGAGACACAACATTGCTGACTTGGAGGCTGGAGGAAGGAAGCTAGAACCGGAGGGTGGGTGGTCTCTGGAAATTGAAAAAGGCAAGGAGATGGATTTTTCCCCCAGAGCCTCCTGAAAGGAATGCAGCCCTGCCGACCTTGGATTTTAGCCCAGTGAGACACAAGATGTGATTCTGACCTCCAGAATGTAAGATAACAAATTTAGTAGACCTAAAGAAAGAAGCTGAGGCAAAATTAATATAGAGAGTTTATTTGGGCCAGTGTTGAAGACAGCAGCCCAGGACACACTTCCAAGTTGTCTGGGGGAGTGCTCCATCCAGCCTTTGTTACAAGCAGGTTTTTAAAGTGGATACGCAGTTGTTTGACAGGCATTCTGACTGGATTACAGAGATGACATTGATCCATGATTGGCAATACCTTGTTGAATGATAGAGTAGGAGTTATGGTGTCCAGCATATGGCATTTTATAGCTACTTGGCATCAGTCAGTCTAGACCCCACACAGCAAGTGGTTTCAAGAAGTCATTATCTGGCTCAAAGTGGGAGTGAGACATGGCTGCCATCACATGCTGTCACACGTCAGTGCTCTCTGGGCTTTAGAAATAAGTGAGCTCACATTCCTCAAATAAAAAGTTTCTTTTCAGCCAGGCATGGTGGCTAACACCTGTAATCTCAGTACTTTGGGAGGCCAAGGCAGAAGGATCACTTGAGGCCAGGAGTTAGGGAACAGCCTGGGCAAAAAGTGAGGCCCTGTTTCTATTTTTTAAAAAAAATTGTTTTAATTAGCTGGGTGTGGTGGTGCACACCTGTGGTCCCAGCTACTTGGGAGGCTGAAGCAGGAGAATTGCTTGAGCTCAGGAGGTCAAGGCTGCAGGGAACTATGATTGAACCACTGCACTCCATCCTGGGCAACAGAGCAAGACCCTGTGTATTAATTCATTCTCACATTGCTATAAAGAAATACTTGAGACTAGGTAATTTATAAAGAAAAGAGATTTAATTGGCTCACATTTCCACAGGCTGTATGGGAAGAATGATGCTGGCATCTGCTTGGTTTCTGGGGAAGCCTCAGAAAACTTACAATCATGATGGAAGGTGAAGGACAAACAGGTACATCTTACATGGCCAAAGCAGGAGCAAGAAGAGTGTGAGTGGTGGGTGCTATTCATTAAACAACCAGATCTTGTGAAAACTCACTATCATGAGAACAGTACCAAAGGAATGGTGCTAAACCATTCATGAGAAACTGCCCCCATAATCCAATCACCTCCCACCAGCCCGCACCTCCAACACTGGCAGGGACACAGATCCAAACCATATCATTCCACCTCAGCCCTTCCCAAATCTCATATCCTTCTTACATTGCAAAATACAATTATGCTTTCCCAACAGTCTTAGCTTATTTTAGCATTAACTTGAAAGTCCAAAATCCAAGTCTCTTCTGAGAGAAGGCTAGTCCCTTCTGCCTATGAGCCTGTAAAATCAAAAACAAGTTAGTTACTTCCAAGATATAAGGGGGGTATAGGTGTTGGGTAAATACTCCCATTCCAAAAAGGAAAATTGGCCAAAATAAAGTGGTTAGAAGCCCCTTGAAACTCCAAAGCCCAGCAGGGCAGTCACTAAATCTTAAAGCTCAAAAATAATCTTTTTTTTATTCCATGTCCCACATCCAGGGCATCCTGATGCAGGGGGTGGGCTCCTAAGGCCTTGGGTAGCTCCACTCCTGTGGCTTTGCAGGGTTCAGCCCCTGCATCTGCTCTCAAGGGCTGGCATTGAGTGCCTGCGGCTTTTCTAGGTACAAAGTGCAAGCTGCCCATGGCTCCACCATTCCAGGGTCTGGAGTTTGGTGGCCCTCTTCTCACAGCTCCACTAGGCTGTGCCCCAGTTAGGGACTCTTCGTGGGGGCTCCAACCCCACATTTCTCCTCTGCATTGCCCTATTAGAGGTTCTCCGTAAGAGCTCCATCCCTGAAGCAGGCTTCTGCTTGGATATCCAGGCTTTTCCATACATTCTCTGAAATCTTCCAGGCCTCAACTCTTGCATTCTGTGCACCTACCGGCTTAACACCACGTGGAAGCCACCAAGAATTATGGCTTGCACCCTCTGAAACAGTGGCCCAAGCTGTACCTGGGCCCCTTTTAGCCACAGCTGGAGCTGGAGCAGCAGGGATGCAGGGAACAGTGTTCCAAGCTATCAGCACTTACTTTCCTTTTAGTTATGCACATTTCTGCAGCCAGCTTGAATTGCTCCCCTGAAAATAGGCTTTTCTTTCCTACCACATGGCCAGGTTGCAAATTTTCCAAACTTTTACACTCTGCTTCCCTTTAAAATATAAGTTCCAGTTTCAGGTCATTTATTTGCTCACACATATGCACATAGGAATTTAGAAGCAGCCAGGTCACATCCTGAACACTGATGCTTAGGAATTTCTTCCACCAGATACCCTAAATCATCACTCTCAAGTTCGAAGTTCCACAGATCCCTAAAGCAGGGGCACAATGCAGCCAGGTTATTTGCTAAAGCATAGCAAGAGTGACCTTTACTCCAGTTCCCAATAAGTTCCTCATTTCCACCTGAGACCTTCTCAGAGTGGTCTTCATTGTCCATAACACCATCAACACTTTGGTCACAACAATTCAACAAGTCTCTAGGAAGTTCCAAATTTTCTCTCATCTTCCTGTCTTCTTCTGAGCCCTCTACACTCTTCCAACCTCTGCCTGTTATCCAGTTCCGAAGCTGCTTCCACATTTTCAAGTATCTTTACAGCAATGCCCCCCTCTTTAATACCAATTGTCAGGCCTCTGAGTCCAAGCTAAGCTATCATATGCCCTGTGACCTGCACGTGTACATCCAGATGGCCTGAAGCAACTGAAGACACACAAAAGAAGTGAAAATAGCCTTAACTGATGACATTCCACCATTGTGATTTGTTTCTGCCCCACCCTAACTGATCAATGTACTTTGTAATCTCCCCCACCCTTAAGAAGGTTCTTTGTAATTCTCCCCACCCTTGAGAATGTACTTTGTGAGATCCAACCCCTGCCTGCAAAACATTGCTCCTAACTCCACTGCCTATCCCACAACTTATAAAAACTAATGATAATCCCATCACCCTTTGCTGACTCTTTTCGGACTCAGCCCGCCTGCACCCAGGTGAAATAAACAGCCTTGTTGCTCACACAAAGCCTATTTGGTGGTCTCTTCACATGGACACATGAGACACCAATTTTCTGTATTAGTCCATTCTCACATTGCTATAAAGAAATACATGAGACTAGGTAACTTATAAAGAAAAGAAGTTTAATTGGCTCATGGCTCTGCAGGCTGTACAGGAAGCATGATGCTGGCATCTGCTTGGCTTCTGGGGAAGTCTCAGAAAACTTACCATCTTGATGGAAGGCAAATGGGAAGCAGGCATGTCTTCGAAGGGGATGCAGGCACATCTTGCATGGCCAGGGCAGGAGCAAGAAGAGTGTGAGGGGGGAGGTGATACACACTTTTAAACAACCAGATCTCGCAATAACTAACTCTGTCACGAGCACAGCATGAAGGGAATGGTGCTAAACCATTCATGAGAAACAGCCCCCATGATCCAGTCACCTCCCACCAGGCCCCACCTCCAACATTGGCAGTTACAATTCCACATGAGATTTGGGCTGTGACACAAATCCAAACCATATCACCCTGTCTCACAAATTTCTTTTTCTTTTTAATTAAAAATAAAGAGTTTTGGCCAGGCAAGGTGGCTCACACCTGTAATTCCAGCACTTTGGGAGGCCGAGGCGGGCAGATCGTGAGGTCAGGAGATCAAGACCATCCTGGCTAACATGGTGAAACCCCAACTCTACTTAAAAAAAAAAATGCAAAAAATTAGCCGGGCGTGGTGGTGGGTGCCTATAGCCCCAGCTACTCAGGAGGCTGAGGCAGGAGAACGGCGTGAACCTGAAAGGCGGAGCTTGCAGTGAGCTGAGATCGTGCCACTCTACTCCAGCCTGGGGGACAGAGCGAGACTCTGTCTCAAATAAATAAATAAAGAAAATAAGAAGTTTCTGTTATTTATCAATTTATATTGTTTAGCCACCAGATTTGCTCTAATTTGTTACAGCATCCAAGAAAACTAATACAAACACTGAGCCTTGTCTCCCTCCTCTGTAAATAGGAGGTGTAGCCCTGACCTCCATGGAATCATCTGAAAACTAGAGGCTGTGAGCTTGGTCCTGAAATCACGAAGTCCTGGGTTCAAATATAGGATTACAGAGGGGCCCCACTCTTCTCTTGCCAGGCCGGGCAAGGGGCTCCGCCCTCTGCCTGCCACAGGAAGCCTGCCCCGTGCCTCAGCGAGGAAGCCTGAGTTTTAGGTTGGTGCAAAAATAATTGCGGTTTTGCCATTACTTCTAATAGCAAAAACTGCAATTACTTTTGCACCAGCCTAATACTTGGCCTTGCACGTCCCCATTCCTTCTTTCAGACCTTTGACCTTGAGCTGCCTCACCCTGGCCAGGGCCAAAGCAGTAGGATTAAGGGAGAGTCTTGGGAGAGAGCGGAAGAAACAAGGGCAGGGCCCCAGGTCCTGACCCTGAGGCAGGTGCAGCCTGAGCGTTGGGGGAGGGATGAGCCCTACAGGGCGCAGCTGCATGGGCGCCTTCTGCTTCTGGCTGTGGGATTCGCAGAAAGGCAGCTAACCTCCCTGAGCCTGTTACTCCACCTGGAAAACGGGGAAGAGAAGTTCTAGAAATAGCTCCCATTCCTAGGCATCCTCCTCTTCTCTCTTTCTTACTCCTTCCCTTTCTTCGCTATTGTTATTATTAATCATGAGTTTTACCACGACCCCATAAGGAAACTGGGAGCTTGGAGAGCTTAACTTGTCAAAGTCACGGAGCAGGCAAACGGCTCAGGTGGGATTCGAACCCAAAGCCCATGGTCGCACTTCTAGGCCAAGCTGCCGCAAATGTGCAGGATGCCCGTGACCACCGACAAACACGGGCTCGCTTTGGGGAGCTAGACCTCCGCGAAGAGGGAGGTGGGGCCTTTGGGTTATAGGGAGGGGCCACCGCATGTCCCCAGTCCCTCCTGCAGGTCACGGAGCCAATGGGCTCCGGAGTTTCTCCCGCGCCCGGGCAGCGCGTGGAGACCTGGCTTGTGATTGGAGCTCGGGGGCCAGGGGAGGTGGCTCGGGATGCGAACGCGCAGTTTAGTGACTAACGCGCTCGCAGCCTGCGCTAATCCCGGCTATTACCGCGCTAATCCCTCGCTGCAGGCTCACTCCCGGGCCGGGCCGGGCTGTCACGGGTCAGGGCCCGGCGGGGCGCGCCTTTCTCACCCTGCTCACGCTACGAACTTCACCCCTCCCCAACCCCCGGGCCCGAGCGGGAAGGGCCTCCGGAGTTCTCTTGGTCCAGGCCCACGTTCCCATGTCACAGATGGGAAAACCGAGGCCCAGCGGGAAGGAACTTCCCCAGGGCCAGCAGAGCTGGACTTCTCTATGGCCGCCCTGAACAGCCGGCTGCCTGACTGTCATCACCTTGTCCCCTCTGGAATAAAGGAGGTTTTTGAGGACAAAACTCGTGCCCTAGCGCTGTGGCCGGGGCCTGGAACATAGTAGGTGTTGAGTTGTAAAGGAATGAATCTGGCCCTTTGGAGTCAGCCCAGAACGCCATATTGAAATGGTGAAAAGGACAAGACTATGGCCTGAAGGCAAGTGGAGAAGTGAGGGGTGAAATATTCTGCAAGGTATAGAATAGACAGTAAAATATGCCTCTGTTATAGAATATTTGCTGGAAATACAGCTCCTAGTGTTCTTTGGAGTCCTTTTTTCTTTCTTTCTTTTTAACATTTTTTGCTATCACTTTGCAAAATGGAAACTCCTATGAAACTTCCACATGAAGCACTGGGCTGGCAGTTTGCTTACGTATTTCATTTAATCCTGTGAGCTAGAGATCACATTGTCCTTGTTTTACAAATGAGGAAACTAAATGGAATCAGAAGGGTTAAGTCACTTGCCCAAGGCCCTGCAGCTAGAAATAGATGGAGCTGAGATTTGAACCTCAGTCCACAGAGTTTTGTTTTGTTTTGTTTTGTTTTGTTTTGTTTTGTTTCAGCCGAATTGAACTAAATGTCTGCTTAGAGCTTTCAGACTCGAGGTTCTGTGGCTCTGCTGCAATATTTAATATTTTTGAATTGATCTTTTTGAAAAAGGCCAAATCTGCTATGCTATGGTTCTTCAGTCTGTTCCCAGCCTCTGTGCCCAGGCATCACAAAGCTACCAGGAGAAGGCACCACTCTGATTTCCTAGCCTCCTTTGGAGTCTGTTCTTTTGCAGAAAAATCTCCCCTGAAATGTGCAAGAGTTTTCGCACCAAACAGCCACTTGTCTCATTTTAATAGAGTCCCAAAATTGACACTTGGGAGAACTGGGTAATGCAACTCAGTTCCACAGACCTTTCCTGATATTGTGTGACAGATACTGTTCTGGGACTGGAGACAGAGCAATAAATAAGACCTTGCATGCTCTGCCCCTCAGATTCCCCACGCGTACAAGGTTGGAGATGGCAGAGATGGCATGCAGACCCATTCTCTCCCTTTCATTAATGTGCATGCAAGCATGCTCCCTTCCAGCACTCATGGCAGATATTGCTCATTGATCATGGCACACTTTCCTGCTGAAACACATTTCAGCCTCAAGTACCTAACTCCCAGGATTGGTTGAAGCCAGGAGTTCAAGACCAGCCTGGGCAACATAGTGAGACCTCGTCTCTACAAAAGTAAAAAAATTAGCCTGGCGTACTGGTGCGCATCTGTAGTGATAGCTACTTAGGAAGCTGAGGTGGGAGGATCACTTGAGCCCAGGAGTTTGAGGTTGCAGTGAGCCATGATCAAGCCACTGTACTCCAACCTGGGTGACAGAGTGAGGCACTGTTTCTTAAAACAAAACTAGCAGTCCCCAAGCACCAAGGGTAGAGGTGCTAGGGAAGATGAAATATTTTGTCCTCTCCAAACTAAGGTAGCTCAGGTTCTCCCTAGCTTTGCCATTCAGCCCAATATTCTCCAATTCTCCCAGGGTTCCAGCCCTGTGGTTTCTCTGCTCCTGGAAAAGATCCTCCCCCATGATGAGTGACACTACTGAGACAAGCCAGAGAGACATGGGGCAGAGCCTCCTTCTGCCTCTTCCCTTGTGGTACAAAGGAAGGATGCTTAACAAGCCCCCTGAAGACCTGTTCCTCCCAGGCAGTGCCTTCTAGCAGCACTATCTCCTATCCCTTCCTAAGGAGGCTCAGCCCTCCTGCAATCAAACAGCAGCCACCTCCCCAGGACCACATTGGCTCAAGACAAAGTGGGGAAAGGAAAGAAGTAATGGAAGTGTTGGGTCAGCCAGACAAGAATCCCATAGGACTGTGGTTTCCCCATATCCATTATGCTGTTATCTCCAAGCCTTTGCATATGCAGTTCCCTCTGCTATGACAGTACCCCCTGCACACACACGCCCCCCACCCCCCACCTTCTCCGGCCTTGTCTAACGAACTCCTATTCAGTTCTTCAAACCCTAGTCAGATGACATCTCCTCTGGGAAGTCTTCCTTGCCCTCCCTCTAGACGGTCACCCACTTCTTCTTGGGTACATCTGTGCCTGTGCACACATTTGTTTCTTGTAGCCACTATAGTGATTTGTGTACTTGTCTCTCTCCTTCTCTGGACTGTAAACTCTTTGAAGGCAGAACCATGTCTTATTCTATCAGGATCCTCACCATCCTGGCACAGACAGGGAACTCACTAAATATGTGTGGACCTGTTGATTAAAACCCTACCACCTGAAAAGCTGAAAACACACCAAGCTGATGAGCCAAAGACAAACCTCATTATCCCCAATTTGCAAGTGACTCAGCTCAGCCAAAGAGACATGCCGAAAAGTCATCTGCTCATACCACTGGCCAAGTCAGGGCAAGAACCTAAGAGTCCAAGCTCCTCAGCATTCCAAGGAGGGGAAATGGTCCCTCCCTTTGATCCTGCATATGAGATGGCCAACTCTAAGTGTCCATTAATGATTTTTCACTGTTTATATTGCAAAGCTGGAACACTTCACCCAGGTGGCTACAGCTAGGAACTTACACGATCACAGTTAAAAGTTTGCACCATTTATTTCAGCAAACACCTTTTACGAATCAAAAGACAAGGGCAGGGATGGTGCCTCACGCCTGTAATCCCAGCACTTTGGGAGGCCGAGGCAGGTGGATCACGAGGTCAGGAGACCAAGACCATCCTGGCCAACATAGTGAAACCCCATCTCTACTAAACATACAAAAATTAGTTGGGCATGTTGGCGCCCCAGCTACTCCGGAGGTTGAGGCAGGAGAATCGCTTGAACCCGGGAGGCAGAGGTTGCAGTGAACCGAGATCGCGACACTGCGCTGCAGCCTGGTGATAGAGCGAGACTCCGTCTCAAAAAAAAAAAGAAAGAAAGAAAGAAAGAAAAAGAAAAGAAAGAAAGAATCAAAAGACAAAGTGTTAATATTCTTAATAAACAAGGAAACCTTATAGATAAATGAGTAGTAACTCAGTAGGAAAATAGGTAAAAGTCACAAAGAGGCAAGCCACATAATGTAAAATCAATTCAACAATGATTCATTGAGCCACTACTGCATACGAGGCATGGCTCTAGACACTGGAGGTACATGATGAACAAGACAAGGTCCCTGTTCTCATGGAATGGCCTAGTGAGGCGAAACAGGCAAGCAAATAAACATATATCTCTCCTATGGCAGGTATATGGAGCAAAGTAAAATAGGGTGATCTGATAGAGGTGACACAGCTACTCTAGAAGGGGTGGTCAGGAAAGGTCTTGCAAGGAGGTGCTGATAACTGAATGCCAAGAATGGGCAGCCATGCAATGGCCAGGGGGGAAAGCCTTCCAGAGGAGGGACCGGCAAAGATAGTGCAAGATCTCCAAGAAGGAGTGAGCCAGGAATATTTAAGAAGCTAAGAGGAGGCCAGCGTGGCTGGAGAGAAGTGGGCAAGGAGGAAAGTGTAGAGTACGGGACCGGCTGGAGCGTGCGGGACTGTAAGCGGGGGACAGAGTTGAGATTTGAGTGAGGCAGGAAGACCTGGGAGATTTTAAGCAGGAGAAGGGTGTGATCTGGTTACGTTTTCAAACTATCACTTTGGCCACTGTGTGGAGAGTCGACAAAAATGAGAGCAGAAGCAGGGAATCCAGTTAGGAGGCCCCTGAATTAGCCCAAGGGAGAATTGACAAACACTTGGCATAAAGTGGAAAGGGTGGAGGTGGAGGTGCAAGCATTCAGGATGTTTTAGGGATAGAAATTGATGGGATTTGCTAATCATGGACTGGAATTGGGGATGAGAGGAAACTAAGTCTCAAGGAAACTGTGTATACATATTTTTTGCCTTGAAAAATTGGTGGGTAGATGGTGGTACTTCTTCTTAGGTGGGAAAATGGCAGAAGATGGGCAGGAGCTGGTTTGGAGAGAAGTTTCAAAATAATAGTAAGAGCTCACATTTACCAAGTTTTTCCTCTGTGCCTGGCTTGCTTTACATCAGGGAGTTCTCAATCTCTACGTTGTTGCTATTTGAGATGAGATCATTTTTTGCTGTGGAGTTGTCCTATACATTGTGGGGTGTTAAGCAACATCTCTGGCCCCTACCCACTAGACACCATTAGTGTGCATGCAAGTATACATGTGTGAGCGTACACACACACACACACACACAGAGAGAGAGAGAGAGAAAGAGAGAGAGAGAGTTGGACAACCAAAAAATGTCTCCAGACACTGCCAAAAGGCCCACTCATCATTCCTGGTGAGAACACTGCTCTACATGGATTCTCTTCTGTAATCCTCACAACCACTCTATAAAGTCCATGCTGATAGTATCCCCATTTTACAGATGTGGAAACTGAGGCCCAGAATACTTAACTTATCCAAAGTCATGAGTCTTTATTTTTGGCCAAGTTGGGCTTGAGTGCCCACTGACCATTGCTACGGTATAAATGTGTCTCTCTGAAATTCATGTTGGAACCTAAGACCCAATGTGATAGTATTAAGAGACGGGACCTTCAGGATGGGATTAGCATCTTTACAAAAGGGCTTGAGGGAGTTGATTTGCCCCTTCCAACTCTTCTGTCATGTGAGGACACAGCAAGAAAGCACCATCTTGGAAGCAGACAGCAGTCCTCACCAGACACTGAATCTTCTGGCACCTGGATCTTGGACTGCTTGGCCTCCAGAACTGTGAGAGGTAAAGTTCTGTTCTTTATATATTACCCAGTCTCAGGTATTTTTGCTACAGCAGCACAAACGCACTAAGACAACCATTCATGAAGAGAGCTCCAACAGGCAGGTGTGTGCATGCCACTGAGGTGCAGGGGAGTGTCAGGGTGAAGAGGGAATCTGCAATTGGGAGTCCCTGGTGCCTGGATGGGACTTTCACTGTGGAACTGAATGAGGTCACCTAAGGAGAATATACCATCCCCTCTCTTCTTTTGAAAAACTTCATTTCTCCTGTTATCTCTGCTTTCTCTTGCATTACCAGTTTCTCTCTTTTCCGAATCATTCCCATAAGCAAACATAGAGCGTCACTGTTCCTTGGTGTCACCTCCCCCTCCAGTGCCTGCCCAATTTCTCCACTCTCTTTCATAGCAAAATTCCTTAAAGAGTTGGTACAATCCGTCTCTTCAAAATGTCACCTCTCATTCTCTCCTCCACCCACTCTAACAAAGCATTCATCCCAACACTCAACTAAGACCTCCAGGCCATCAAATCCAATGGTCACTCCTCTGTCCCCATCTTACTGGCCCTCTTGGCAGCTTTGGACACAGTTGTCCTCCCTCCTTCTTGAAGCATCTTCTTTCCTTGGCTTCCATGACACCACACTGTCTCGGCTCCTCCTCTAAGTGTAGAAGGGGCCTAGGGTCTGGTCCTAGCCCCCTTCGCTTCCCTATTTACATGAAAGAAAAAATATGGATGGCCAGTACACATTGAAAATTGTGCTCAGCTCCAATTATAACCAAAGAAATGCCCACTAAGACAAATGAGATCTACTTTTAATCTAACACGATAGCAAAGATTCAAAAGATTAATTATACTCAGTATTGGCATAGATATAGAGAAACAAACACTCTCATTTGCCATTGGTGAGAAGATAAGTAGTACCATCTTTTTTTAGAAGGCTTTTTCTCAATATTGATCAAGAGACATATAAAATAGAATGATCAATCCTATACTTTGTTTTAATCTTTTCTATTGACATAATTTCAGACTTACAGAAAAACTGCAACAATAATACAAAGAATTCCCAGATACCCTACCCATCATCCACATCACCTAGATTCCCCAAATATCATCTTACTACACTAGGATTCTCCCTCTCCCTCTCTCTCTGTTTCTCTCTCTCTTCCCAAAATATATATATATACACTCACACATGTATGTATCTGTGTGTGTATATATACACATATGGATATATGTACATACATACACATACATATGGATATATGTACATATGTATGCATACATACGTATATGTGTGTATATATACACACATGTGCATATATAATAGTTTTATACTTTTATACTACATATGTATATATTTTTCTGAACCACTTAGTGGCAAATTGCAGGCATGATATTCTTTACCATAAATACTTGAGTGTATATTTCCTAAAAGTATGGAATTATCTTAGATAACCAAAGTACAAGAATCAAAGTCAGGAATTAACACTGATACAATACTACTATCTAATCCACAGATCTCCTTGGGATCTCACCAATTGTCAACATGGTGCCCGTTTTAGCAAAAGTAAATCCAATATCATATATTGCCTCCAATCATTATGTCTCTGTAGTTTCTTTTAATGTGGAACAGTTCCTCAGTTGTCTGTTTCATGACTTTGTCATTTTTGGAATCCAGGCAAGTTATTTTATAGAATGTCCCTGAGTTTGAGTTTGGTAGATTCATTCTGGCATAAACACTTTTGTCTTACTCTTCCCTCTGCCTGGAATATTGGTTTCTTGGCTTTTCAAGCTGCTTTCTTCTCCTCCTCCTTTGAGTCTCCCTTCAAATATCACCCCTTCCAAAGAGCCTTCCTACTAAATAGAATTACAGTCAATTCTCAGAAAAAAAAAATTGGCCAAATGATCAAGAAATGTGATGTTTTAGACCAGGGGTCGGCAACTACCGTGAATGAACTAAGAATGGTTTTTACATTTTTTTTTAATGGTTGGAGAAAAAAAACTGAAAGAAGAAAATCTTGTGACATTCTCATGAAAATTAAATGAAATTCAGTTTTAGTGTCCACAAATAAAGTTTTATGGGGACACAGCCAGGCCCGTGTGTTACATTTATCTGGGCTGCTTTCCTGCTACAATGGCAGAGCTCAGTAGTAGGCACCGAGAGTCACTGCTCTCATCTCTTTGTGTGGCTGCTCAGCACACTACGAACCACATGCCACAGCTCCAAGTCGACAGCATGCACATCGCTGTGGGGCAGTATTTTCTTTTTTTATAACCAGTGCATACACGTCATGTCAAAACAAGAAGAGTGGACTTCCAATGTTGTACTTTTTAAAAATACATGATAATCATGTGGCAAAATACACGCAACATAAAATTTACCATCTTCTCTATTTTTAACTAGATAGCTCAGCAGCGTTCGGTACATTCACGTCATTGTGCAACCATCAATGCCATCCGTCTCCAGAACTCTTTTCATTTTGAAAAACTGAAACCCTTTACCCATTAAACAAGAACTCCCCATTCTCCCCTCTCCTCCAGCCCCAGGCAACTACCATTCCACTGTCAAAAAATAACATTTCAATGAATTGAGTTGACTCATTGGCTTTTATTATTGATTCATTAATTAGGCAGCATCCCATTGATGAAATAGAAAAAGACATCCCAATGAGAAGAGGGGGTTGTCTTTGGGGGCACAAAGTGGCAGAAGGGGAACAGAAACAAGGAACAAAGAGTAGACTGGGCATTTCAAAGTTACTTTTCTTGTAGGATGAAAGCAGAGGGGACTTCCTTATCACATCAGCTCAGGTTGACTGGGACCTTCTCTGCTGGTTGCTGTAAATCTGTTTGTTTTTTTTAAAGCTGACTGTTTTAAGGGTCAGTTTGATTACGTGGCACCTAACATGAGTGACTCCACTCTGGGGTCTAGTACAGGAGCTTAGTCCAAAACAATGGCCTCCAGTAAATTTTATTTCACCCTACTTTCTGTCTCTATGATTTTGACTAGTCTAAGTACCTCATAGAAGTAGAATTCTATGATATCTATCCTTTGGTGACTGGCTTATTTCATTGAGCATGATGTCCTCAAGGTTCATCTACATCATACCATGTGTCAGAATTCCCTTCCTTCCTTTCTTTTTTTTTTTTTTTTGAGATAGAGTCTCGCTCTGCCCCCCAGGCTGGAGTGCAATGACACAATCTCGGCTCACTGCAACCTCCGCCTGCCAGGTTCATACGATTCTCGTGCCTCAGCCTCCGAAGTAGCTGGGGTTACAGGTGTGTGACACCACACCCAGCTAATTTTCTGTCTTTTTTTTTAGTAGAGATGGGGTTTCACCATGTTGGCCAGGCTGGTGTCAAACTCCTGGCCTCATGTGATCCACCCGCCTCAGCCTCCTGAAGTGTTGGCCACTGCTTCCAGCCATTCCTTCCTTTTTAAGGCTGAATAATATTCTATGTATGCATATACCACATTTTGTTTATCTATTTATCCATCAATGGTGGAGTGTCACATTTTTAAGGCCCAGCGAAGTGTGCATTATTTTGTTATCCAGTTAGATAGCAAGACATTGTGCTTATTAGGCAATGACACTGCATCTGTGCCAAAAGATTTTAATACATGTCTCGCTCCATAATATCTAAAATATTTACTCTCTGGCTGTTTATAGAAAAAGTTGGCCAACCCAATTCTTGTTTTACCCTGGCTTCATAGCAGTCATGGAACTGGACCTGTAGTCCCACTTAGTTGCATGCCAACAAATACCAACTCAAATGCTCAAACTTTTATCTGAAACTTTGTGTGGGCTTCCCTGCAAATGCACTTGACTGTTTCCTCCCAGCTTTTCCCGTTCAAACCTGACTCAGAACCACCCCTAACCCCCATCTCCACCCACAAGCCAGGCCTGTTGCTATGGTTTGAATATTTGTCTCTTCCAAAACTCATGTTGAAATTTAATCCCCAATGTGGCTGTACTGAGAGGTGGGGCCCTTAAGAGGTGATTGGGTCATGAGGGCTCTGCCCTTATGAATGGGTTAATCCAGTCATGGATTAGTGAATTAATGGGTTAATAGGTAACCCATCAATTGATCCATTAAGTGATCATGGGAGAGGAACTGGTGGCTTTATAAGAAAAGCAAGAGAGGGCTGAGCTAGCCTGTGAGCACTCAGCTTCTTCACCAGCTGATGTCCTGCACCACTATGGGACTCTGCAGAGAGTCATCAGCAGCAAGAAGGACCTCACCAGATGCAGCCCCTTGGCAATGGACGTCTCAGCCTCCATAACTGTAAGAAATAAATTCCTTTCTTTGTAAATTATCCAGATTCAGGTATTCTGTTATAAGAAACAGAAAACAGACTAAGACACCTGTCCTTTCTTGCCCAAACAGTCTTTCTGTAAATACTTCCTGATGCCTCTTCTGTACCCAGCCCTTGGGAAGTTGACATGAGAGGCAGGGTGATACTTATGCACCCAGACCTGTCCCCCTGCCTTCCCCACCCACATGCTCAGCACCTTCCTGAAATTAATCATAGAATCTTCAGATTACATGATCTGAAGTGCTCAGACTCTGCAGAAGGTGTGAATTATACAAGCTCTGAGCTTTTAAGTTCTCTTAAGCTTTTTGTTTCTTTTTCTTTTTTTCCTTTTTATTTATTTATTTATTTATTTATTTATTTATTTGAGATAGAGTCTCACTCCCTCTGTTGCCCAGGCTGGAGTGCAGTGACATGACCTTGGCTCACTGCAACCTCCACCTCCCCGGTTCAAACGACTCACATGCCTCAACCTCCCAAGTAGGTGGGACTACAGCCATGTGCCACCATGCCTGGCTAATTTTTGTTTTTTTAGTAGAGATGGGTTTTCACTATGTTGGCCAGCCTGGTCTTGAACTCCTGGCCTCAAGTGATCCACCCGCCTCAGCCTCCCAAAGTGCTGGGATTACAGGCGTGAGCCACCGCACCCAGCTCTCCTAAGTCTTTTAGTATAAGTTTAGAATGGAAGAAATGCAGGAACTTAGGCCCTGAAAATGTTAGAATTAGGGAATCTTAGGGTGCTAAATTGTTAAAATATAAAAACCATTAAAATGGTGGAGTTATTTAACCAGAATGTGTTAAACTTGCAGATTCTTAGAACCATGGAAAATCAGAATGTCCTGGGTGGAGGGGATCTTCTAGAAGCCAGGAACACATGTCCTATCTGGGGCACAAATCCCTTCTGACCCCCAGCAGCCTTCTTCTCCCTGCCTGATTCCCGTCCAAGGGTCTTATTGCTCAGGCATGCTCTGAGCTTCCTAGCTGCTGCGACCTTGTCTTCTGGCCACTGGCTGCTGCCCAAGGTGCTTCACAGCCCAGCCCTATTTTCCTTCCACCCTCTCCATCCACTCCTTAAAGACACCAGAAGCCAGACCTGTCTTCCTGCCTTGCTCCCGTGGTCTCCTCTGCCCAGCTTGCCCTTCCCTTCACTCCTCACCTCCCCACCTCTCCCTGTTGAGAGGCTAGCCCCTTGTCAAGGGTCTCCCCAAACATCACCTGCACAGGGATGTGCTCCTGTGTTCCTGAGTGGCTGTCACAGCCCTCCTTTATCCTCATGCCTACAAATCACCTCATGTCTGCAAATCCCTTCAAGTCTTAGAGCCTCAGTCTCAGCTTCTGTCAAATGAGAAGAAGAAAAGTACGCCCCTCAACGGGTTGTTGTGGGAATGAAATTCGGTAACACAGAAAATACTTAGCCCAGGGCCTGACACAGGAGAGGTGCTCAGCCAACATGAGCTAAAGACCTCAGGAGGCATGCTGGCTCCAGAGCCCTGGCTGGTTGCACCAGATCAGGGCATCCATGGGCAAATGCAGAACCAACTGAATGAGCTGTTGAGCCTCAGCCCAGGAAGAAGGGAAGTGTGCACCTGGCAGGGAGGTGCCCATCCAGGACGAATCCCTGAAAGAGGATGGATTGCTTCTGCCAGGAACTATTTGGATGATGGAGGAAGATGAGGGTGAGATGTGGGGAGGGGTCAGCACGTGATTTCATCCCAGCACTGGAGTAAGAGACACATGGTGGTGGGCGGAGTCAATCATCAAGCCAGTGTCAGTCATTGAGCCCATTGAGGGGTTAAGAGCTTTGTCCTGAAAGTCAAGAAAGGAAAACAAGGAAAAGAACCATGCATTTGTTGAGCACTTACTGTTTGCCTGGTGCTGTGCTAAACACTTGACGTGTTCTGGTTTGGTTCACACCAAAGCTAGCATCGGGACTGAAAGTGTAACAGAAGAGCCAGGTAGACCGGGTTCGAATTCCAGCTCTACCTTGTGCTGGCTGTGTGACCTTGGGCAGGTCGCTTCCCCTCTCTGAGCCTCAGTTTCCTCATCTGTAACGTAGGGTAGCAAAGGAAAAAACTTTTCCTTCTGTCCTTCTAGGTTCTTGATTGGAGCCCCTGTAATAAAAAACAGATTAACAAGGAAAAAGCACACAAATTTATTTAATATAAATTTTACATGACACAGGAGACTTCATAAGAAAATGAAGACCCACAGAAGCGGTTCGAGCTAAGCCTTTTTTTGCTGGGTTGGATGAAGGGTGGGGAGTCATGGGAAAATGTGAAGGACAGAAGAATTTGAGCTAAGGGCAGTGAACTGGGAACACCCAGCAGGGTGGCTTGTTTGGATTCCTCTCGGCATTCCTGTCCCTCTATCTTCAGAGGTGAAGATGCTTCTTTCCTCCAGGTACAGGGAGGGCTCCTCTCACCTGAAGGTCTTGTGATCTGCTTCAGAGGAAAGCTCGGAGAGTCCTTCCTGCACCCGCCGTTTCTCAAATTCTTTCAGTTTCAAATATTCAATATCCAAAGCACCATATTTTGGGGTAGTACATTCTGAATCCTCTCAACAGGGATAATAATATTAGGCTAAACCAGGTAAATTTGTCAACATTTGACTCTTTGGACCTATAATAATGGCAGTTTCACACAGATCTGTCCTGGAAAGTTTTGGGGAGAATTACAGTAATTAATCCATCTAATCTCCTTAGCTCAGTGTCTGGCACATAGTAAGTGCTCCATAGGCAGTAGCTCTTCTTATTTATTTATAGTCCTCATCCTCATGTAATAGATTTTAAAAACTGATGCTCAGAGAGGTTAGGTAACTTGTGCAAGGCCAGCCAGCTGGCAGGCGGCCGAGCAAGGGTTCAAACCCAGATGTGACTGGGCGCTGTGGCTCGCGCCTGTAATCCCAACACTTTGGGAGGCCAAGGTGGGTGGATCACTTGAGGTCAGGAGTACTTGACCAGCCTGGCCAAAATAGTGAAACCCCGTCTCTACTAAAAAAATACAAAAACTAGCTAGGCGTGGAGGCGCTCATCTGTAATCCCAGCTACTCAGGAGGCTGAGGCATGAGAATCGCTTGAATCTGGGAGGAGGAGGTTGCAGTGAGCCGAGATCACACCACTGCACTCCAGCCTGGGCAACAGAGTGAGACTCCATCTCAAAAAAAGAGAAAAAAAAAAGACTAAATGCAAGCCCAGTGCCCCAATCTCCTTTCTGGAGGGGAGCTTCATCTCTGCAGGGCAGGCAGGGTACAGTGCCGAGTCTGTGCAGCTCAGGCCCGCCTTCCCCTGCTGCCTACCAGATCCTGAGGGTTGGGGCTCGTGTTACCCTATTTCCATTAACCATTGGCTGGGTCCCCCTTCCCCTCCAGATCCCTTGCTTCAGGGCCCTGACCCACAGCCACCTGAGAGGCACGTGACAATGGTGAGTGCTGGGTTGCCCTGGGAGAGGATGGAGGGGTCACTCTGAAGATCCCCACAGGTGGTGGAAGGATGACATGAGATTGGGGTCAGAGTCAGAGCCGGCTACAAGCTTTTCTACAGACTCAGCTTCCTTTCCAGGCACAAAGAACGTGACTCTGCCTGTGCGTGGGAGACTGGGAGAGTGAGCACGTGCGCGTGTGTGCGTATATCTGTGCCTATGCATACTAGGTGTGTGGGTGTATGCACCTGTGTGAGGATGGGTGGATGCAGGGGGACTGGGAGGAGGAGAGTGAGGTATGCGTGCATAGGCGTGCCTGTGTGTGCATGAGGACCTTGATGGGGATGCACCCCTCTCGTGTATATTTCATGCGTGTGTTGGTGTTGTATGCGGATTGTATGGGGCTACCGCTGGCAGCTTAGTGGAACATCTGGGGCACAGATTCTGGAGCGGAAAGCCTAGTCTGCACCCTGGCTCTTCAGCTTGCTGGCAAAGGGTACCAGCCACCCTAAAATAGGCCACTTTGGCACATGGATTATTTTGAGCTAAAGGCCGTTGAGAACCAGCCACCACAGGAAAAGCTCCTTATCTCCTCCTAACTGCCTAAAAATTGAGTGCAGACAATCCCCAACTTACCATGGTCCAATTTGGGGTTTTTCGGCTGTGATGTTGCATTCAGTACACTCCTGGACTTACAATGGGTTAACTCAGAATAAACCCATCATAAATGGAAAATATTGTAAGTCGAAAAGGCACCATCATAAGTCATGGAGCAGCTGTACAAATAGACCCTTTTGTAAGGGAAATTTCCACGTGTAAAGATGTCTCATACGTGGGAGAGAGCTGCTCCTGGGGAGCCCTGCTGTCACCTGAGGCTTTTCTCTGCAGAACAAGATAACTCTTATTTACCTACATCTCCTCCTGACCCCTTCCCAGAACAGCCCTCCCCAGCCCAGAAACTCAAAACCCCTTTTCCTTTGTTGATATTTAAACCCCAGTCCCACCCACCCCTTTGGTTACTGATCGCTGGGTGCTCTCATGTGTATACACAATGCACTTATTAATGAACTTCGGTTTGTTTTTCTCTTGTTCATCTGTCTTTTTCGAGTCTCCCTTATGGGGCCCCAGCCAGAAAGCCTAAGGTGGGTGGAGGAAAAGGATCATTTCCTCGCTCATGCCATAGGGGAGGCAAGCTCTCCTAGAGGGGTGCTAGCCACCCCAAAATATGTCTCTTCGGCACATAGACTATTTTGAGCTAAAGGCCATTGAGAACCAGCACAAGGTGCTGGAGAAAGGCCACAAAGAGTATGTCAGGGAGGCCACCAGGAGCTCATACTTCCTGGAGCTCAACAGGCTTGAGGCAGGACATGCTGTGTGTGGGAATTGTGTGGGGGTGGGCGGGGGGTTGGGAAGGATGGAGGAAGAGATTGTGTGTGCATGGAGGAGGTGCATGGGTGTGTGAGTGTGTGCACAGGTGTTCTGTGAGTAGGTGTAGGGGGCTGTGTGTGTGTATGTGCATGTGGGTGGGGCTGCACAGGTGTGTGGCTGTGCAAAGAGATGTTCTATGAGTAGGTGTAGGAGTGTGTGTGTGCGTGTGCATCTGTGTGTGCATGTGGGTGCATGGCGTGTGGGTGAGTGCACAGGTGTGTGGGTAGATAGGAGTGTGTGTGTGCGCGTGCGCATGCGGGGGTGCTCAGGTGTATGGGTGTGTGTGTGCACAGGTGTGTGGGTAGGTAGGGATGTGTGTATGTGTGAGAGTGTGTGTACATGTGGGGGGTACAGAGGTGTGTAAGTGTGTGTGCACAGGTGTTGTGTGGGTAGGTAGGGGTGTGTGCATATGTGTGTGTGCATGCGGGGGTGCACAGGTGTGTGGGTAGGTAGGGATGTGTGTGTGTGCATGTGGGGGTGCACAGGTGTGTGGGCGTGTGTGCACAGGTGTTGTGTAGGTAGCCCCCAAGGGGTGTGTGTGTGTGTGTGTGCATGCATACATGTGTGTCTGGGCCGGGTGAGAGTGTCGGCACATCTGTGCACGCAGTCAGCTCCATCAAGGCTGAGGTTGAGGCTCTGACCCCTCACAGGACCTCTGGGAATCCAGGCCTTGCTGCCAGTCCTCAGCTGCAGGCCAGGCATCCACCGCAAGCCCTGGCTGGGGAGCAAGGTGAGAAAAAAGAGAAATTTTGTATCTGAGGAATGTGAGCCCCTTTAAACGATCAGGCCCAGAGAGGCACTGAAATGTGACAGCAGCCATGTCTCTCTCCTGCCTTGAGCTAAATAATGACTTCTTGAAGCCACTTGCTATGTGGACTGACTGACACCAGGCAGCCATAAAATGCCATCTGGACACCATACTTCATACCCTATCATTCAACAATGCACAGCCAATCACAGCTCAATGTCATCTCTGCAACCCAGTGAGAATGCCTGTCAAACAACTGTATCTGCTTCAAAAACCTGCTCGTAATGAAGGCTGGACGGAGCACTCCCCAAGGCATCTTAGAAGTGTGTCCTGGGTGGCCGGGTGCAGTGGCTCACACCTGTAATCCCAGCACTTTGGGAGGCTGAGGCGGGTGTATCGCGAGGTCAGGAGATCGAGACCATCCTGGCTAACACGGTGAAACCCCGTCTCTACTAAAAATACAAAAAAAAATTAGCCGGGCATGGTCGTGGGTGCCTATAGTCCCAGCTACTCGGGAGGCTGAGGCAGGAGAATGGCATGAACCCAGGAGGCAGAGCTTGCAGTGAGCGGAGATCGTGCCACTGCACTCCAGCCTGGGTGACAGAGCAAGACTTCATCTAAAAAAAAAAAAAAAAAGAAGTGTGTCCTGGGCTGCTGTCCTCAACCTTGGCCCAAATAAACTCTCTATATTAATTTTGCCTCAGTTTCTTTATTTCAGTCAACAAAAGGTGACTCCATGCAGCTCAGCCCCACAGGAGACCCCGGGGCCCCTGCTTGGAGCCCGTGAGAGCCTGTGAGGGCAGGAGGTCGCCCTCCTGATGCCAAGGGAGGACACATTTCTGCAGCCCACCTGTGTGACCTTTGTGTCCTCTCTTGGACCTCCAGAAGCCATGCCCTGAGTGGGCACTGGGATTCCACAGGACTCAGGGACGCACTCCACTTGGCTGTGGGGCCATCTCAACCTCAGGACGGTGGGGCAGACAGAGTGTCAGGGCTCAGAGGCACCGCAGAGCCTCCCGGGCCAGGGTCTGCACTGGTCCCAACCACACACAGTAAGACACTGGAAAAACCAACTCAACAAATGTGTCCAGGTTGTACCTCTATGGGGTAAAACCCAGTCAGAGCCCAGGCAGCCTCAAGAAGAAAATTCAGTGTTGAACTCAGTAAAGACTCACTCTGATGTCTTCATAGATCGCCAAGGACAACCCCCCCAAAAAGGGAGGACCAGTCTGAGCCAGAAATGCCCCAGGGGGACACATGCCCTCCAGAGGCAGCTGGCTTCTCAGTCACATCCCTGACCTTGGGAAGAGCCTAAACCTGCCTCCCTGTAGCACTCCCTCTGCACCAGCTGCTAAACAGGGACCTCTCTCAGGTTCTGAAATCATTCATTCATTCACAGAGTACCTACCATGAGCTGGGTCCTTCACAGGGCACCAAGAACATAGCAATGAACATGACAGAGACAGACTGAACCCTCGTGGGCTTATGGGGTATTTGGGGAGAATGTGGAACAGGCAATCATTGACATAAGTAAGGTTGCCAGATAAACAACAGAGAGCTCAGTCAAATGTGCATCTTGAAGAAACGATGAATGTCCCATGCAATATTTTGAACCTGGAAAAATTATTTGGTGTTTACCTGAAATTCAGATGTAACTGGGTGCCTCATGTTTTTCTTTGCCTACATAAGATATTTTCAGCTGGTGACATAGTCTGAGGAAAATAATCGAGGCTAGAGAGTGAAGGAGTGGCCAGAGAAGCCAAAACCTGAATGGAAAAGAGGCCCCCACCCCGGAGTCCACCTCCACTCCCCCAGCTCATTATCAGTAAAGAGTGTGGAACTCACTCATTACCACGAGGAGGGCACCAAGCCCTTCTTTTCTTTTTTTTCTTTTTTTTGAGACAGGGTCTCTGTCACCCAGGCTGGAATGCAGTGGTGTGATCATAACTCACTACAGCGTCGATCTCCTGGGCTCAAGCAATCCTCCTGCCTCAGCCTCCAGGGTAGGTGGGCCTACAGCACAGGTGTGCACCACCCAATTTCTTTAGCTGAGTCCTGGTTGCTTAAGCTGTGACTCACTGTCCCCATAAAAACCTTAGAAATGTCCCCAGGAACCAAAGTGAGGAGATTCCATTGGATGTCATTTAAATACCTGTAGCAGAGTGGTCCCCAAGAGATAAAAAGTCTTTGAACAGAATCCAGAATAGAATCAAGCAGTAAAACCATCTGCTGGCGCCATGCTTCTGGTGAGGGCTTCAAGAAACTTCTAATCATGGCAGAATCAAGAAGCTTCCAATCATGGCAGAAGGCGAATGGGAGCGGGCATGTCACATGGCAATAGAGTGAGAACTACTCATGACCACAAGGAGGGCACAAATCCCTTCATAAGGGATCTGTCCCCATGACCCAAACACCTCCCACTAGCCCCCACTTCCAACACTGGGGATCGCATTTCCACATGAGATTTGGAAGGAACAAATATTCAAACTGGATCATTGTGCCCCTGGACCCCAAATCTCATGTCCTTCTTATATTGCAAAATACAATCACCCCTTCCCAATAGTTCCCAAAAGTCTTAACTTGTTCTACTGCCAACTCAAAAGTCCAAAGTTCCATCTAAGACACAAGGCAAGTTTCTACCACCTATGATCCTATAAAATGAAAACCAAGTTATTTACTTCTAAGATACAATGTGGTACTTGCATTGGGTAAAGATTCCCATTCCAAAAGGCAAAACGTGGCGAAAACAGAGGGGAACAGGCCACTTTGGGAGGCCAAGGCGGGCAGATCACCTGAGGTCAGGAGTTCGAGACCAGCCTGACCAACATGGAGAAACCCCGTCTCTACTAAAAAAAAAAAATTCAAAAATTAGCCGGGCATGGTGGCGCATGCCTGTAATCCCAGCTGCTCAGGAGGCTGAGGTAGGAGAATTGCTTGAACCCAGGAGGTGGAGGTTGCAGTGAGCCAAGATTGTGCCACTGCACTCCAGCATGGGCAAAAAGAGCGAAACTCCATCTCAAAAAAAAAAAAAAAAAGAAAGGGGAACGGCCACATACAAGTCCAAAACCCAGCAAGGCAGACATTAAATCTTAAAACTCCAAAATAATCCCCTTGACTCCATATCCTACATCCAGGGCACTCTGCCACAAGGAGTGGGCTCACAAGGCCTTGGGCAGCCCCAGCCCCATGGCTTTGCTGGGTGGGCACAGCCCACGTAGCTGCTATCACAGGTTGGAGTTGAGCTTTTCCAGGCTGAGGGTGCAAGCTGCCAGTGGCTCTACCATTCTGGAGTCTGGAGGGCAGTGGCCCCATTCTCCCAGCTGTGCTAGGCAGTGCCCTTGTGGGTACTCTCTGTGGGGGCTCCAACCCCACATTTCCCCTCACCATTGCCTTAGTAGAGTCTGTCTTCTGGGGCTCCATCCCAGCGCCATATTTCTTTTTGTCTTTTTTTTTTTTTTTTGAGACGGAGTCTCACTCTGTCACCCAGGCTGGAGAGCAGTGGCACAATCTCGGCTCACTGCAACCTCCACCTCCCAGGTTCAAGCAATTCTCCTGCCTCAGACTCCTGAGTAGCTGGAATTACAGGCACCCACCACCACACCTGGCTAATTTTTGTATTTTTAGTAGAGATGGGGTTTCACCATGTTGGCCAGGCTGCTCTCAAACTCCCGACCTCAGGTGATCCACCCACCTCGGCCTCCCAAAGTGCTGGGACTACAGGCGTGAGCCACTGCACCCTGCCAATGCTTCTTTTCATTTTTATTTTTTTCTTGCTTTTAGTATTTTGCCAAGGCTGGGTCATCCAGGCATTACGCTTCTTATACAGCTTGCAGGACTATGAGCTGAATAAACCTCTTTTCCTTATCAATTACCCAGCCTCAGGCATTCCTTATAATGCAAAGTGGACTAAAACACCAATTGAAACCAAACAAGTGGTGAAGCTACCTGGGAGGGTATTACTTAGCCCCAGATCTGACTTAAGAAATAGGAAATGCATATGCTGAACCCTGGGGACACAGACTATGCCACCACCCTTTTTAGGTTATGGGAAATCCTGTTTAAATGACTAACAATAGGACTTGTGTCCTATCAAGACCTTGGACAAAACCTCCATCCAAGCCTGAAGTTTCCGTGGACATTAAGGAATCTTAGAGGAGGTAGGAACCCCAAAAATGGGTTGGAAAACTAAGCTCGAAATTTTCTTGGTGTGACAACATCATTGCCTTAGTAGGCTCTCATTTTTTAAGCTTGACAAGAATTGAGCAAAGAAATGTTTCAGAGAATCAAACAATTTCAACTTTGGAATTTGAAATATTTTTAATATTTAAGAGAATATGGGCTATGTTAAGCTTGTCCAACCCTTGGCCAGTGGCTTTGAATGCAGCTGTAGCTTTAAATGCGGCCCAACACAAATTCGTAAACTTTCTTAAAACATTAAGAGATTTTTTTTCAATTCTTTTTTTTTTTTTTTTTTTTTTTTAGCTCATCAGCTATCATTAGTGTTAGTGTATTTTATGTGTGGCCCAAGACAATTCTTCTCCTTCCAGCGTGGCCCAGGGAAGCCAAAAGATTGCACACCCCAGTCTGTGTGAATAAAAAGTCAGTCTTAAGGTTTTAATTTAAATACACAAATGAGGCCGGGCACAGTGGCTCACGCCTATAATCCCAGCACTTTGGGAGGCCGAGGTGGGCGTATCGCCTGAAGTCAGGAGTTGGAGACCAGCCTGGCCAACATGGTGAAATCCTGTCTCTACTAAAAATACAAAAATTAGCCAGGCGTGGTAGTGGATGCCTGTAATCCCAGCTACTTGGGAGGCTGACAAAGGAGAATCGCTTGAATCTGGGAGATGGAGGTTGCAATGAGACGAGATCATGCCACTGCACTCCAGTCTGGGCGACAGAGCAAGACTCCGTCTCAAAAATAAAGTAAAATGCACAAATGAATCATTGATTGATTTAGACTTGTGATATTTTAAGTTGAAATTTTACTATGCTTGACAGAAGTGTTAAAAAGTTATAAAAATTTGAATTCATGATAAGCATAAGTTACCAGATTTCTAAGAATAATTTAAGTGCTTGAGAAAGTTGTGTTTGTTATTAAGGCAACTGAAGTATTTTTAAAAGAAATTGAATATGTTAAATCTATACATGCAGTTAAAAATGTTTAACTGTGTGTCAACCTGAAATAACCAGGAGCGTCAGAGTCTAATTTAAAAAGAGTTTAGGCCAGGCACAGTGGCTCACGCCAATAATTCCAGCACTTTGGGAAGCTGTGTGGATCCCTTGAGTCCAGGACTTCGAGACCAGCCTGGGCAACGTAGTGGGACACCGTCTCTACAAAAAATTTTAAAAATCAGCCATGTGTGGTGGCCCACACCTGTAGTCCCAGCTACTGAGGCTGAGGTGGGAGGATCACTTGAGCCCAGAAGGTTGAGGCTGCAGTGAACTGTGATTGTGCCACTGCACTCCAGCCTGGGCAACAGAGCGAGACCCTGTCTCAAAAAATAATAATAAAAAAAAATGTAAAATACACCAAAGTAAAATAAAATAGAGTTTATTCAAGCACAAGATTTGAGAACGGCCACCCAGAAACCTCAACTCCAAAGTAATGAACTCAGCATTCCGAAGTAGGGAAGTGAAGTTTTCATTTATAGAGGCAGGGACAGAGGAATTTTTAGCCAGATAACAACATTTTTCATACTAGGCTGGCGCATAGTTACAGCCATTTGACTGGTTATGGGCAGTGTTTCTTTTGGCGGAGGGCATATTTCACATTTTTTGTGAAGGGTATGATAGCTATGCGTTTCCTGTCATCTGTTCTACGCAGAGCAGGACAACAAAGGGGAAGTAGATGAGTCACAGGGTCATTAATTAAGAAGGCAGGAGGGTTTTGTCCCTGCTGTTCTTTAATTCTCTCTGGTCATTGTACAGAATAAGAAAAATAAGAAAGTGAGTTAATCTACAATCTGAGGAATAAAAGGCACATGACTCAGATCCCAGTCACAGCTCTCTCAAGGCTGAAGTGTGTCGGGGGTTCTGACAGATTTTAAATTATATTTTCATGCATGTTTAATTAGCCAAGATTGTCAATGGAACCAAATATTCAGTTGTATCATTTTAATAATTTTATAATAATTTTTAAAGTTTTTTTTTCTTTTTGAGACAGAGTCTCGCTCTGTCGCCCAGGCTGGAGTGCAGTGGTGCAATCTCCGCTCACTGAAACCTCTGCCTCCCGGATTCAAGTGACTCTCCTGCCTCAGCCTCCCAAGTAGCTGGGATTACAGTCATGCGCCACCATGCCCAGCTAATTTTTGTATTTTTAGTAGAGACAGAGTTTCACCATATTGGCCAGGCTGGTCTTGAACTCCTGACCTCAGGTGATCCACCTGCCTCGGCCTCCCAAACTGCTGGGATTACAGGCATGAGCCACCATGCCTGGCCCACTAAAGTTGTTATATTTTAAAAGAATACTTTTCCTAAATTTTTTCTTAAATTTTTAATCGTGGTAAAATATACATACCATACAATGTGCCATGTAAGCTATTTGTAAGTGTTCAGTTCAGCAGAGTGTTAGGTACGTTCACATTGTTAAATGCAGCCAATCTCCAAGACTCTTTTCATCTTGCAAAACTAGAATTCTACGCCCACTAAACGACAATTTGCCATTCCCCTCTCTCTTCAGCCCCCAGGGCAACCTCCTTTCTACTTTCTGTCCCTGTGAATCTGACTATTGTAGGTACCTCATTGAAGTGGAATCATATAGGCCAGGCACAGTGGCTCATGCCTGTAATCCCAGCACTTTGGGAGGCTGAGGTGGGAGGATTGCTTGAGCCTAGGAGTTCAAGACCAGCCTGGGCAACATAGTGAGACCCCATCTCTAGCAAATAAAAGAAAAAAGTGGAATTTGTCCTTAAGAGAAGATTTTTAACTTGAACTCAAAGCTAAAGTGGGATTGTTGAATTTGAAATGACAGTAAGTGGAATAATAATTTTTGAAAACCAAAGGAGATCCTTTTTTTTTTTTTTTTTGAGACAGGGTCTCACTCTGTCACCCAGGCTGGAGTGCAGTGGCCGACCTCGGCTCACTGCAACCTCTACCTCCCAGGCTCAAGCAATCTTCCCACCTCAGCCTCCGGAGTAGCTGGGACCACAGGCACACGCCAACACGCCTGGTTAATTTTTTTGCATTTTTGGTAGAGACGGGGTTTCACCATATTGCCCACGCTGGCCTCCAACTCCTGAGCTCAAGCGATCTGCCTGCCTCCGCCTCGACCTCCCAAAATAGTGAGATTACAGACATAAGCCACCGTACCCAGCCTACTATCTTTTTTTTTTTTTTTTTTGAGACAGAGTCTCGCTCTGTTGCCCAGGCTGGAGTGCAGTGGCATGATCTTGGCTCACTGCAGGCTCCCGGGTTCACACCATTCTCCTGCCTCAGCCTCCCTAGTAGCTGGGACTACCGGCGCCCGCCACCACGCTCAGCTAATTTTTTTTTGTATTTTTAGTAGAGACGGGGTTTCACCGTGTTAGCCAGGATGGTCTCGATCTCCTCACCTCATGATCCGCCCACCTCGGCCTCCCAAAGTGCTGGGATTACAGGCGTGAGCCACTGCGCCCAGCCCATTATCTTGTTTAAACCTCACAACCACCTGGGAAGGAGGTGCCATGATTAACCCCCATTTCACAGATGAGAAAACTGAGACTCAAGTGAGATGACTTGTCCAAGGTCTCCTAAGCCAGGAAGGGCTAGGATGTCAATCCAGGTGGACTGATTCTCGAGATGGAAAATGTGACCACATCATGGGGTATGGCAGAAATGATTATAGCGCCTTCTTCCAATGTGGTTGTAAATGACTGCGTGATGTTCTTCCTACACAAGGGTGTGTGTGTGTGCATGTGTGTGCATGCGTGCGTGTGTGTGTGCACGTGTATGTGCGTGTGTGCATGTTGTGTGTGTGCATGTGTTTGTGAGCATCCGTGCATGTTTTTTGCTCCTGCTAGGTTGCTCATAAGGATGGACCTGTGTCCCCACTCCCACCCGCACAGCACCTGACTCTGTGATTTGTTTATCAAGTGATTTTTAAAACGAATCAACGACCCAGGCTCACAGGACAAAGGCACTGAGGTAACAGGACAGGCCTGAAGGATGAGACACAAAAGACCTCCCTCTTTTACCAACTGGCTCTGCGCCCTTCGGCCGGTCACTGCCCCTCTCTGGGCCCCTCTCATCCTTCTCTGAGCTTCAGTCGCCCCTTTGTCCAGCGAGAAGTTCCCACTCTAAGGGACCTGCCACTGACCTCACACAAAGGTGGCCCCTGAATTCTGACCCAAACCACCAGGAAAAAGAGGGTCCCAAAAGCTAAAGGAAGGTGCTGAGCAGGGTGGGACAGAGGCGGAGGCATTCTGATCTCTCGGGCTCAGGCCGGCCAGCGCCGCCTCCCTGCTTCCAAGATGGGGATCTGGCGCCACCTTGTGGTCTCCGCCTCTTGCGGCCTTCGCGTGTTCCCTGTTTTAACTCTTGCTATTAACCCCACTGCTGCCCTCTGGGAACTCTGAAGCAATTCCACTCTCTTCACCAAATATTTATCTACTGTGCCCAGCTGTACCCAGGCTCGACCCAGAAAAATCATGAACAAGTCCCTGCCTAACCATTTAGAGGCGTCTGGATCTGCACCACCCATAGAAAAATGATGCAAACCAGCCGGGCGTAGTGGCTCACGCCTGTAATCCCAGCACTTTGGAAGGCCGAGGTGGGCAGATTACTTGAGGTCAGGAGTTCGAGACCAGCCTGGCCAACATGGTGAAACCCTGTCTCTACTAAAAATACAAAAATCAGCCGGGCATGGTGGCGCGTGCCTGTGGTCCCAGCTACTCCAGAGGCTGAGGCATGAGAATCACTTAAACCCAGGAGGCGGAGGTTGCAGTGAGAAAAGCTCATGCCACTGCATTCCAGCCTGGGTGACAGGGCAAGACTCTGTCTCAAAAAAAAAAAAAAAAAAAAGGAAGAAAGAAAAATAAAAATGATGGCAACCACAAATGTGTGCCTCACAGGTAACCACATTTTCTAGTAGCCACATTTTTAAAAGCTGAAATAAATAGGTACAATTAACTTTAACAATACGTCTTTGGGCTTTTTGATGTTTGTTTGTTTGAGACAGAGTCTTGCTCTGTCGCCCCAGCTGGCATGCAGTGGCACGGTCACTGCTCACTTGCAGCCTCAACCTCGTGGGCTCAAGAGATTCCCCCAACCTTGGCCTCCCAAGTAGCTGGGAGTACAGGGGGTGCATCACCATGCCTGGCTAATTTTTAAATTTTTTTGTAGAGACAGGGTCTTGCTATGTTGCCCAGGCTCATCTCAAACTCCTGAATGTTAGTGATCCTCCCTCCTCAGCCTCCCAAAGTGTTGGGATTACAGGCTTGAGCCACCACATCCAGCTAATAATACATTTGCATTTAATGAAATACATTCACCATATTATCATTCCAACATGGAGTCAATTATTTTTAAAATTACCATCTTTTTCTCCTTGTAACTCCTTGAAATCTGTATTTTACACCAGGGGTCCCCAACCCCCAGGCTATGGACCATTACCAGTCTGTGGTCTGTTGGGAACCAGGCACACCGCAGGAGGTGAGCATTGGGCTAGCAAGGGAAGTTTTGTCTTTAGATTCCCATAGGAGCACAAATGCTATTGTGAACTGCGCAGGTGAGAGATCTAGGCTGTGAGCTCCTGATGAGAATCTAATGCCTGATGACCTGTCACTGTCTCCCATCACCCCCAGATGGGACCATCTAGTTGCAGGAAAACAAGCTCAGGGCCCCCACTGATTCTACATTACGGTGAATTGTAAAATTGTTTCCTTATGTATTACAATGTGATGATAGAAATAAAGTGCACAAGAAATGTAATGCGCTTGAATCATCCCGAAACCATCCCCACCCCCATCCATGGAAAGCCTGTCTTCCACAAAACAGGTCCCTGGTGCCAAAAAGGTTGGGGACCACTGTTTTACACCTACAGCATGTGTCAGTTCAGATTAGCCACATAAACCTTGTCTGGCAGTGGCTACATGTTGGAAAGCATGGGTCTAGGACCTCCCAGGCTTACTCTGGCCCCCTGGCAGCCCCTCAGACAACTGGCTTATTACATCTTCTCCAGAATTCACCTTTCTAGCTTTGCTTCACTGACTAAGGGTAGAACCCTGGCCCGGACAAGTCATCTTACCCTTGGATGTATAAAATAAGGGTAAGAAAAATACTTACTTCTGGGGTTGTAGCAAGGATTCAATGGGATAACATACACACAGTGCTTAGCGCAGGTGCCTGGCAGGGAATAAATGCTCCATAAATGGTGACCTAATGAATGAAAGCCTTAGCCCATCTTTCAGCATGGTGATGGTTAATTTTCTGTGTCGATTTGGCCAGGCTATGGCACCCCATCATCCAGTCAAACATCAGTCTGGATGTTGCTGTGAAGATATTTTTCAGATGTGATCAACGTTTAAATCAGTAGACTTTGAGTAAAGTAGATTGCACTCCAAAATGTGGGTGGGCCTCATCCAATCAGTTGAAGGCCTTAACAACAAAGACTGAGGTTTCCCAAAGAGGAGGCAATTCAGCCTCCAGAATGCAACATAGAAACCGTGCTGTTTCCAACCTGTAGATTTCAGACTCAAGACCGCAACATCAATTCTTCTCCCATTTCTGACTGGCCAGCTCTACAAATTTCAGGCTTGTCAGCCCCCACAACCATGTGAGCCAATTTCTTAAAATAAATCTCTCTCTCTGCATATATAAATGTACCCCCGAGTGGGGTACAGCCACAGCAGCACGCAGAAGAGACATGACTTCCTCATTCTGAACTCACGCAGTATTAGAACAATGGAGCACCCCAGCCCTTCCCCGCCTCTGAGCACGATGTCTCTCAGGACCGAGAGCTGAGGCAGAGGCTGAATCAACGCCCCCATCCCAGAGACTCTTCTCAAGGGAGTGAGACCAAAGGGTGGGCTTTGCCAGGGGAAAGGGAATGTGACGGGGCCAGGCAGGGCCAGGGTTATGGGGATCTGCTCTTGAGGGTATGACTGCAGGTCCCCATGGTGCAGAGTCAGGGGTTGGGGCGATCCCTGGCCACAGAAGGATTGCTTTGGGGATCCATGGCCCAGACCCCGACCTCTTCCTTTCTCTGGTCTCCTGCCAGAATTCCTGTCAAATTTAGCTGCCTACAGCAGCCAGAGTGATTTTCCTAAAGTGTACATCGTGCCGTTGACACCTTCCAAAGTCCTTCCCAGGCTTCCCCCATGACCCCATAAAGATAAAGCCCCAAAGCCTTTTCCACGACTTACAATGCTCTGTGTGACCTGGCCACAGCCAGCCCAGCCTCTCACATTGTGGAAGCTTTGAAGTATGTTATCAAACAGCATGTAGTCAGAAGCCCATGTTTACAAAAACTTAAAATAACTATATACGCATAGGAAATAACTACCGTCTACTGGAACTTGGGTCTGTGCCAGGCCACGATGTGCAGTACCTTACTGGATATCATCTTGTTATTCCTTGTTCCTTATAACAATTCCTAGTATCTCCTTTATAGAAGAAGAAACTGAGGCCCAGAGAGGCCCCCAGCTAGTGAGGGGCAGAGCCAGACTTGACCCCAGGTCCACCAAGACCAAAGTCCATGCTCTTCACTGCAGGCTGGTTGGTGCCTCTGTGCAGATGGAAGATAATAATAGCTCTCACCTCACAGGGCTGTCGTGAGGATTAAACAGGCTGAGATGTGTGTGTGAATGGGCTCTGAACAGCTCCTGGCATGGCGCAAGGGCTCAGGAAGTGTGCTGCCCCACAGCAGCCTGTGGGCAGCCCGGCCAGATCATACTCATAGATTCAGACTGATCTCTGGTACTAGGGTCATGGGTGATCATATTTTTTTTAACTTTTCCACAATGACCAGGTAATACTTGTGCATTTTTTTCTTTCTTTTTAAATTATTGTATGTATAGTGCTCTCAGTAAGCTGTCTGTTTCCTCAAAGCAGGCTTGTCGAAGTTTGAGTGGCCTCCCTGGTTCCCCCAAGGCCTGGCCCGGAGACCCCACACCCAGTGGAGGAACCTAACAGAAAACAGCTCAGAAGAGCCCCTCTTAGCCCAGGCACCCTGCCCACAGGCTTGGCAGGGGCGCTTGCTGGAGGGGTGGGTGCGGGTCTGTGCCAGGAACTGGCCTAAGCTAAGTCCCCAAAAGACACCGTGAGATGCTTTGTGGCTCTTCCGGATCCCAGGGGAGAGGTGGGAGCAGCCGTGATGCATGCGACCTCCGGCCCTGAATCCACCAACAGCTGTGACTACTTCAGCTATTTTAAACCTCTGGGCACCAGGAAACTCCTGTCTCATCAACCAGGCTCTGGGCCCAACATGATGGCCTGAGCCCGGGCAGGAGTCCTGAGTGTGGGTGGCCAGGTCTGAATTGGGTTTTTAAGGGGAGGGGGCTTCATTTCTTGAGCCTTGTGCCAGGCTCTGTGCTAGTATTTTCTGCACCTTGTTGTCTCGTTTAATACCGTCCTTACACCGTGCTGAGGGATCAGTTACTTCACAGAGGCAGAAAATGGGGCTCCGAATGGCAGGGTACCTGGCCCAAGGCGGCACAAAAGCAGAGCTGGGCCTAGAACTGCGACTTCCTTATCTACAAAGCATGGACAGCATTCTGCCCCTGCCCTCACTCGGCCTTGCCCCCTGCCTCCACCCCAGTGGCCCTGCAAGCTCCTCCCTCTGCCACTCTTAGGAGCTCTGCAACCCAGAGTCAATTCCCCCACCTCCTCACAGCTCACTTTCTTCATCTGTAAAGTGGCGGAGTTACTGGGAGGGTTCAGTGATCTAACTCTAATACATGAAAAGAGCCGCTTGGAACAGTGCCTGACCCACAGAAAGAAAGCAGTAAGTGCCCGCTCTTACTCCAGCTCCCCTGGGTATTGCGGTCTGATGTTATCACTATCTTGCCCAGTGTCCTGTTATGAGCTGCCCGGGGTCTCCGTCAGTGGGGGGTACAGTGTCCTCCCCCACTCTGGCCCCAGTCTCCCCATGAGTCAAATGAAAGTTAGAGCCCCAGGAAGGTGAGAACCCTGGTGGGTGCCCGTTATCTGTCACACAGTAAGGGCTCCAAAGTCACTCGTGGCAGAGGGGTGCCCAGACACGAGCTCACCTCTGGGGGCGCCTCGAAGTCTCTCCAAGCTACACAAGTTTTGTCCCAGTTTGGCAGGTGGCCACCCGAGAGATTCCTCCTGATTGGAGGATGTGCTCAGCCGGGTGCCTGGAGTTCATCAGAAGTTACTGGCCTCGGCCGGGCGCTGTGGCTCACGCCTGTAATCCTAGCACTTTGGGAGGCCGAGGCAGGTAGATCACCTGAGATCAGGAGTTCAAAACCAGCCTGGCCAACATGGAGAAACCCCGTCTCTACTAAAAATACAAAATTAGCTGGGTGTGGTGGTGCCTGCCTGTAATCCCAGCTACTTGGGAGGCTGAGGCAGGAGAATCAATTAAACCTGGGAGGCGGAGGTTGCAATGAGCTGAGATGGCGCCATTGTACTCCAGCCTGGGTAACAAGAGGAAAACTCTGTCTCAAAAAAAAAAAAAAAAAACAGTTACTGGCCTCTCCCTGGGTCTGTGAGCTGTGCCTTTGGGGGACAAATGACCTCCTGGCTAAAACTCGGGCCTTCCCTCTTCCCCACTCACATTCCTCCCAAATCCCTGCCACTCAGAAGCAGCTGGGCTCTTCACCACCTCCTAATTTGGGCCGCCTCAGGGAGAAGGTTGGAGTCCAAGGGCTGGGTATATCAGCACTGGGCACTTGTGGGCCTCACCCCTCTTGTCTGGGGGCACCCGTTCCTGGAGCTCCATCTTCCATCAGCTCTAACTCCTTCCCAAACACACATCCCCTCCGCCCCACTCCTTCCCTCCCACGGCCTCTGCCCACCCCCCCTCAGTTTCTGTCCTCACCTACCAAAGACCACTTCCTCACACAGGGCTGATGTATGTGTCTGAACAGCACTCCCACTGGGTCCCAGGGGAAGGGCTGGGACATGGGAGGGGCTGGCCGAGGCCCACACTGATTGTCATCCTACATCTCAGCCTCTGTGAGACACACGATGACCTCTGGGTGGCACCCCCCTTCCCTTGGTGGCCCAGGCCAGAACCGGGGCCCTAATCCTTACCCCTCTCCTCTCCCTCCACCCACACATCCTATCAGTCACCAGGTGCCACCAAAATCCCAGTCCCTAAGCAGTGGCCGGGTCAGTCCCCACCTCTCCAGCTCTGGCCACAGCCAGGGGCTTCCTTGCCCCTCCCCAGCCCAGAATGACCCATTTCACGAGCACACCCGACCACGGCTCGCGGAGACAACCACTCCAGGCTCCCATCTCCCACCCTCCAATGCCTTGGCTTGGCGTCCTGGTCTCCCTCAGCTGCCGGGTTCCCCATCCCCACCGCTTCCCGTTTTCTCTATGGTGAGGTTCATCTGACTGTTGGGGGATGGGGGTACCGGGCTGCACCCGGCTTTGCACAGGCAGCTCCCTCTCCTCGCCTTTAATTTGCAAACGCCTCCTTTAAGAAGGTTCCAGGATCGTCTTCTCTGGGAAGGCTTCCTGGCCCCCAGGCTGGGTTAGGGCACCCTCTTTGTGTTCCCACATTTGCATTTTCAGCCCCACTGGGCTGGGGCGTCCGGAGGGGAGCTAGGGCCCTCCAACACCTGGGCGCCCACCGAAGGTTTGTCGAATGAAAGAATGACAATCCAACCATGGAAAGCACAAAACTGGTCCCTGATGACTTCGCCACGACCTCAGCGGGGCGGGACGAGTTAGGGGCGGGACCACGCTTGACGGACAGGCCCGCAGCCCACTGCGAGAGGACTGGGGCGGGCCGCCCCGCCCACCGGCCGCTGGATAAGGCTGCGCGCGGGGCCGTGGGGCGCAGGCTGCTGGAGAAGGCGCACCTGCTGCAGGTGCTCCCGGCCGCCCCGGACCAGCGAGCGCGGGCACTGCGGCGGGGAGGATGCTGCGCGAGCGGACCGTGCGGCTGCAGTACGGGAGCCGCGTGGAGGCGGTGTACGTGCTGGGCACCTACCTCTGGACCGATGTCTACAGGTGAGCCGGCCCACCGTGATGCCCGGGCCGAGATCTCGAGCCCAGAAATCCTGAGACGCGCTCAGACTCGGGGACGTGGACAGCCTTTGTCCAGCCCGAGTTGTCCCTCATCCCGAGCCCCCGAGCCCAGAAATCCTAAGAATCTCATCCAGAAACCTGACAACCCCCGAACCTTGTGTCCACCTTCCAGAAACCCTGAGACTCTCCCAGACCCCCTAACACAGCCTCAGCCCCAGCTCCCTCACAGACCCTCCCTTTCACCCGTAACCCTCCGTCTGGCCCTCTCCAGTTCTCCTCCCGGGGGACCTCACACCCCTTCAGCTTCCCTGCCGTCCTCTCCCCTTTCACTTCCCCTCCGCACCTCACTTCCCCTCGGACCCACCTCAACCCAGCCCCTCTCCTGCTTCCCACTCCCAGTTCAGCGGAGCTTCCGCGGAGACTTGCCGGGGACTGGGGCAGGACCCGAAGGGAGCTGCCCTGAGGCTGAATCCGGCCCTGGAGGTTACTCAGGCTCCGATTTCGCCCTGTGGGGGCTGCTGGTGGTTGCTTGTCCCCAGGCACTGGCCCTGAGCTCCGTGTCCCCAGATACCTTCCCCTGACTTCATTCTGAGACCACAGAGGGACAATATTCTACCCAGCTGACGACGGGGACTTGGGGTGTATAGCGGGGTACTTTGTTGGAAAAGGATCCTGATTCAGAGTTCTGCTCCCTCCCCTTCTCTCTGTCCAAGAACTTGGTAGAGTGCGGGATGTCCGAGACAGCTGAAGGTAGGGTAGGGCCCTACCACTCCCCCCGCAATCCCAGAAAGCAGCCAAGTCCAATGATCTGTCTCCCTGAGTAATGGGACGGGGCCTTGGAAAGGTGTGGCTGGTGTGAATGAAAGGGTGGGGTTATGCTGGGGTTTGATCTGCCCCCTCTATTCCAAGCATTTAAAACCTCCCCATTGCTAGGGTTGGAGGGGTCAGTGCTGGGGGCAGGGAGCATGCAGGACTCTGAGGTGGGACCCTGTGCTGACACCGGATGAGTCCCCTATCCTCTCTGCCTCAAGCTGAACTCACACGGAGGCACCATCGTGGTTTATGGCTCTCAAATCATCCTGACACCTGGAGCACCCTGCCTCTCCCAGGCCCCCACCAACCCATCATGTGTCTCCCCACACAGCCCTGGCAGCCCTCCCACCTGCCCAACCAGTCTCCTGCCACCGCTGCAGAGGCACTGGCCACGCTGATACCAACAAGCCCCAGGACTAGGGACCCACTCCATGCCTCTGTCCCTGGCCTCAACCTCTGCCTTCCCCTGGGCCTGGGCTTCAGTTGTCCCCCATGTAAACCTCAGAGGTGGACTGGGTGGTCTCTGAGAACAAGAACACAGCAGTGGAGGGTGGTCCAGGCTCTGGTGGGGTGCAAGAGCTCCCCTGCCTTCCCCACCCCCAGCCCTGAACTGGGCACCGCTAGGGAGTGGGCGCGGAGCCAGAGTGCTCAGGTCTCTAAGCCTCAGCTGTCACCATACCCACCTGTTTATTTGCTGGGGCATGGTTGGTGCCGCCTGAAAAGCTGGCATGATCCTCCCAGTCGGGGGTGGGGAGCAAAGGAGGGTTCCTGCTCAGGCGCCCTGCTATCGCTCTATCCTGGCAAAGAGAGGCCCAGCTGGGGTAGGGGCACAGAGTGGGGCAGATATGGACTCAGCCTCCCTCTAGCAGGGGGCAGCAGTGTGACGATTCCCCTTGTCCTGTCTCAACGACCACAAAGACCCTAACCCCCACCGGCACTTAAGGTTCTCCACCACCACAGAGAGGGGCAGTGCGCTCTAGACCAGTACTGTCCAGAAAAGTCCAGTTTGAACCACAACAAAACCACAATTGCATTTTAAATCTTCTAGTAGTCCACACTTTTTTAAAGTTAAAACAACAGGCATAATTTTAATAATATATTTTGTTTAACCCAATATTTTAGAATATTATCATTTCAACATGCAATCAATATAAAAATTATTAAGGAAATGGTTTACCTTCCTTTTTTCATGCTAAGTCTTTGTAATCCAGTGCACATTTTACACTTCAGCACATCTCAGCGTAGATTGAGTGCATCTCAGGTGCTCACTGGCCACCGTGAGCCAGTGACACCGGGACAGAACAGGTCTAGTGCAGAGTTTCTCAATCTCGCACTATTGCATTTTGGGCTCGATATTTCTTTGTTGTAGCGGGATGTTTAGTGGCATCCCTGACCTCTGTCCCCTAGATGCCAGTAGCAACCCCCAAATTGTGACAACCAAAAATGTTGCCAGACAGTGCCAGCAGTCCCCTGGCAGGGGGCAAAATCACAGCCAGCTGAGACTCACTGGTCCAGTGGAAGGAAGCCTCTTCCAGGACTAAGGAGCTTGAGTTGTTACTGCTATTGTGACTCGAGTTACCTGTAGTAATGAGAGCAACTGCCAGTATTGATAACAGGAGGAGGTATTAGTGGGCACTTAGGAACTGAACCCACCACCTCCTTTCTTCCTCACCATAGACCCTGGAGGGTTCATTGATCATCCCATTTTACAGATGAGGAAGGTAAGGCTCAGAGAGATGAAGCCATTTGTCCAGAGTCACACAGGACTCAGGTCCAGGTCTGTTTGACTCAGAACTCATGCTCTTATACCCCACTCTGTCCTATGTGACCCTAAAACCAGCGGGTTGAACTGGACGGCCCTCTCAGCCTGTGTCTCTTCCACCCTGGCCACGAGCCCACTGTCCCCAGAGACTTCACCAACTCCCATTTGGCCCTCCACTCTTCCCTGAGTCCTTTGCTGCCCGGACACAGGTCCTGGCTCAAGACCCCAAGTGATGCCCCCAGAGCCTCCAAGTAGACCCCAAGGAACAAGGCCCGGGGGTGCTGGGCCCAGTTAATTACGGAGTGGCATCCTGACCCTCACTCCTTCTGAGTCGCAAAGGTGAGCGAAACGGCCTCAGCACCCACTCCCTTTCCCAAGGGCTCTGGACTCCCTTTCCTGTGATGCTGGCACACAGGATCCCCTCCAGACACATAGCAGGGGCCTCCCCAGCCTCATTCCTCAATAGACCTTGTGGTCCTGGCAGGCACTGCCCTACCAGCTTCCATCCACGGGCTGTGTGACCTTGAGCAAATCGCTTCACTTCTCTGAGTCTCCACTGACCCAAATGGGGGTCGATCAGAGAACAGGAGGAAGGATCTTGTATTCAATAGAAGATGTACACTCAGGGTCACAGTGATGAACAATTGACCACTATGCTGCCCTATGAGGGGTCATCCAGGCCACCATGGGCAGGGGTGCTCTGGGCCACCCACGCTCTCCCAGCAAAACTGGCCCCCCTGGGGATGGATGCCTTGACCTAGCCTCATTCTGACTGCTAGTCTCCAGCAAGCAATGAATAGATACATAGAAAGAAGGAAGTAGGGTGTTTGTTAGAAATTGTACTTTGTGATTGTTGTTAAAGATACTCGCTGTTTCCTTCTGCTCTTCCCAAATATACTCATCTTAGTCTTGGCACAGGTACACCTGGCCCACACAATCTCCTCCGGTGGTCCCTTTAGCCGACAGTCACTTCTTCAGTGGGGCTGGCCTGGGTCCCCATCTGATTTGGGCTTGAAGTTGGAAAGAGAGCACAGAGGGAGTCCCTAGGTTGGTTCCATCCTGGCCACCCACCTCTTGTGAGCCCTGGAGGCATGGACACTCCCAGAGTCTGGAAGGATTATTAGGGACAGGGCAGCCTCGGAGTAAAGTAGGTAGCAGGGTGGTCACTCTCTGCCCACAAGCTGGGCCTTGGGAATGGCTTCTTCTGTTCCTCCCTCGGCTTATGCCTCTGTCAGTGAGAGTTCTCGAGAAGGCAGGGCTCTTCTTTTCCTCCCTGGTGTACAGGAGCCAGGATCCAGATCCTGAGGTCTGCAGGAGCTTCAGGACACTGGAATGATCTTAACATTGTCCCTTTGCCTGTGCAGAGGTTCCAGCTGCGTCTGTGAGGTGGAGGTGGGAGGATTCCCTTCCCTGGGATTCCCCAAGGCAGAGGCTGACCAGCCATTGTCCCAGTAGAAGACAGAAAGAAGATAAATGTCAGCTAGTAATATCAAGTAAATAGTAATAATTTGCCCATAACTCGCTGGCAGAAGATAGGAAGAAGGTATCAGGCAGGCGCTCCTAGACTTTGGCACAAACTCACTCCCAGACTTTCTGTCTCTTGGTTGGTGTGAAGGCTAGAGATGTATTTGCTTTTTTAAAAAGTGTCATTAGGACAAAGGCCAGGAGGGTCTGAGATCCAGTTTTCCATGATGGGGGCCTGGGGTGCTATGGGCTCCCCTCCCCATAGTGTGCCAGGCCCTACCTCACTGATCTCCTCTTCTAGCAATTCCTCAGCACACACTCCATTCCGGCCACGCTGGCTTTGTGGATGCTGTTAGCCCTTGGCTGTGCCAAGCTCATTCCCACCTCAGGGCCTTTGCAGTTGCTGTTCCCTCTGCCTGGAACACCATCCCCCAGATCCCCACAAGCCTGACTTTCATCAGTCAAGTCTCAGCTCCAATGTCACCTCCTCCAGGAAGCTTTCTTTGACTACCCCATGTCGTGGTGCCCTACCCTGAGTCCCGAGAACTCTGTTTCATCACATTTTTTTCTTTGCACAACTTCTCATCGTTTCTTAATGTTACTAGTTGACATTTATTGAACACTTATTTTGTGCAGGCTTCTCAACACTTTGCATGCTCATCTCACGGACATGTAATAATTTACGTATTTAAACCTTGCAACAACTTTATGAGTTAGGTACAATTATTGTCCCCTTTTCGCAGCTGGGGAAACTGAAGGAAGGAGTGTTTGTCCAGGATGGCACAGCCAGTAAACTGTGGGGTGCAGAGCCCAGGCCCCTGCCTGCTCTGCCAGGCTGCCCTCCTGGTACTTATGTTTCAGGCGTGCCTCCTCCTTGTTTGTGATCCTCCCTGGAGTCAATGAAGGGCTCCCTGAATGAATGAATGAATGAACGAATGAATGAATGAATGTGGCCTGTGATGCCTGTGGACTGGCCTGTCATGGGGCTGAGCTCCCCACCCCCAGCCTCAAGGGACAGGCACCGTTGGATGGGCCTGTGGAAGGTCAAGGGCATGTGGCCAAGCTTGGCCCGAGCAGCGCTTGCTCCTGAGAGAATGACGGTGGGAGGAATTCAGGCCAGGTCAGGTGGCCCATAAATTAGAACAGCACCCAGAGCCCTCAACCCCAAACGGGATGCCTTGCCAGGAATTGCTCCAGGGCTCTGGTTTCAGGCTAGTTTCCTGGGGTTGGGAGTGTTCTAAGGAGAACCAGGCTCACAGTCCCTGCATAGTTGGGGTCCCTGAGACCTTCCCTCATTGACTGCAGGGCCCTGAGTTGGGATGGGAGCACAGTGGCAGGGGCTCACCCCAGTGCCCACCCCTAGCTGGCCAGACATACCTGCTGCACTTTGGAGGAGGCAGCTTTTGAAGGCAGCTCTTTCCTGCCCAGCCACGCCAGACCTTGCACCCAGAGGCTTTGATGGGCCCAGGCTTGCTTCTCTCTGTCATTGACCCAAGAGCCCAGGACAGGAAGCCAGTCTTTAGTGTCCCTTCTCTGTGTCTCAGACTCCCACCTGTGAAATAAGTAAGGGGCTCTCATTTGGTCCTCTTCAGAGCCAGGCCTGATCCTCCCCTCTGCCCCACACCAGGCACACCTACCTGGGGGATCTCAGGAAAGACTCCAGACTTTGAATTCTCTCCCAGGGAGGGGACAGCCAGGCCCAGGTCTCAGAGAGCCTGAGTTCCCCTCACACTCGGCCATGACTGTCCCTGAGATTTGAAGCGGGTGCTTGCCCTCTAGGGGCCTCAATGTGCTCATCTGTAAAATGAAATCACAGTGGTATGGGCCTCATGGGGTTATCGAAAGAATGGGCTGAGGTCATGTGGGCCATGGGCTTGGTACAGTGCCTGAGACATAATGAATACTCAGTTCCCTGGTGGTCTAGTGGTTAGAAAAATAATAATAATAATAATAATAATAATAATAATAATAGTAAATACTCAGTAAGTTGTTATGTATTAGTATTGAGTTTATTTTGAAAACAAGTAATAATGAGACCTGATCCCTCTCCTCAAAGACTTCATAGCACTTATGGGAAAGAAATCTAGAACTGAATTTATTAAGTGTTGTTTGAGACACCAATAAATGGAGGGAGAGATATATTCTGGCTGATGAGATCAGGGATGACTTCCTGGAAGAGGTGGCAACTGAGCTGGGTCTTGAAGGATGGACTGGGGTTCAGAGTGAGACCAAGAACATGCCACTCAGGGGCAGAGATAACTGGCAGGGAAGTTGGGGCACACAGAGACAGAAAGGGCACAGCTTCAGAGGCCTGGAGTATAAGGCTGGAGGGTCAATGAGCTCTAACCAGGCTTTGAATACATCGTTCAGACATTGGACTTTGTTCTGTAAGTAGCAGGGAGTCACTGAAGGTTTCTGAGGAGAGGAGTAGCTATAGATCAGATTGTTTCTTCCCTAAGGAGAGGCCCGGGACAGCTGGATGCACCAGGTGGTGAGGGAAGCTGGCTGAAGGCAGACGTCATTGTTTGCCTCCACTGATCCCTGTTCAGGGCAGCTGCCCACCCACAGGGCCCCAGCCACCACCATGCCGAGCACCAGGTGTGAGGTCTGGACTGAGGTCATTCTCCCCGCTGGTCCTTGCCTGCCTCTTGCTCGCCATGGGGTTGCATGACAGGCTGGCACCCACGACTCCCCCCCCCAGACTCCTCTAAAGCCCCAAGAGCAGGATGTCACACCCAGGCTGCCAGGAGCTGGGGTCACTCTGGGGATGAGCCCCAGCTGGTGTTAATGAGGCCCAGGCCAGGCGGGCAAGCTAAGAAAGCCAGATGCCAGCAAGGAGCAGGCGCTTCATGCCCTCAAGTCTGGGGCTGGTGAGCCACCCCAGCCCTGCAAGGCCAAGCCAGTGACCCTCCCCACTGACCGAGCCAAGACCAGAGAGGACCATGGCTCCTAGAGACCACAAAGCATTTGTGGGACTGGGCAAGTGTCGTTTGTTTGACACCAACCTAGTGGCCATTTCTCTCCATTTCCACAGCCACTATCTGGTCCCAAGACACCATAATCGCTCACGTGGGCAGCTGCAGCCACCTCCTCCCCACTTCCTCTGTTGCTTTCCTGAAATCCATCCCCCACCCTGCATTCTGGGCAACCCTGCACCCTGGATGATCTATCTACAGTGCAAAACTGATCATGCCACCCCTGCTTAGAAACCTTCAGTGACTTCCCTCTACAATCAGAGGAAGGCCAGCTCCTCACCATTATCTAAAATCCCTGCTCCCACCACTCTCCCTCCCCCTTGCTCACAAACTCCAGACACACTCCCCTCTTTCCAGCTTCTCGAACATGCAGGACTAACCCCCACCTCAGGCCATCACGCAAGCTGTCCTGTTGCTTGGAAATCTCTGCTCCTCTTCCTCTCCTTCCTTGTCCAACTCAGTGGTTGTCAAACTGTGGGGGACCAGCAGCATCAACATTACCTGGGAGCTTGTTAGAAATGCAGTTTCTCAGGTCCCACCCCACAGTCGATAGATCAGAAACTCAGGGGCTGGGCCCATTTACCTGTATTTTAGTAGGCCCTGTAGGTAGTGGTAATGCACACTCAAATTTAAGAATCTCTGGTTTAATTTTTTTTTTTTACAGTCAGCACTGCAATGGTGTAATTAATTCCTGCCTGTCCTTTAGATTATAAAGTTTAAACCTTAGTTCAAATGCCACTTCCTCAGGGAATCCCTCCTTGAACCCCAGACTGGGGCCTCATGGCACCCTCTCCTCCTTTATAGTAATTATCACAGCTGTAATCATGTAATCCATTGAAAGTCTGTCTTTTCTGTCCAGGCACAGTAGCTCACACCTGTAATCCCAGCACTTTGGGAGGCTGAGGCGGGCAGATCACTTGAAGTCAGGAGTCCCAAACCAGCCTGGACAACATGGTGAAACCCCGTCTCTACTAAAAAATACAAAAATTAAAAATAGCCAGGCGTGGTGGTGGGCTCCTATAATCCCGGCTACTCAGGAGGCTGAGGCAGGAGAATCGCTTGAACCCAGGAGGTAGAGATTGCAGTGAGCCAAGATCATGCCACTGCACTCCAGCCTGGGCAACAGAGGAAGACTCCGTCCCAAAAAAAAAAAAAAAAAAAAAAAGGTCTGTCTTTTCCATGGGCCCAGGGAATGTGTTTGCTTTTTCACTAATCTACCCCTCAATGCCTAGAACTGTGCCTGGCACATTGTAAGTGCTCAGTAAATACATGTTGAGTGAATGAACGACCATATAAGTAAGCCCGCCTCCTCCAGCCCTCCTGCAGCAAACATTTATACTTACGGTGTGCCCATACTAGGCCAGGTGCTGAAACAAACAAACAAACAAACAAGAAGATCCAATCCCTACCTTCAAGGAGTGAACTGCCAAAAGGGCCAGTAACTGTGGGGGCAAATGGATGGAGTTAGGTCTTCAAGGAGAGATGGACATTTGCCAGGCAGAGAAGTCAGGGGAAAGTCTTGCTGGTAAAAGGAACAACATATGTCAAAATGCACAGTAGATGGAACAATGCAGGGAGCTGAAGTGGTGGAAGGAACCGCAGAAAATGAAACCAGAGAGTCAAGCTGAGTTGCAATGGCCAAATGTGCCTAGTTCAACACCAGGATGAAGAGTTTGGATATTCTTGTATGGGTAGGCACTGAGGAGCCAGTGAATATTTTCAAGAAAGCCCATGACCTGATTTCTGGGTTTTTTTTGTTTGTTCGTTTGTTTTTTAAATCACTTGTGTAATACAGCTTGGAAAGCCAAGAAGGGCAGGTGCATTCATTCATGTATTGCCAAAGACTACACTGAGCATATCCATGTCCTGGGTTCTGGGATTCCATGGTAGGCAGGAGACATGGCCACAGTGATTGGCAGCCTGTCCCTCCATCCATGCTCTCCTTAGCCTCTCTCTAATAAGCAAGAAGGTCATAACCACCCCCAAGCCCCCTCCCTTTCCCTCAATACTGTCCTGGGCCCCTCCCTGCAGCCTCCAGGGACAATCCAGGTGCCTGAAGCCCCTGGCTCTCGGGTTTCTGCGAGAGAGATTCTAAAGGGTTCTTCCTGAGGAGGAAGGCAGCCAACAGGATCTGCAGGGGCACAATGGGCCCCTTTATTGCTTTGCCCAGGGCCACTCCAAGAATAGCTGTTTGCTCAGCTCAGAACAGGGCTGGTGCTGGGGAATAGGAGGGTGTGGGGCCCTGGAGCTGCGATGTGGGCTGGGCGTTAACCCTCTGGAGCCTCTGAGGCCTCCTTTGGTTTCTCTCTGGTCCAGAGGAATGAAGGTGGGCAGGAAGCATCACTTACAGTAACTGAGTCAGGGTCCTAAAAGATCATCTTGTAAAACATTTTTTCCTAAATAGAATTGTGTGCAGAAGCTCAATATATAAAACCAGATGAAATAATAGTGGCTCTGGGTCAGGCATGGTGGCTCACTCCTGTAATCCCAGCACTTTGGGAGGCCAAGGCGAACGGATCACTTGAGGTCAGAAATTCAAGACCAGCCAGGCCAACACAGTGCAACCCCATCTCTACTAAAAATACAAAATTTAGCCAGGCATGGTGGTGCATGCCTGTAGTCCCAACTACTTGGGAGGCTGAGGCAGGAGAATCACTTGAACCTAGGATGCGGAGGTTGCAGTGAGCAGAGATAGCACCACTGCACTCCAGCCTGGATGACAGAGCACGACTCTCAGTTTAAGAAAATAAATAAATAAACAATAGTAGTAGTAGTGGCTCTGGTTAAGGTGGGGAGGGGAGTGGCAGGAATCCAGTGGAGATATCCCAAGCTTTTTTTTTTTTTTTTTTTTTTTTTTTAATAGACAGAGTCTCGCTCTGTCACCCAGGCTGGAGTTCAGTGGCACAATCTCAACTCACTGCAACCTCCACCTCCCAGGTTCAAGTGATTCTCCTGCCTCAGCCTCCCGAGTAGCTGGGACTACAGGCACACGCCACTACGCTCGGCTAATTTTTGTATTTTTTTTAGTAGAGATAGGGTTTTGCCATGTTGGCCAGGCTGGTCTTGAACTTCTGACCTCAAGTGATCCACCCACCTCAGCCTCCCAAAGTGCTGGGGTTACAGGTGTGAGCCACCGCACCCAGCCATCCCCAGCTTTCCAGAGCCTTCCTCCTCACCCCTTTGCCCAGGGCCTCTCCTCTGCACTCTCTGGACTCAGCCACCTCTGCTCTGGTTCCATCCTCTCACCTAACACTGGATGAAACTGAGAGAGGGAAAGTCCCTGGCCCAAGGCCACCCAGCATGTTGATGGGCAAAGCTGAGACTTGCAGGAGAGGAATGCTTCCCAGACCTGAGGCCATAGTTTCCCAGACTCTCATGGCTTTGGCCAAAACCATCTTCAACCTGTCTCACTATAACACTTTTCTTTAACCCAGCTCACATTTTTCTTAATAACTTTATTTTAAACAGAGATTTTATAGCATTACCATAAATGGCAAGACTTTATCAGTCACCATAAAAAGATACTGTGTTTGATAAACACATAAGTCTTCTTGTAGATTGTTCCTCCCTGTGCCACCTAAAGCATCCAGGGTGTGTACTCACACCTCTCCTTGGGAACGGCTTACCTTCCGTCCGACTCACCTCTGCCCTCTTTGCTTGGGTGTATGATGGGCCAAGCCCTGTGCTAGGCTCTGAAGAATGAAGATGGGAGAGGCCGGACCATGCCCTCAGGGGACTTATAACCCAAAGGAGGGCAGGTACCACGTGGCAACACCACTCAGCAAAACGTGGCCCCAGCCCTAGGGGGAGTGAGAGACGAGAGCTATGGGCAGGAGGGTGGCAGTCCTCCTGAGGCGTAGGGACTAACAGATGGACATTCAGAAGGTGCAGACCCCCTCAAGTCAGGGGCAAAACTAGACTCAAACCCAGGTCCTCTGCACGTGCACCCTTAGTCCAGGGCTTTTGTCCAGACTCTGTGCCCCTCTTAATGATGGATGTGGCCAGGCACGGTGGCTCACGCCTGTAATCCCAACACTTTGGGAGGCCGAGGCGGGTGGATCACCTGAGGTCAGGAGTTCAAGACCAGCCTGGCCAACATGGTGAAACCCCAACTCTACTAAAAATACAAAAATTAGCCGGGCATGGTGGCGGGCACCTGTAATCCCAGCTACTCCAGAGGCTGAGGCAGGAGAATCGCTTGAACCAAGGAGACAGAGTTTGCAATAAGCTGAGATCACGCCACTACACTCTAGCCTGAGTGACAGAGAGAGACTCCTCCTCAAAAAAAAAAAAAAAAAGTGATGGATGCGGAGAGGGGACAGCAAGCCATGACCAAGAAGTGTCCAGTCTCACATCATCCCAGGACAGGCTGTGGAGTTTGGAAGGGGGCAGGACAAGAACCAGAGTGACCTTGGGGTGTCTTCATTGAGCTCCTCTCCCAGCACTGGCCACAGGCTGCCGAGTCCTTCCCAATTCTCCTGCCAGAGCCCAAGACCAGTAGTCTTTGCCCATAGCCCCTGAAGTCTGTGGCCCAGGTCAGACAGACACTGCCCGGCAGCCTCTACAGATTCACGCTCACGGCCTTGGCCAGCCCAGGGCTCTCAGCAGTGGACCGCAGTGCTGATTGTCTGGACCAGTGGTTCTCAAAGTGTGGTACTGGGACCGGCAGCATCAACAGTTCCTGGAAGCATGTTAGAAATGCAGATTCTTGGGCCCCATGCCAGACCTCCTGAATTGGATGCTCTGAGATGGGGCCCCGCAGTCTGTTTTGACAAGACCTCCAGGTGCCGCCGCCCCAGACACTGCTGCTGCACTTTGACAGCCGCTGGCCTACACTTGTCATTCAACCCTGGCCACTGTTTCCATCTTCAGCTGCCCCAGCACCCTCAGCCTCTGCCATGCCAGCCAGCCTCTCCAGAGACTGGATCTACAAATCTACAGCCTTCAAAGAAAAACACCCTATAGATTTAAACAGCACCCCTGATGATTCTGATGCCTGCCATAGTTGAGAACTCCTGGAACCCAAGAGCACCAGGCCCCCAAAATAGCAGCTGTGCCTTTGAGACAGGCTTACACCTATGTCTTAGTCACAAATCCCACGAGAATCCCACCTAAGTCCCTCTGAGCCCTCTTGGGCCTCCAGACCAGTGGCTGGATTTAGCAAAGCCGCCAGCCCTAGGCACCTTCCTCCCTTAGTCCCCTGTCCTTCCTGTCACCTCTCCTTAAGCCAACAACAAAACACCATGGACAGGGTGGCTTAAAAACAAATTCATCTTCTCACAATTCTGGAGGCTGGAAGTCCGAGATCAGGGTGGTGGCATGGTCGGGGTTCTGGTGACGGCTTTCTTCCTGGCCTGCAAATGGCCACCTTGTCACTGCGTCCTCACAAGATCTTTCCTCAGTCCATGGAGAGAGATCTCTATCTACCTATCCCTCCCTCTCTTGCTGCTCCTCCTCCTCCTCCTCCTCTCTCATCTTTCTTCTCCTATTTGATTAGAAGCCTGCCCTTGGCCAGGGTGGCTCACGCCTGTAATCCCAGCACTTTGGGAGGCTGAGGTGGGTGGATCACCTGAGGTCAGGAGTTTGAGCCCAGCCTGGCCAACATGGCGAAACCCCATCTCTACTAAAAATACAAAAATTAGCTGGGTGTGGTGGTGTGCACCTGTAATCCCAGCTACTCAGAAGGCTGAGGTAGGAGAACAGCTTGAACCCGGGAGGCAGAGGTTGCAATGAGCTGAGATTGCACCACTGCACTCCAGCCTGGGAGACAGTGAGACTCCATCTCAAAAAAAAAAAAAAGAAGAAGAAAAAGAAGCCTGCCCCTATGACCTCACCTAACCTTAATTACCTCCTAAAAGCTCTATCTCCAAATACCATGACACTGAGGGTGAAGGCTTCAGCATGCTAATTTGGGGAGAGACAAACATTCAGTACACAGCAGCCAGATCACATCCATTTGTTCTCCTGCTCTGAAATACTTTCGGAGTTCTTGAATTTCGGAATTCAAGAATTCCAAAAGTATTTGCTTTGCAATGGAAAACCACTTTTGAACCCCAAGAAATGACTCAGAAGGTGGGGGATGTCAGGTGGCAAGAAAGCTGTGGCAGGAAGGAAGGGATCTTTGTAACAAGAGACACCCCACCTCTGCCCTGTTAGGACCCAGGCACTGGGCTCCATCCCTGTGAGGACTCAGCACTTTACTCAGCGACCCTGGGCAGGGAGACAGGGTTCCAGGCCCAGCTCTGCTAGTGGAGCAAATTCATTCCTGCCTGGGTCTCCATCTTCCACCTTCACAGGACCCTGTGGCTCCCAAAACTGGCCTCCCATCAGAGGCACTAGGAAGGTTGTTAAGAATTCAGATCCCCAGGCCCGACCCTCATACATTCACACTCAGGAGGTGCAAGATTGGCCCAAGAGATTTCATGTTCAACAGATGTCCTCTTCACAGCCAGGTGACTGCAATGCAGCTGGCCCCTTTGGGGTCTCCCAGATCAGATTACCTGTGGGGGCCCTTGCAGACTTGCCCCTCCAGAAGTCTTCTTTTTTGAAAAAAGAGCCGGGCGTGGTGGCTCACACCTGTAATCCCAGCACTTTGGGAGGCCAAGGCAGGCGGATCACCTGAGGTCGGGAGTTCAAAACCAACCTGACCAACATGGAGAAACCCCATCTCTACTAAAAACACAAAATTAGCCAGCTGTGGTGGTGCATGCCTGTATCCCAGCTATTCAGAAGGCTGAGGCAGGAGAATCGCTTGAACCTGGGAGGCAGAGGTTGCAGTGAGCCGAGATTGTGCCATTGCACTCCAGCCTGGGCAACAAGAGTGAAACTCTGCCTCACACACACACACACAAAAAAGAAGAGACAGGGTCTTGCTCTGTTGCTCAGGCTGGAGTGCAGTGGCACAATCATAGCTCACTGCAGCCTCAACCTCCCAGGCTTAAGCAATTCTCCCACCTCAGTCTCCTAAGTAGTTGGGACCACAGGTGTGCACCAGCATGCCCAGCTAATTTTTTAATGTATATAAAGACAAGGTCTCACTGTTGTCCAGGCTGGTCTCAAACGCCTGGGCTCAAGTGATTCTCGGGCTTTGACCTCCCAAAGTGCTGGAAGCAGGAGTCTCCTCTTGAAGCCCCTCATCCCACCTACCCCAGGGCTCTCCCTAACCCTCTCTCATCTCTCCCCACAGCGCGGCCCCAGCCGGGGCCCAAACCTTCAGCCTGAAGCACTCGGAACACGTGTGGGTGGAGGTGGTGCGTGATGGGGAGGCTGAGGAGGTGGCCACCAATGGCAAGCAGCGCTGGCTTCTCTCGCCCAGCACCACCCTGCGGGTCACCATGAGCCAGGCGAGCACCGAGGCCAGCAGTGACAAGGTACCACGGCGGGAAGTCCAGCCTCTGCGGGCCCGGGACCATGCCAGGATAGAGGCAGGGTGGACCAGCCCTGTCCCATAGAAACTGCACGTGGGCCATGTGTCATTTTCAGTTCTGCAGTAACCACATTGAAAAGGCAAAAAGAGGCCGGGCGCAGTAGCTCAAGCCTGTAATCCCAGCACTTTGGGAGGCCGAGGCGGGTGGATCACAAGGTCAGGAGATCGAGACCATCCTGGCTAACACGGTGAAACCCTGTCTCTACTAAAAATACAAAAGATTAGCCAGGCATGGGGCGGGTGCCTGTAGACCCAGCTACTTGGGAGGCTGAGGCAGGAGAATGGCGTGAACCCGGGAGGCGGAGCTTGCAGTGAGCCGAGATCGCACCACTGCACTCCAGCCTGGGCGACAGAGCGAGACTCCGTCTCAAAAAAAAAAAAAAAAAAAAAGAAAAGGCAAAAAGAAACAGGTGAAATTAATTGTCTTAATATCTATTACTTAACCCTATCTATCAAAATATTATCATTTTGACATGCTATCAATATAAAAAATATTAACAAAATTGTTTGTTTTTTGTTTGTTTGTTTGTTTGAGACGGAGTCTCCCTCTGTCACCCAGGCTGGAGTGCAGTGATGCGATCTCGGCTCACTGCAAGCTCCACCTCCCAGGTTCACACCATTCTCCTGCCTCAGCCTCCAGAGTAGCTGGGACTACAGACGCCTGCCCTATGCCTAGCTAATTTTTTTTTTTTTTTGTATTTTTAGTAGAGATGGGGTTTCACCGTGTTAGCCAGGATGCTGTCGATCTCCTGACCTTGTGATCCGCCCACCTTGGCCTCCCAAAGTGCTGGGATTACAGGCGTGAGCCACCGCGGCCGGCCTGTTTGTTTGTTTTTAAGAGACAGGATCTCACTCTGACTCCCAGGCTGGAGTGCAGTGGTGCGATCATAGCTCACTGCAACCTCAAGCTACTGGGTTCAAGCAGTCCTCCTGCCCCAGCCTCCCGAGTAGCTGGGACTCCAGGCACCTGCCATCGTGCCCAGCTAATTTTTTTTTTTTTTTTTTTTAGAGACAGGTCTTACTATATTGCCCAGGCTGGTAGTTTATATTCTTTTTCCATACCAAATTTAAAATTAGTGTGAGTTTTACACCTTATAACACACCTCCGTTCAGAATAGCCGCATTTCCAGTGCTCGGTAGCCATGTGGATGTTGTGGGGTTAGACCATGGAACGATGGCTTCGTAAAGGATGAAAATTATAGACAGCTGAGTGATAGAAAGTTTAGAGGCTCAGAACCATAGAATCATTGGAGCTTACAGTCACAAGTGTCCTTGGTCTATCTGTAAAATGGGGTGCTGAACATCCATGGGTGATTTGCCTAAGTGGTGAGGCTGAGACCAGAACTGTCTCCTTTCTGGGTTCCGTAATTATGAACTTTACCATGTGCCCCATCACAGTGATGGCATTGAACATGGTCCAAAGAAAATAGCCTCAGCCCTGTCCCCTCAGTGGGCACTAGACGTGCAACATGGCAGATATGGGGGACCCCAGGCAGCAGAATGCACACAGTGGCACAGGAAGGCAGACAGCATCCTAACTGCCCTCTCAGCCAGCAGGAGGGGAGTCCACAGTCTAGTTCAGTTACCTGAGGGAAACCGCCCACCAACCCAGGAGTTCTTCCTGGAGGAGAGGGTTCTGATGTTTGGAGAGGGTTGGCTTGACAAGCTGTGAGGGACAGCAGTTGCTTCAGGTTTTCCTGCTTGTGATCTGTGATCTCTGCTCTCTTTTCTCTCTACTCCAATGTGCCCCCTCCCCACCAAGGTCACCGTCAACTACTATGACGAGGAAGGGAGCATTCCCATCGACCAGGCGGGGCTCTTCCTCACAGCCATTGGTGAGTTGGCATGGTTGCCGTCTCAGTGCCTTCATCACCCAGGGCCTGGCACTGTTGTCCTTCTCTGGGGCACTTAGGCGGTTCTCAGTGCGGCTGACCTGGCACTTGGAGCTTCTTCTGAATGGCACAGGCCTGGGGAGGGATGTCACATGTGCCCCACCCCGGTCCTTCCATACTGGGGTGGGGGCTTATCTGCAGGAAGAGGCACTCCCTGATCCATCAGCAACCCCCCCCCAAGTGTCAAGGTCCCCTTCCCAGGCTCTGTGGCCCTAAAAGAGAAAAAGGTGAAGTGTGTTTCCCCCTGCCTCTCCCCTGCAGCCTGGAGAAGAGTGTCCCTCTCATGGTGAGGGGAATGGCCACAGTCTATAAAACTAGCAGCTGTTCTTGACAATCCCAGCTGCCCCCTGGTTCTCCCCAGATTCAGCCCCGAGGGTGCAGAGATGCAGCCTCCAGGTCCTTAACTCACCTAGTCCAAGTCCTTCATTTGATCCACAGGATGGTGAGGCCCAGAGAGGTTAGGGAATTTATTCAACATCACACAGCAACTGGGTGGCAAGTTGAGTCCAGAACCCAGAATTATCCCTGTCTCAGGTTCTCTCCATTGCATCACACTGCCCTGCGCTGGGTGCCAGGCCTGCATGCCAGGGAGGTGGAGCCTAGCCTGGCTCTACAGGACCCTTGGCTGTGATCATCTGAATTTTCCATCACTCCACCCCCTGAAACTGAGGCATTACTTTTATGCTATTTTATTTCATTTTTTAATCATAGAATGTTAAAGCCAAGAGGACATTTCAGAGGGTCATTTTGTTCATCCAACCTTGGTTTAACATTGACAGAGTTGCCGCATGGCAGAGGAAGGGAACTACCAGTTATTGAGAGTCAACTGCATGCTGAGTGCTTTCAAAATAATGATGCGGCCTGCTTATTGCAGGCCTACTGTGTGTCTAGAGCTGCACTGGGCACTTTGATGAGGAGGAGGAGGGGGAGAATGGTAAACACCTGATATTAATTGAGCACCTATGGTGTGCCAGGCTCCAGTACTCAATGTTTTACCGTCACGATTTCAATCTCTTCTTCCAACTATTCCAAGGATAGATATTATTATTATCATCCTCATTTTATAGATGAGAAAATCAAGGCTCAGAAAAGGTAAAACAAATACTTGCCTGCAGCTACATCTCCAGAAAATGGTTGGTGAGATGCCAATCATTCCAGTTATCCCACATTCTCAGGGGGGGTCTCAGAATCTCCCCAAGATACAACTAACTCCCGAGCCAGCCCCTTCCTCTCTAGCCCTGTGCTCTCAGCTGCTTAAACAGGCTTAGCAGCAGGGCCCTTCTCATTCTTGGCTAATTCCCAAATGGGCTTGGTTGCTGGTCCCCCTGTCCCTCTTTCTGTCCCAAGGAGGTGCCCAGCCCTGGGGTAGGGAACCTCGGGATGACCTTGGTGAGGGTGGCAGATGATCAACAAAGACTCCTGGGTTGTACTGAGCCCTGGCACGTGTGTGAACCTTGCATGCACACAGCATCCAGGCAGTCTCAGATGACAGTCCCTGAGGAAACCTAATCCCACCAAGATAGGGACACCTGAGGACGGGGGCAGGAAGGGCAGGGGCCTGACACCTGTCAAATGAGGATGATCCCAGAAGGCTGACTGCACCATTAACAAGACTTCCACCAAAGCAAGACAGACTTAGGATAGATGGCAAAATAAGCGTCTATAAGGAGGCAGGACTGGACTTTTCCTCCTCACTAGGAGATGACAAAGCTGTGCTTAGAGGAAGCCCGCTCAGAGTTGGCGGCATGGCTGAGTCCCAAAAGATGCCACATGTGCCCACGACAAGTGACCAAGTTCATCCTTCCGAGGTCTGTTAATAATTATTTATTTAACTGCCACAAGTTCCAGATATTTAGATTCCATGGGCCAATCAAATGTCCCCTGCCCCCACCCCCCAAAAAATGAGAACACTAACAACTTTGATGCTTGGCAAAAAAAAGAAAAAAAAATACATCAATAAAACAATTTGTGGCCAGGCGCGGTGTCTCACGCCTGTAATCCCAACACTTTGGGAGGCCAAGGTGGGCAGATCATGAGGTCAGGAGTTTGAGACCAGCCTGGCCAATGTGGCGAAACCACATCTCTACTAAAAATACAAAAATTAACTGGGCGTGGTGGCACGCACCTGTAGTCCCAGCTACTCAGGAGGCTGAGGCAGGAGAATTGCTTGAACCCAAGAGGTGGAGGTTGCAGTGAGCCAAGATGGTGCCACTGCCCTCCAGCCTGGGCGACAGAGCGAGACTTTGTCTCAAAAAAAAAAAAAAAAAAATTTGCTATCAACTATCACTATCATTTTAACTCTTAAAAAATAGGCAAGGCATAATCTCAGAATAAAAGACAGTCATGGCCGGGCACAGTGGCTCACGCCTGTAATCCCAGCACTTTGGGAGGCCGAGGTGGGCGGATCACCTGAGGTCAGGAGTTCAAGACCAGCCTGGCCAACATGGTGAAACCCTGTCTCTACTAAAAATATAAAAACTAGCCGGGCATGGTGGTGGACGCCTGTAATCCCAGCTACTCAGGAGGCTGAGGCAGGAGAATTGCTTGAAACCAGGAGACAGAGGTTGCAGTGAGCTGACACAGTGCCACTGCACTCCAGCCTCGGCGACAGAATGAGACTCTGTCTCAAAAATAACACAAAACAAAACAAAAAACAGAATAAGAGACAGTCATTCAATTGCAAAAAGAAACTAACACCATTGAACTTCTGTTTCCTGTTCCAACAGAGACCCTGGTGAAAATCTGGTTTCCCTTGGGGACCACTGTTCTCTCTGTCCCTTCTAGGTTTTCTCTTTTCTCGAGCATCTGCCCCAGGAGCCCTTGAGCCCGTCATCCTGAGTAATCAATCACTCAGGGGCAGCGCCTCAGAGGCAAGCCCCCCCCCAACCCCAATATCTTGAGAGGCTGGGACTGTCCCCTGGGCACAAAAATGTATCTGAATCTCTCTCACCCTGGTCCTATCCTGAGTCCACATTGAGCAGAAAGAGCCTTGGCTTCTGGGTAGACAGAAGTAAGCCTAAGATCTTTCTCTGTCCCCTCCAGCCAGCTTGTGACAAGTCACATCATCCCCCTGAGCCTTGGCTTCCTCATCTATAAAATGCGCTTCACAGAGCAGCCTTGCATGGTGTTTACAAGGATTCAGTGGGATGTTGTGTGCGAAGGGCCCGGCACAGAGTGGGTGCTTAGTCAATGCTCCGCCTGCTTTTCTCTCTTGCTCTTGAGGTGGCCGCATTTTCTCTCTGCCTGGGTGAAGTTAAAGAAATGTATGGTCTCTCCTTCTTCCTTCTGGGATTTGGGAGCAAATTCATGATTCCTTTGGCCAGATCAGGCTCTGGGTCTTTGTCCCAATCCCGCCAAGGACTTGCTGTGTGACCTTAACAAGTAACCACCCCCACTAGGACTCACTTTTTACAAACTATAAAATAAGGGGTTTGAGCTAATTAATCCCTAAGGACCTTCAAGACCCTGGTTAGGGTTGATTTGCAAAGACTTCCATTTTTTGGGAGGGATGGGGGAGAGCAAGAGGTGAGGTGTGGGGAGGGAGGAAGAATCCCACCCTATTTGAGGTCCTGGCAGTGGAAGGAGTACACATATGCGGGCCCCAGAAAATTTTAACATCAACCTAAGGGGCTTGATCCTATGCCTTCTCCCCAGAGGCTGGGATACTTGCCCTGATTGGCTGTGGGGGAGGGTGTCCTTCCTTCCCATAACATCTCAAGCTGCTTAGTAAGGCAAGAAGGCCAGGCACCCTGCCACTCTCTGGCGACCCTCCAAAATGCTTGTGCCTCTCGGTCAGAGCTGAGGCTTCAGTGTCTTCATTCTCAGGGCAGACTGCCTTGAACCCAATCCTAGGGACATTTCCCGTCAATCTGCCCCACACCCAGGAGCCACCTGACGCCTTGGGGCTATTCTGGGGAACTGAGGTGGGATCCAGAGCCTCTGGGAAATGTCGTCTGGAGCCTGGAGGCCCTGAAGCAGAGCTCCTCTCCCTCCTCCCCCTCGGGAAGGCAGAGCCATCCCAAGAGGCAATGCTCTGGGCAGGTCACACCAGCCCTGTTCTCTGCCCCTACCCGCAGCATCCCACTGGAATCTAGTTAAATCAGACATTGGGGGAAGCCTTGCAGGGGCGAAGTCCCATGGGCATGACTACAGGGTGGGCGGTCTCTGAGGGTGAAGGGGCCAGAAGGTCATTTCAGTGGATTATGGGGACAGGTCATGGGTCATCAGAGAGGAGTTATGAAGCCCTGTGAGAGGCTGGGAGGACGATAAGGGAGCCACACTGTGAAATGCCCACATTTCGTAACAGGAAGGTAACGAAACCTGTCTGAATTCAGTAAATCAGGAAATCGCAATAAGCATGAGAGAGGTTGCCTTAGGCAGCTGAGAAGAAGGGCTGGACAAGGAACTGCTGTCTTTCTTTAGAAACAGTGTGTTACTATTTTATTTGATTTTGTTTGTACTATGTCCAAATATTACATGAATAAAATGTTTCCATTTAAGAATTCATAATGAAATGAAGCAGTATAGACTGCACCATAATTTCTCTCCTAGCCCACGGCCCCACTGCTTTAATGGACTCGCCACAAGGAGTCCCAATGTAATGTCACCTTACGGCCTAGAGACGAAGGCCGCAGGGCTACCAAGGTGGGGAAATGGGCACTTCCTCTGGGAATGACCTTCAAGGGAGCAAGTCTTGTGTCTTTGACTTTGGGCTGGGCTTTTGGAAACAGCTTGCAGGGAGGTCAGCCTGGGTTCATTGCAGGGAACAGCAGAGAGCAGGCAGCCGGAGTCCGAGGCCCTGCTGAGAGCCTGGCTCTGCGTTCTGGGAACTTCGGTGGTCACTTCCCTGCTGCGGGCCTGGGTTTCCTCATCTGTATCGTTAGGGGGTGGGGGTGGTCACGCCTCCCCTGGAGTGGCCGAGAGAACACACCTTGGAAAACGCTGTGCAGCTGCAGAGCAGGATGCCCGCAGGGGAGAAATTTTTACCTTGAAAAGGACAGAGTGGCTCCCTAAAGAGGCTGGACCTGCGGCTCCTTCCGAGGGAGGAGTTTCAGGAAGCCAGCTCCCTGAAAGGCAGCATTCAGTGGACGTGACCGGCTGGAAAGTTCACAAAGGTCCAGGAACCAAAACCAGTATTATTCCTGCCCCTGCACCCCAGGCTCTTAGCCCCTGGTGGTACCGCCTTCCCTTCTTTCCCCTGGGGTCCTTATCCTGCACCAGCCTCCCAGATTACCAGCCCGATTTGCTGACAAGTGGCTTCTCTGAACCTGGGTTTGCTGCCCTGTGAAACGAGAGCAATGCTATTCATCTCATGGGACTGTGGACGCCTTGAGAGCAGGTGCTGTGCCTCCATTGCCCGTTGCCTGGTACAGCTCCCGGAGCAGTAGCTCCTCAGCAGTGAAATGTGGAGTGAATGCGATCGGAGGGAGGAGGTTACAAATTATGCCTTACAGCACCTAACTCACCGCACAGCTGCAGAGGCTGGGACACACAAGACTGCCTCTCTCAAGGGCCAGGCGCCCTTGCAGCCTCCTTCTAGACTGGAAAAGTCACATGCAGGTCTAGGGTATGCAGGCTATAGGCAAAGGGAGGACCTGAATGTGATCTCTGGACTCTGGGCTTGGTTGGCCCAGAGAAGGGTGACATCAGTGCACTTCGTGTGCCAGGACCCTCCTTTCCATGCCCTCCAGGCAGAGGGTGTGCCTGCCACGGGGACTAACCAGGAATGCATTCATTACCACCCAGCGCCCACCAGGTCCAAGTCATGCTCAGCGTGAGATGAGCCCACTCGGGCAGCTCTGGGGACCTGGAACGGGCACATGTCATGTGTGTGACACTCCCAACACCTTCCCAACCACATCCCTACTCGACCTCATCCGTCTCCAACTCAAGGCAATTTCGCCTCCCAAGGGACATTTGACAATATCTGGAGACATTTTTGGCTGTCACGACTGGGAGGGATGTTACTGGCATCTGGTAGGTAGAAGCCAGGAGTGCTGTTAAACATCCTACAATGCACAGGCTGCCCCCACACAAAGAGTTATTTGGCTCAAAAATGTCAGTAGTGCCTTCCATTGCAGCTAATGCATCTGCTGTAACCAGGAAGGGCCCCATGTTACAAGTGAGGAAACTGGGGCTCAGAGAGGTCCTCTAACCTGCCCAAAGTCACACAGCTTATAAGCAGAGAACCAGGGTCTAAACCCCACCTTGTCTGATACTAAACCTTTTCACTTCCCTACAGTCTCCACAAAGCCTGTCTCCATGGCAGGCCTAGGGATGCTGAGGGTCCCTTCACCAAGAGAAGGGATAAGTGGGGGCCTGGCCCTGGATCCTCCATCTAGACTCACAGGTGACCTCAGACCAAGAGGGGTTAGAGACAGCTTCCCACCCACAGTAAAACCCTCAGTCCTTGAAGGTGGGATCTAGCCCACTGGAAGTTCTGGGAGAGAAAGAGACACGCACACCCAGGTGCACATGTGCACACCTATGCGCATGCCCGGGTAGACTGAGAAAGGCAGTTTGGGAATGCTATCCCTGTTAAGTTTTCAGAATATGAACTATGAATCAGACCAACCGCACTGTGTACCCCAGTTCTGCTAGCGTCCCTATGTGATCTTGGGCATGCGACTTCACCTCTGAACTGAGGCATCCAGATCTGTGCAGCGAGGATCATTCCCCAACCCCCAGCCAGAACAATGAAGTGGTAGGAGGTCCCAGACCTCCCCGATGGCAGCTCTTGCAGCCGTAAGCTACGAGGTCCACACGGTGTCTGCTGACGGTCTCCAGTGGGTAGTGGGATGTTGAGGCAGGGGGTTGCATAAGATGACTTCAGCGAGGTCCTCTCTTTCCCGTGACCAAATGAATGGCTGAGACGCACCCAAATCCCACAGGTCTTCCTCTTGCCCCTGCCCTGCCCTGCCTGGCAGGCTCAGCAACTCACCCATGTCTCTTCTCCCCAGAGATCTCCCTGGATGTGGACGCAGACCGGGATGGTGTGGTGGAGAAGAACAACCCAAAGAAGGTACCTAGCTTTCAGGGCAGGCACCACCCTGAACCCAGGGCTTCCGAGGGCACAGCCCCAGATCCCGCAGGCAATTCCCATTTCACAGCTCAGGAGACTAAAGCCCAAGACAGGCTCCCAGACACACAGCATACCAATGATGGAACCCACAGAGGAGCTCAGGCATCTCCTAGAGACGGCAACAGAGCAGGCTCCTGAGTCTCAGTTTCTCCATCCCATGATGGGGACGCCCAATTCATGGAACTGCTGGGAAGGATAAATGTGCCCGCTACAGAGGAAGCACTGTGAAGGCATTTGCTCTTATTATTTTGCCTGTTCTTTTAAGACTAGGGAGGTGGGGGAGACAGACCCTCAGGACAGAGGGTCGCATTCATCATTCTCAGTTCCAGGCGTGGTATTATCTCTGCTGGTGCATGCACGGCCCCTCTCCTCTTTCTATTTATTCTTGCATTCATTCACCATTCATTCATTTGTTCCCTCGTTCATTTACTTATTTTCTTTTATCTTGCATTCCCCACTCCCATTCTGCTCCCCCACAGAGGACCATTTTGCTGGGTTTAATGTGTCTCTTTCTGCTCTGGTGACTCTCAGGAGGCATGTGGTGTGGTTGGTGTGCATGTATTTTTAATTTGTGCAGACGGCATGGTGTTCTCCATCACATTCTGTTTTGTACTTTTCCCTCAACCTAGTTTTTAGGCTCCATCAGTCTTGCTCTGTGTACATTCAGGCTGTTGCTTCTAACTGCTTTCCATTTTCTGCCCTTCTGTATTATCTCAATTTTTGCCATGGGCATATGTGACTTTTATAATAACACTCTGAAGCCTAGAGTAAAGTATACATAGAGGGGTACTTACGAAGTAAAATAAACACAGCCTGATGAGAAGCCTGGGTCCTAGCAGCCTGCTACCCTGACTCTCTGCAGGTCAGGAGAGGGTTCTCAGCCATGTGGGGAAGTCCCTTCTTCTAGGATCGTGAGCAAGGCTTGCCTGAGACCAGGGCCAGCCCTGCACACTCATTCTCTGAGTCTATGGCCAAGCCATATGAGAATGAACTCCACAGAGGCCTCTGAAACCCAGCAGCCCCAGGGCGACAGCTTCCAACCTCCCCCAAGGGGCTGGGCAGTCTTGGGAAAGTCACACGATCCCCATGAGCCTGAACTTGGCCAGAATTTTTAAATCTGGGCCGGTGAAGTTTTCACATTTTCTTCACTCATCCCATAAATATTTGCTGAGCATCTTTTATGTTCCAGGAGCGGGTCAGGCCCAGGGGACACAGAAAGAACAAGAGAAACACAGCCCTGGCCTTAAGGAGCCCATGGTCCACATTAAATATGGAGTGTTTCGGATAGCTGTGTCATCACAGTTGTCCTAAGTCCTCCCAAAAAGGATGTGTACAGGGCCAGGTGTGGACCCGGGGAAGCTGCTCTGTCCTAGAGAATCAGAAAGGCCTCCAGGAAGAAGAGACAGTCATGCTGTAACCGAGGAAGGGTAGAGTGGGCCAGGTGGAAAGGGGCAGGACAGGAGCAGAGGGACTGGCATAGGCAAAGGCCTGGGAGCTTGAGTCTTTTGGGAGCAGAAAGGCGCCGGGATGGGTGGGGCAGAGTGAGCGAGGGGCAAGGCGGAGGAGATGAGACAGAGAGGAAGGCAAGTTTCACCAGGCCTTCCAAGCCACAGCAAGGAATCAGGGCTTCATGCCAACTCAACTGGGAGCCCCTGACCTGGCTTAAAGCAGGGAAGCAACACAATCTGGCCCGAGTTTGTTCTAGTAGTGCTATGGCTGCAGTGTAGAAAGTGGAGCACCATGCAGGTCCCATTCGGAGCACTAGGAGCGTGTCTGGAAACAGCTGGGTGGCATCCATCCAGGCGTCTCCTCCTGAGCTCCCCTAGGGACCTAGGGACCCATGGTAGAATGTCTGTCTGCTCATTTCTCTGGCCAGCCTCCACCTCCCTGCCTCCACCCACACCAGACACCAGCTGCACCAGACAGGAGGCCCATAAATGCCTCAGTCAGCCTTCCTGTCTCTGTGCCTCTATTGAACTTGCCTTTGATGCCCACATTCATCCTCTGTGGACATCAGTCTTGAGATTCACATTTGCCAGGTCACAGCTGCCCCAGTGGGTGGCGGCTACTCTTTACCCTCATCCTGGGGCTATCTCTCCAGTGTCCCATGGGGTCTATACAAGCATAGAGAAGAGGGCACTGACCTTTCTTCCTGCCACTGTAGGCATCCTGGACCTGGGGCCCCGAGGGCCAGGGGGCCATCCTGCTGGTGAACTGTGACCGAGAGACACCCTGGTTGCCCAAGGAGGACTGCCGTGATGAGAAGGTCTACAGCAAGGAAGGTGCCAGCAGGCCCTGCACTTGGGGGGCAGGATGAGAGGAGTGAAAAGATTCATGCCCAGTCCTGGGCTGGGCTGAGGGTGAGGCAGGTGTGGACTCAGGCCTCCTGGGGATGGTGGACACAAATTCCCACTCTTGCTTAAAGCCAAAGGCAAAACCATAGGAAATAGACAAGGGCCGGGCGTGGTGGCTCACACCTGTAATCCTAGCATTTTGGGAGGCCAAGGCAGGCAGATCATGAGGTGAGGAGTTCAAGACCAGCCTAACCAATATGGTGAAACCCCATCTCTACTAAAAATACAAAAATTGGCTGAGCGTGGTGGCATGCACCTGTAATCCCAACTACTCAGGAGGCTGAGGCAGGAGAATCACTTGAACCCAGGAGGCAGAGATTGCAGTGAGCCAAGATCATGCCACTGCACTCCAGCCTGGGCAACAGAGCAAGACTCTGTCTCAAGAAAAAAAAAGAAGAAGAAGAAGAAGAAGAATAAAAAGAAAATAGACCAGAAGGAAATTCCCAAAAGGTTAATCATCTCTAGTGTTGGAAATGACAACTGGTTTTTATTCTGTTTTATGCTTTGCTTTTTTCTTTTTCTTTTTTTTTCTTTTTTTTTTTTTTTGAGACAAGGCCTTGTTCTATTGCCCAAGCTGGAGTGCAGTGGCATGATCATAGCTCACTACAGCCTCAACCCCCTGGGTTCAAGCCATCCTCCTGCCTCAGCCTCCTGAGTAGCCAGGATTACAGGCACATGCCACCATGCGTGGCTAATTTTTTTTATTTTTGTAAAGATGGGGTCTTGCTATGTTGCTCAGGCTGGTGTTTGTCTCCTGGCCTTAAGTGATCCACCCACCTCAACCTCCCAAAGCACTGGGATTACAGGTGTGAGCCACAGCACCCAGCCTCTTTATGCTTTTCTATAGTTTCCATAATACACATCCATGGGGATTTTTTCCTGATTATCAAAGTAAAAGGCATTGGGAAGCTGAGGCTCCAGCAACAGATAGATCTCTTCATTCTCACCTTCTGTCCCTCAGATCTCAAGGACATGTCCCAGATGATCCTGCGGACCAAAGGCCCCGACCGCCTCCCCGCCGGATACGAGATAGTTCTGTACATTTCCATGTCAGACTCAGACAAAGTGGGCGTGTTCTACGTGGAGAGTGAGTGATCCCAGCCCAGTCCAGCCTAGACCTTTCTAGCCACCTACCCTCCTCCCCTTAGCAGTTGTGGCCTTCACAGGTGCAGGTGCCTGGGGAAGACCTGGATTGGTCTCTGAGTGATTGTAACATGGCAATGCTGTTGTCCCGTGAAGTTGAAAGACTCCATGGGGACACATCGCTCCTCCTCTCAAAGGAGTCTGGAGTGACATGGGTCTATGTAGAACCCAGAGGCCCTTCCTCCCTACGAATCAGGGGAGGAAGGGCATTTGGGCACTTCTTTTCTGGAGTCATGTCACCTTCAGGATACCTGAGGCAGGGCAGGCACCACCTCCAGGTATTTTCTGCCATCTCTGACTTTCAAAGACCCCCTAAAGATGCAGTGGGCACCCTTGAAGAGTTGACCCCTTGCTCCTCTCGATGGCAACAGATGTCCTGGGCCCCCACTGTGTAGGGCACGGGCTCCTGCCCTGGAGCTAGTCCTCGTAGCTGCCGGCTCTGCCTCACCCTGTCTGTGGATATGTGTTGAGCCCTTTGGTGCCAGGCCCTGTTCTCAGCTTTGAGATCTCTGCAGTAAACACAACAATCACACCCTGCCCTCAAGGAGCCGCCAGTCTAGCAAGAGAGACATAATCAGTACCACAATTGGAGGAAATGAAATAGAATAAGTGAGGAGAATGGCAGGGCAGAGGCACCACTAGATGGGTGCCTCTGAAAAGGCCTCTCTGAGGAGGTGACATCTGAGCTGAGACTCAGATGAACAATAAGAAGGAACCAGCCACTCGTGAGCTGAGGGAAGAGTGTTCTAAGCAGAGGCAACAGCATCTGCAAAGCCTGGAGGAGGAGACCAGTTTAGAGTGTGGGAAGAGCAGATGGAAGCCCAGAGCAGGGCTGGGAGTCAAGGTCAGTCAGCTCGGCCAGGGGCCAGAGCATGCAGACTGGGTTTGGATTTTCTTCTGAGTGCAATGGAATGCCATTAGAGGGTTTTATGCAAGGGACTGTCATAATAATGATGTATGTGTTTTAAAAACTCCCTCAGCAAAATAGTCGGCATTGCAATTTGCCATGGTACAAGGCGGGTCGTGGGGTGGCGGGAGGAGGCTTCTGCATGCCCAGCTGCCTAGGGGGGCCAGGATCTCTGGCCCAGCCCCGAACCCACCTCTAGACAGGCCTACTAGATCCAGGGCATTCACCATGAGGTGAGTAGGGACCCTGGACCCTCACATCAGGGAGATATTTAGCCAGGATGGCAGTGGCCAGCAGCCACCCAATACCAGTCTTCCTTCTGATCCACCCTGGGCTCCAAGCAGTGACCTCACACAGGTTGGAATGTGCCCAGAGTCAGGCTGGCTCCGCTGCCGCAGGGGGCCGGAGATGTTGATGTTGACACCATCCAGGCCAGGGTTGTCATGGAGGATGGGATCACCAGTGGGAGCAGGAGGGATGCAAGCAGGACCTCAACCTCGGCCTCTTGACCTTGGTGTCGTGACACGAGACCTGTTGCAAATAATGATGTCTGGACATTATCTAGAAGTTTCTTCTTTTTGCTAAAGGGAGTGGACTGGTCTGGTTCCATAATCTCATCCCTCCTCATCACTTGCCATCTGAGATGGGTCCTGAGCAGACAAGAAAAAAGAGGAACTACTACCACAAGGGCTTTGAGAACGTCCCTTGGAGCCTCTTATTTGGGCTGCCCATCCTGTGGGGAGCAGCCACGACTGAGACAGTGGGGACCCAGAAGAGACAGTTTCCCAATAATGCTGACACTGGGTCACTGGGTGAAAACTCTTAGACACACACACACACACACACACACACACACACACACAAGCAAAGGACGACAGATAATTGACCAGGAGCACAGTCTCTTTTTCTTCCAGGCAAACACTTTGGAGTTATGTCAAATTCCAGGCACCCCTGTGGATGAGCGAATGTCAGGTGTCCTGGTAGGGTCAGACCAGCTCTCCCCAAGGCCAGGGGGCTGGGTTGGAGACTGAAGGACCCCTATAGGGAGTGCTGGAGTCAGGGAGCTACAATTCTGGGTCCAGGCAAGTCTTCTCACCAGCCCCAGCCTTGGGGTGCTCATCTCTGACGTGGCATGGGAGTAGTAAGAGTTCCGACTGTCCCGGGTGTCCCGGATCGTGGTGGGGATCTAATGAGGAAGGTGTGTCAGGCACTGAGTGCAGTAGCTGGCCTTTGGAAAGCTCTCCATAAATGGCAATTATGGCTTTTGTTGAGATTATGATGATGACTGTTAGTTACAATGATTGGAGTGGACAGAAGGCTTCAGTGCTCCTAGGAAGACCTGGTAACGGCCTTAGCCTCAAATTCTGCCCAAAACACCAAGCACTGGGGCCTTACCTCTTTATACAAGGAAATGGTAATCCAGTTTGCCCAGGACTTTCCTTATTTTAGCACTGAGGGCTCCTCATGCCAGGAAACCCCTCAGTCCTAGGGAAACCAAATCAGCTGGTCACACTATCAAGGAGTCTCGCTGGGAAGTGGAATCATTCCAAAGTAGCTAGAAAGGTTAAGGCAAACCACGTGCCAGCCAATGCCTGGGGCAGAGAGGTCACGGTGGTCAGTGGGCCCAGCCCAAGGCACGAGGACCACTCAATAGAGCGGCATTGTTGGTTCCTGCAGAGAAAGCTGGCCACGCTCAGTGTGGGGTTTGCACCGAGCCAGGGATGGAGGACGGGGTAAGGAGGCTCCTGGGGACAATGGCTGAATTGTTCCCACCAAGAAATCAGTCCGCCCGGAGCTGGCCCCAACTGTCAGAAAGCAGCCCAGAATAGAGGTGCATTGTGAATCACAGGCCACGGGCCACATCGGGAGGGAGAAAGCTGCCGGCAGACGGACTAGAACGTGTCCTCCACCTGCCCCACCACCCCTGGCCAGATCCCTGTTCCTACCCCAGACCTTGGTGGAGCCCCCCAGGTGCTCTGAGCCCTGGGAAAGCTTTGGCTGTGTGGCTTCTGCCAGGACAAGTTGGCTTCTAAGCCTGACTGTCCCCTGAGCATCAGTTCAAGTGCAGCCTGGGGCCTGTGGGCATGGGAGGGCCCGAGTGCCTGGAGGAAAATGTTTTCATGATGCCAGTCTATCTGAAACTACTGACTGACAGGGCTGCAGGGTGCACACTATTGTTTCTGGGTGAGCAGGACCTCACTTTCTATTCTTTGGGACTTTCAGTATCTGAATTTTTCCACCTCATTTCTTGGACTCCTCCCTCCCAAGGGAGGATGAGGTGGGACGTGGTTTCCCTGCCTTCTGTTTGGAAACTATTCAATGAAAACTCCTTCACATCCTCGTAATACAGGTCCAAGCAGTGTTACTGATGGTTACCCATGGTTACTGAGGTTACTGAAGTTACTGAGCCTGTGTCATTTACATTGAACCTGTGGCGTGGGTATCATTATCTCCCACTTAACAGATGAGTAAACTGAGGCTCAGGGAGGTTAAGTGAATTCTCTGAGGCTTGGTTTTTTTTTTTTTTTTTTTTTTTTTGAGATGGAGTCTCGCTCTGTCGCCCAGGCTGGAGTGCAGTGGTGCAATCTTGGCTCACCACAATCTCTGCCTCCTGGGTTCAAGTGATATTCCTGCCTCAGCCTCCCGAGTAGCTAGGATTACAGGCACGCACCACCATGTCCGGCTAATTTTTGTATTTTTAGTAGAGACGGGGTTTCACTGTGTTGGCCAGTCTTGTCTCAAACTCCTGACCTCGTGATTCGCCCGCCTCAGCATCCCAAAGTGCTGGGATTACAGGCGTGAGCTACTGCACCCGGCTCCCTGAGGTTTTATAGCTTGTAAAGCCAGAGAAGTATTTAAACCAAGGTCCCTCTGACATTGGAAGTCATAACCACTAAGGGAAGCACCCTTAGTGAGATTTATAACCAGGGTCTATTTCGGCACATTGTCCCACAGGAGGAGCCATCCCAAGCCCTGGCTTCGCGGTTCATCCACTTATTTCTCACGTTTTAATCAAGCACCTAGTTTGTGCCAGGCTATTCGGCTTATGTGTTCTAACCCTTGAGCATCTGGTCATTAACCATTATCATTGTCGTTGAAAGCACTAAGCTGAGGCTGATTCTGCCCTTCCAGCTCTACAGGGCATAAAGAAATTCCTTCTGGAACTGCATAGGGTCCTACCTCCATGCCTTTACCAATGCAAGTATCTCCTCTCCCCAACACACCCATTTCTGCCAACCCGCAAGGGCATCTCAAAGGCTGCCTTCCTCTGCTCAAATGCTTCCCACCGTGCCTCTTCTGCCCTCCCCACCCTACCCCAAGTAACCAGACTGGATCTCACCCATAGCCGCCGTTATGACGCTTCCCACATCTGCTCCATCTTATCATCAGCTGAGCACTGCTGTTACAGAGGCTGCATTTGGACCACCTCTGTCTCCCCGAAGGTCCTTGCCTGATTCATGTGCTCTCAATCTGCCTGAAAATTCCCCCTTGGTCTCTCCCACAGGGAATGTTGTGGGAGTCATTGGTTCGTTCAGTAGACATTTGTTAAACATGACCATGTGCCGGGCAGGCCCTGGGCCCCACTGGGCCTGTCTCTACCCTCGCACAGGTCACCCACATTTAAAAAGGCTGTGATGAGGCCGGGTGTGGTGGCTCACACCTGTAATCCCAGCACTTTGGGGGTCTGAAGGCAGGCAAATCACTAAAGGCAAGGAGTTCGAGACCAGCCTGACCAAGATGGCGATGAAACCCTGTCTCTGCTAAAAAATACAAAAATTAACCATATGTGGTGGTGGGCGCCTGTAATCCCAGCTACTTGGGAGGCTGAGGCAGGAGAATCGCTTGAACCCAGGAGGCAGAGGTTGCAGTGAGCCAGGATCATGCCACTGCACTCCAGCCTAGGTTACAGAGCAAGAATCTGTCTCAAAAAATAAATAAATAAATAAATAAACAAACAAACAAACATAAAAAGACTGTGATGGAGATGGCAGGTGGCTGTGGGAGCTCCAAACAGAGCCCCTGGCTTTGTCTCTGGGGAAACTGGGCTGGATTGTTGCAAGTGACACAAACCAAGGCCTGAAGGAAGAAGGGACACAATTGTTTCAGGCAGAGGGGAGAGCACAAGTCAAACTGGGAGCTTTCAGGAGGGCAGGAGCCCTGGAGGAACCTATCTTTCCGCCCAGCCACAAAAATGAACAGCCCATGCACTGGCCTTTACACCAACACGGCTTCCATGATATGGAGGGAATTTTTGGTATAATGGGCACATTTATGGTTTGTTTATACAGAGGGGATGAGAGCTCGGGATTCAGAATTCGACTTGAATCTGAGTCCCAGCTCAGCTATTTACTGGCTGTCTGACTTTGGACAAGCCACTCCTCCTTTCTGAGATTGGTTTCCTCATCTGTGAAATGGAAACAATTACATCCTCCCCTGGAACCACTAACTGCTCAGCTGGCAATTTCCTATCAGCCGTTCACGAGAGAGCTTGCTTATTTTATAGATGGGGAAGCCAAAAGCCAGAGAGGGTGACTGTCTGGCAAAGCGCCACACAGCCAGCACACAGCAGTGCTGAGACAATGACAATGACCTAGCCATGGCCATTCTGGTGGCATTTTCTGCTTGTGCTTTTCTCTCTGTCTAGAGGACAAGTTACTTTGCCCTTTTGTCCCCATCGGTGATCCCACCCCACCGACCTCTTTCTGATGCGGGTGGGAGTCTGACGTTGGTCCTTTTCCCTCCAGACCCGTTCTTCGGCCAACGCTATATCCACATCCTGGGCCGGCGGAAGCTCTACCATGTGGTCAAGTACACGGGTGGCTCCGCGGAGCTGCTGTTCTTCGTGGAAGGCCTCTGTTTCCCCGACGAGGGCTTCTCAGGCCTGGTCTCCATCCATGTCAGCCTGCTGGAGTACATGGCCCAGGTGAGGGCTCCAGGCCTCCACCACAGGGGGCTAACCCCAGGGGCCAGGGTGGGTCTCCTACTAGTGGGCCATTCCTATGCTATGCTCCACCCTGCTCAAAGCGCCAAAGGGGTGGGTCCAGGCTAGGAGACCTCGATGCCCCCCAGCAAAGCCTGCACGTGTCTGCCAGGGTCCTCTGAGCCATGCTCCTGGGATCAGTCTCCTTGCTGCTTCTGCTCCCCACGGATTCCCTGTGGGCAATGTTTCCTGACACACTCCACGCCTGTGTCCTGGCCTGCCCTGCTCCCTGCCTAGGTCTAAGGCCCAGAGTCCTGCTGATTAGCGCGAGGCTCTAAGCAGCCACCCAGGTGGGGTTTGCTGACCACCTACTGCGCGCTCTGTACTTCCTGCCCCACTCTGACCCCTCCCCCAACTGTGGGTTATACCAACTCTGACTGCAGGCTGAACCCCAAATCCCAGTTTCAGGTTGTGCCCTACCCTGGGGCCAGGCATCTCAGCCAGCCTTGCTCTTGCTTTGGGGAGAAACTGGATGAGGAGAAGAGGTCCTGTCCCTCTAGAGAAGCCCCCATCACTGAGGGCGTGCTGTGCTCACAAGAATCTCTATCACAAAGACCTTTCATCCCCAGACCCTAGCCTCTCAGGCCCACCCTGTTTCGCTCAGAAAAAAAGGGAAGGACCTGGCTGCTCTCGCAAACACAAGAGCCCCTCATTTTTATCCCCAGGCCACTTTGGGAAAGGATACAATGGGTGCTATAGAAAGGTGAGGCTGGATCTAGCTGAGATGTATGAGAATGAGCCCTGGCAGCCGACTGCCCAGGTTCAACTCCTGGTTTAACCACCACGAGACACTAGGCAAATGAATTAAACTTCCTGTTAATTTCCTTAGTTAAGGGTAGTTTGCCATAGTTTCTCCATCTGTAAGACAGAACGTCCAAAAGTTTCTGCTGCCGGGGGTGGTTGTGAGCATCCAAACTTGTGAAGTTCTACTTACAAAGCACCCTCAAGCTCCCTGGGAAGTGGAAAAGGCAAAGCTAACAGGATAGGGGACGGGGATGGGGCTTCTTATGGCACCCATGCCCAGGGCAGCCTGACCCCCAGGATCTCTCAGGCACCCGCAGAGACTCAAAAGGCAGACCACGGCAAGCAAGGCAAGCCGTGCAACAGTCCCACCACCCCCGCACCTCCCCACCAAGGATGGGGTCCATTTCCTATATCTTTTGAAAGCCAGCCCCACAAAGGAACCCTGGAATCAGACCTCACTTTCCCTTGGGTTCCAGGCAAGCTGCTTGACCATTCCTTAAAACAAAACAGTCTGGACATAGCAAAACTGACCCAAAACAACGCGAAAATGCCCACATACAGAAAACGGCAAGGTGCCAAGGGCAAAAACAGAGGAAGGTGGGGGGCTGGCTCAGCTGTTGCGTGGGGCGATTTCAGGAAGAGAAGTTTGATGGGACAAGATAGGACAGTGGTTAAGAGTGTGACCTCAGCAGCTGACTGCCTGGGTGTAAAGCCTACCATGTGGTCAAGCACACGGGTGGCTCTACCACTTACCAACCATGTGACCTTGGGCGGTTAACAGCCCTGTGACTCGGTTTCCCCATCTGAAAAGTGAGGATCATAGCAGTATCTACCTCCTGCGGTGGTCGGAAGGCAGAAAAGAATTGGCACATGTGAAAGTACTTAGCACAGGCTTGGTGCATAGCAAGTCCTGAGGAAATGTATTCACTGTCATCAGTTTCACCCGCTTTGAAAGGCAGGCAAAGAAAGCACCTGACAAAACCTTTTGATCCCCCACGCCTTGTCTCCCACACCCAGGACATTCCCCTGACTCCCATCTTCACGGACACCGTGATATTCCGGATTGCTCCGTGGATCATGACCCCCAACATCCTGCCTCCCGTGTCGGTGTTTGTGTGCTGGTAAGGGGTGACCCCAGCCTGGAGAGGCAGCGTGGCAGAGTGGCCAAGGGCCGAGTCAGATGGACATGAGTCTAGTTCCTGGCCCCGTCACTTACCACTGTGTTACCTTGAGCAACTCTCTTGGCCTCTCTGAAATGCCCACATCGTAGAGTCACTGTGAGAATTAAATGAGATGAAGCAGGCAAAGCATTTATCCAAGGCCCAGCACACAGGGTATGCTCTAAAAATAATAGCTGCCATTCTGTTCTCTTGCTTAACCCTCTACCAGGCAGTTAGCAACCTCCTATGCAGTGGAAATGCAGCTCATCTGACTCATTCATTAAACAGACTTTTATTGACCACCTATTATGAGCTAGGTCCACAACAGCAAGATGAGAACCAAGGGAAAAAGTGCCTGTGATTAGATGGCTAGCAACCCAAAAGGGACCCTTGGGGTCCTCACGTCCATCCCATCTTCATGCCAGGCAGAGCTCTTCTTTGAAAATCTGTGGAGTCAGAGGTGTAAGGCATTGGGACAGGTGGGGGTGAGAGTTCCCCCCCTCATTTTATTTGTTCATGACCTTGACAAACGCCACATGAGTGGGTGGGTTTACTTGGCCTTTGATTCCAGCGGCCTTTATAAAGGTGGCCGTGAGCACAGGTGTAGACTGATCTGCCCGGCACAGCCCAGAGATACCAGCTGCTGTCACCATCTCAGGGAGATGACTCTGGCCCCTCCTCACCCTTTCTCCTGGCCTCTCCTTCTTCCCCCAACTTCTCAGCATGAAGGATAATTACCTGTTCCTGAAAGAGGTGAAGAACCTTGTGGAGAAAACCAACTGTGAGCTGAAGGTCTGCTTCCAGTACCTAAACCGAGGCGATCGCTGGATCCAGGTAAGGAGCCCAGGTCCAGGCTGGGAAGGACATGGCCCCCGGGTCAAGCAAAGAAGAGTTGGCTTCATGTGAACTGCCTGGCACCCAGCAGCTCTGCAGATGGGGATTCTTCTGTCAGCTCATATCTGCACATGTGCACAAAGACATAAACATACAAGTGCACTACAGTGCTGCTTCTTGTAGTAGCAAAAGATTGCAAAGCAACCTAAATGTCCATCTGTGGAGGACTGAGTAACGGCCTTCCCGGAAGTTCTGTGCAACCGCTAAAAAGGATGAAGCCAGTCTCTCAATATGGATACAGGATGTGCTTCAAGTTAAGTTGTTACTCAACGGAAAACATATTCAGGATGCTGCTTGCTATTTGTGTGTTTTGTTTTGTTTGAGACGAGGTCTCGCTCTGTCACCCAGGCTGGAGTGCAGTGGCATGATCTCAGCTCACTGCAACCTCCGCCTTGCGGGCTTAAGCAATCCTCCCACCTCAGCCTCCCAAGTAGCTGGGACTACAGGCATGCACCACCACGCCTGGTTATTGTGTTTTTTAAAATGAGGTCTAGGCCACGCGTGGTGGATAATACCTGTAATCCCAGCACTTTGGGAGGCTGAGGTGGGAGGATTGCCTGAGAACAGGAATTCAAGACATGCTTGGGCAACATAGCAAGACCCTGACTCCACAAAAAAAAATTTAAAAATTAGCCTGGCATGGTAGTGCACACCTGTAGTCGTAGCTACTCAGAGGCTGAGGCAGGAGGACCGCTTGAGCCCAGGAGTTTGAGGCTGCAGTGGGCCATAATCATGGCACTGCACTCCAGCCTGGGCAACAGAGTGAGACCCTGTCTCAAAAAAAAAAAAATGGGGCTGATATCGGTAAGAAACCTGCCTGTGATGTGCAGAGACTGCCTATGGACACCTGTGCTGCCATCATCAGTGTGAGGGGAGGAGGATGGGGGACCAGGGAATGGGGAACAAGACAGACGTTCTTCTTCCTTTGTGCTCTTGTGTTTCTCGAGTTTTCTGCCCATGTGCACAAATTGTCCCCTGGATTCGTCTAACAGTTCTCCTTGGTGTCCCTGCAGGATGAAATTGAGTTTGGCTACATCGAGGCCCCCCATAAAGGCTTCCCCGTGGTGCTGGACTCTCCCCGAGATGGAAACCTAAAGGACTTCCCTGTGAAGGAGCTCCTGGTAAGATGCTGAGGGCCACTTGCGGGTGGAGCATGATCCTGGAGATTCTCATAAGACAGAGTGGTCAGGAGACCCTGGGCCGCCTTGACACATTCATCTGCTGCCCAGAGCCTCTGTTTCTCCTCTGCAAAATGAGTCCACTTGGGATAGCTGCCTCTGAGGTCCTTTCCTGCTCTGATAACTGATGTTTTTCCAAAACATAGAGAGTTTTCTAGTGGGAAATGGGAACTAAGGGAAATAGAGTTAAGACCTAGTTCCAGAGGCCCTGGCCCCTGCTGCTGCCCTTCCCCTCCAAATTGCAGCAAAATGAGTTAAGTTTCAAAGAGGAAAAAAACATAGTTATGCAATTGTCAAAAGTCATGGTTCCAACTTCCAAGTTCATCAGCACTTTGAGGCTATGGTTTTTGGTGCGTGTGTATGTGTGTGTTTGTTTTTGTTTTCTGAGACAAGAGTCTTGCTCTGTCGCCCAGGCTGAAATGCAGTGGCTCACTGCAACTTCCATCTCCCAGGTTCAAGCAATTCTCCTGCCTCAGCCTCCCAAGTAGCTGGGATTACAGGCATGCACCATCATGCCTGGCTAATTTTTGTATTTGTAGTAGAGATGGGGTTTCACCATGTTGGCCAGGCTGGTCTCGAACTCCTGACCCCAGATGATCCACTTACCTTGGCCTCCCAAAGTGCTGGGATTACAGGTGTGAGCCACTGTACTCAGCCATGTTTTTTGTTTCTTTGTTTGTTTGTTTGTTTGTTTTTAAGTCATCTGACTCCTCCCATTCTGGAAGCCATTCTCAGTCCCCTTTTAGGCCCTTGACAACCTAGTGTGTGAAGTTAGAACCGAAACCAATCTTTCTTTTGTCTGCACTCTTCTGCCCTGAACAGGCTGGGGGAGGTTTGAACAGGGCATGAAACAAGAGACTGGAATAGATCAGGGGACTTTTCCCAAGGTCACATGCAGGACAGCATTCCTGTCAGACGCCAGGGCTGCCCAGAGCTGACCCTGTGCCAGGTTCACACCTGTTCTGCCCCACATTCCTTACCCAGTGCCCTGTTCACAAGGAGATGCTAGAGCCAATGGTGTCAGCACAGAGCTTTGGAATGTCAGGTGGACCCGGTCTTGAGTCCTAATTGCACCTCTTAGCAGCCATGTGACCTTGGGCAAGCAATTACCTTCCACGAGCCTCAGTTTCCTCATCTAAAATGGGGATAGAAATGATATCAGTCTCACAGAATGTTGTGAAGATTGAAGGCGTTGTATAAGGCATCAGTGCCATGTCTGATATAATGACCATTATTAGCTGTTGTTATGGTTATCATTCCCCGGGCCCTGTCCTTAGTGAGCTTATTGTCCACTTTCCCTAACACTATGATGAGTAGAGTCAAACCAACCACCAGCACCAGTTGCCACAGGCATGAGAAGCGAGGCCTTTCCAGGTCACCACCTGCCTTCAGTATTCCAGGCTGGCCTGGTTCCAAGGCCCCAGGCTGCGTTGTTCCTTGAGGCCCAGGCCAGGCCCGGCTTTGTGCTGCATACCTGCCCACCTGTATGGTGCTGCAGAGCCCCAGCACCCCAGCCTTGGCAAGCTCCCATGTTGCCAGCTGGGGCCCCAAGATGAGAAAGCACTAGGCTGCTGCCATCTACCCCATGGGCTCAGCTGTCCCTGGAGCCTCTCAGCTGAGCCAGGATAAGCCACATCCTCCGACTCCACTGGATTTTGTAAGGCAAGCTTCATCCCAACCCCAGTGCAAGCTCCCAAACAAGATTCCTATATTTGTACCCCAAAAGCCATGAGAGGAATGTTAAAATTCAGGGGCCAATGGGGTTATGACTTGCGGGCTAACTCCAATTTTTTGGAGCTCTGTGTGAAGAAGGGTTCTGAGGCTTCCTCTGGGCTCAGTGGCAAGTCTGGCAGGTTGAGACTGGGTTGAGATGTCATGTATATTCATAGCTGCCACTTTTGCATGTATTGGTCAGCTTCACCAAGTAACAAACCAACCCGAAATCTCCATGACCGACAACAGCAAAGGCCTGTGTCTTGCTGGCATTCCATGTTGATTGCTGCTGGTGGTCTGCCACTCTGCTTCTTTATGCCTTCCTTACTCTAGCGCTCAAGGTGCCAGAGCAGCCCCAGTCTGGGAAATGCCATTCTCCTAGCACAGGGAGAATTCAAAGAGTTGGCAGACACACGTGGGGGCTCCTGTGGCTTCTGCTGTTCACTGGCATGCATCCCTTCTGCTCACATTTCATTGGCCAAAGCAAGTCACGTGACCAAGTCTGACACTGGGCAGGGAAGTATATTCCTTTTGCAGGAAGATGCCAGAAGTCACATGGCAATGGGTCAGGATGCAAAATTCTCTTACTGCGCAGAGGGTAGCAAATCTCTGGAAATAATAATACTAGCTGCTCCCCTTCCTCAGGTTACCTAATCTGGTAACTCTCTTATAGATGGGGAAACGGGCTGGGCGCAGTGGCTCACCCCTGTAATCCCAGCACTTTGGGAGGCCAAGGTGGGTGGATCACTTGAGGTCAGGAGTTCGAGACCAGCCTGGGCAACCCAGTGAAACCCCATCTCTACTAAAAATACAAAAATTAGCCAGGGGTGGTGCTTGCCTATAATCCTAGCCACTGGGGAGGCTGAGGCAGGAGAATCACTTGAACCAAGAGGCACAGGTTGCAATGAGCTGAGATCATGCCACCGCACTCCAGCCTGGGCGACAGAGCAAGACTCCATCTCAGAAAAAAAAAAACAACAACAGATGGGGAAACTGAAAGTGCATAGCATAAAATGCGGACTAATTCTGAAATCACCAATATGTATCTGTGCTTGGGAAATAGAGGCATACACAGGAATGCAGATGCCCACACACTCACATTCACACTCACACTCACTCTCACACTCACTCTCACACTCACTCTCACTCGCACTCTCACACTACACCGAGATGCTCACACACTCAGCCTCCCCATGCCCAGGCCCCTGCTCTTTGTTAATCATAGGAAGACCGTGGACAACCCACCTGGAAACTGGGTGCCCACAGACCCAGACTGAAGGTGATAAAAGAGGGTGGCTGGCTTGGGGGCTGAGGACCCTGGCTGCAGAAGACTAACGCAGGTGTGTGCCCTCTGCCTAGGGCCCAGATTTTGGCTACGTGACCCGGGAGCCCCTCTTTGAGTCTGTCACCAGCCTTGACTCATTTGGAAACCTGGAGGTCAGTCCCCCAGTGACCGTGAACGGCAAGACATACCCGCTTGGCCGCATCCTCATCGGGAGCAGCTTTCCTCTGTAAGAGAAGCCAGGCTGGGGCTAGGGGCTGTGGGAGTGGGGAAGTCACTGTTTCTCTTTTGGGGTGGCCTGGGTTGCTCACACATGGAGCAAGTGGCTGGGGGAATTATTCCCTCCCACGACTTCCTGTTAAGAGGCCGACACTCTTGGAAAGAAAATCAAGCTAGCCTTTATATCTTTGTGTGATTTAGGATCTAATATATAACTAAATAAACAACTCTTTTCCCCAAGTGGAAAGGTGTATAATGAGATTATAAATCAGCTGGTTGGTGGGGCACGGTGGCTCTCACCTGTAATCCCAACACTTTGGGAGGCCAAGGTGGGCAGATCGCTTGAGTCCAGGGGTTTGAGACCAGCTTGGGCAACATGGCAAAACCCTTTCTCTACAAAAAATACAAAAATTAGCCAGGCATGGTGGCATGCATCTGTAGTCCCAGCTACTCAGGAAGCTGAGATGAGAGGATCGCTTGAGCCTGGGAGGTGGAGGTTGCAGTGAGCTGAGATCACACCACTGCACTCCAGCCTGGCAACAGAGTGAGACCTCATCTCAAAAATAAATAAATAGATAAATAAATAGGCTGGGCACAGTGGCCCATGCCTATAGTCCCAGCACTTTGGGAGGCCGAGGCAAGCAGATTGCTTGAGACCAGAAGTTCGAGACCAGCCTGGACAACATGGCAAAACTTTGTCTTTACTAAAAATACAAGTATTAGCAGGCATGGTGGTAATCCCAGCTTCTTGGGAGGCTGAGGCATGAGAATTGCTTGAACCTGGGAGCCAGAGGTTGCAGTGAGCTGAGATCATGCCCTGCACTCCAGCCTGGGTGAGAGAGAGACTCTGGCAAAAAAAATCAGGCCTGGTGCGGTGGCTCACGCCTGTAATCCCAGTACTTTGGGAGGCCGAGGCGGGTGGATCACCTGAGGTCGGGAGTTTGAGACCTGCCTGACCAACATGGAAAAATCTCGTCTCTACTAAAAATACAAAATTAGCCGGGCGTGGTGGCACATGCCTGTAATCCCAGCTACTCAAGAGGCTGAGGCAGAAGAATCGCTTGAACTCAGGAGGCAGAGGTTGCAGTGAGCCGAGATCGCGCCATTGCACTCCAGCCTGGGCAACAAGAGTGAAACTGCGTCTCAAAAAACAAAATAAAATAAAATAAAATATTAAATAAATCAGCTGGGGAAGGGATGGAGGAGTCCAGAGAAGGAAAACTGACAGGTATGAGTGGGAGCGTACCAATGAATCCTCAGGGCTACCATACTTAAAAGAGGTATGAGCAGACGTGGTCCTGCCCCAGAAATGTGAGTCCCTGGCTCCCTGGCCTGTCCATGATTCTCCTCACTCCCTGCCCAGTTGACCCACCAGCCAGTGAAAAGACAGATTCTTCCTTGTCAGGGCAGTCGCTGGGGAAAGAGTGAATACCTTAGGTTCTCACGTCACAAAAGGGCTGCCAGGAGCCTGCACAGATGGGGTCAGCCAGGATTTGGCCGCCAGTTTCCTCCGAGCCACATGGGATGCTCAGCCTTCTGCGGGGAGGCCACTGGCACAGCCAGCGACTGTTTGCCCACTTTTGCCTCCTTCTCCCTCCACTCAGTGGCCACTCATTCACTCAGCAACCATTTCCTGAGCACCAGCCAAGTGCCAGGCCCTGTGTCAGGCACAGGGTCCCAAACAGGAAGCCCAGCCCCTGCCTTCAAGGAGATAGCAGAGGTCTCAGGCATGCAAATAGACCCTGATGAAATGGAGGGACTTGCAACGATAGAAAGAATAACAGGGAGTCAGGTCAGCCCAGGGAGTGGCCCTGAACCCCCTCGAGGAGCTCAGGGGCGGCCCTTAAAGACAAATATTTATTGAGAAACTACTCTGTGCCAGGCACTATTCTAGGCTCTGGGGATACAGCGGTGACCAGAACAGATGAAGTCCCAGCTCTCCGGGAGTTTATAGTTGGGTAAGGGCAGTACAGAAAATAAACATGGAATCAAGTAAATCAATTAGATAATTCTGAATGCTGATACATGCAATGGAGAAGATAAAACAGGGTGACATGATAAAACATTCCTGGGGACAGGGGTGCCTTAGCTGTTGTTTTTTTGAAGATGTGACTAGAGTTGAGGCTTGGATGTTAAGAAGTAGGCAGCCATCAGGAGATTGTAAAGGAAGCGCATTCCATACAGAAGGAACAGCAAAGGGAAAAGCCCCAAGGGATAGCAAGTGTAGCAGGTGGCTGGAGCAGACAGAACCGGGGGAAGGGAGGGAAGCGAGGGAGGAGGGCTGGCCAGGAGCCAGATCAGAAAGGAATTTGTTGGCCACCCTAAGGAGCTAGGGTTATCTTCGGAGGATAATGGAGAGATTGCAGACCTTGGGGGGTCTAGAAATGAGGAAGGGCTGGCCGGGAGCGGTGGCTCACACCTGTAATCCCAGCACTTTGGAAAGCTGAGGTGGGCAGATCACGAAGTCAAGAGATCGAGACCATCCTGGCCGACATGGTAAAACCCCATCTCTACTAAAAATGCAAAAAAATTAGCTGGGCGGGGTGGTGGGCACCTGTAGTCCCAGCTACTTGGGAGGCTGAGGAAGGAGGATCGCTTGAACCAGGGAGGGAGATATTGCAGTGAGCTGAGATCATGCCACTGCACTGGTGACAGAGTTAGACTCTGTCTCAAAATACAAAAAACAAACACACACAAAAAAAGAAATGAGGAAGGGCTTCCTGGAGGAGGTTTCTCTTGAACTGATTAAAGATTAAAGTAAGTCCAGGCACAGTGGCTCACACCTGTAATCCCAGCAGTTTGGGAGGCCAAGGAGGGCGGATCATGAGGTCAGGAGTTCAAGACCAGCTTGGCCAACATGGTGAAACCCTGTCTCTACTAAAAATGCAAAAATTAGCCGGGCGTGGTGGCACACGCCTGTAGTCCCAGCTACTCAGGATGCTGAGGCAGGAGAATTGCTTGAACCCGGGAGGCAGAGGTTGCAGTGAACCAAGATCATGCCACTCTACTCCAGCCTGGGCAACATAGCAAGACTCCATCTCGGGGGAAAAAAAAAAGATTAAAGTAAGTAGAAGTTAATGTAGCAAAGAGGCACATGGATGAGGGCAGATTTTGGAGCCCTCCTGTGCCCTAGCCCCGTCCAGCAGGCCAGGTGGGACTCCCGCACACAAAAGGTAGCCTCTGCACACTCACTGGCACCCTCAAGGGCTGAAGCCTGGGCTCCCTGCCCTTCACACAGGCCGCAGCTGCAACTCACACCTACTCTTTCCCCTGGGACTCAAACGCCTTACTGCCTGCGCCAGGGTCTCTTAACCCAACCTAGTCTCCTTCCTGGGACTTCTCTGCTGATGTCACTCTGGGTCCGAGGTGGGTCCCAGAGACCAAACTCCTCTTGCAGGCCCTCTGGTGCGGTGGGTAATTTGCTGAAACTCCTCTTCCTCCCTTCTCCAGGTCTGGTGGTCGGAGGATGACCAAGGTGGTGCGTGACTTCCTGAAGGCCCAGCAGGTGCAGGCGCCCGTGGAGCTCTACTCAGACTGGCTGACTGTGGGCCACGTGGATGAGTTCATGTCCTTTGTCCCCATCCCCGGCACAAAGGTAAGCTAGCCTCCCGAGGCTGGAGTGAATGGGGTAGCAGCAAACCAATATATTACCCGCCCCTGCCAGCAGAGGGCAAGAGCTAGAGGAACTCGACAGCATAAAGGAAGGAGGAAGTAGGCTGAAGCTGGTTTGCATGTTGTTGCTGTGGCAGGTAAAATTTTAACCCCATAAATCCAAAATGTTAGCATTGCAACACATAATCAGCCTAAAAATTATTAACGAGAGATTTAAATTCTTTTCTCATACTAAATCTTCAAAATCTGGCAAAGATTTTACTCACATGACACACCTAAATTCAGACTAGCCACAGCTCAAGTGTTCAATAGTCACATAAGGCTAGTGGCTATTGTGTTGGTGGTAATGCTCTAGAGAGAAATAGGTTATGCACCTGTGGCACTGGAAAGAGGTTCTTTCATTTTCTTATGGGTACAACTTCATACCCTGGAAATTCTCTGCAAATTGTGTGGCTGCTTGGCAACTTGGAGATGTCCTGTCCAAGTCCACCTTTGACTCTGAGCCTTGATCTGGTGACATTGCTGAGGTAGAGGAAAGGTGAGAAATATTCCTCTGAAGCAGAGAACACCCTCCCCGTCAGCCTTTGCCACTCGGCATGGGAGGCCTGAGGCAATGAGCAGGCAAGGCACTGGGTCCTCAGCGCAGGGCCTCCCCGTGCTCCTTGGGTGCCTTCCCACTGCTGACTCTGTCCCTCTGGACTGTCTCTTGCAGAAATTCCTGCTACTCATGGCCAGCACCTCGGCCTGCTACAAGCTCTTCCGAGAGAAGCAGAAGGACGGCCATGGAGAGGCCATCATGTTCAAAGGTGAGTGGCCACAGGGCCTTGACAGGAAGTGGCGAGCTGGAGGCCCCAGAGAGACCCTCGGGAGGGTGGGGCAGATAAGCACTTTGTCCCTGAGCACCCAGCTCCACTTCCCTGGGTGTCTGGCCCGATCGGGGGTTTGTGAGGTCGCCATGCTGGGAAGCACCTCTGGCCTCCTGTGACCCTTGCTGTGGCTGGGTGGACTGTGAGCTGCCCACAGCTCCTTAGTGTCACCAGCAGTGCATAGCGCATCTTCAAGCCCTAGCGTATACTTTAAATGGCACCAGACCCAGTGGAGGGTTAAATGGTTGAAAACTGACATGCAGCTGGGTCTGGTGGCTCATGCCTACAATTCCAACACCTTTGGAGGCTGAAGAAAGAGGATCACTTGAGTCCAGGAGTTCGAGACCAATCTGGGCAACATAGTGAGAGCCCCATTTTTATAATACTTTTTTTTTTTTTTTTTGAGACAGAGTTTCGCTCTTATTGCCCAGGCTGGAGTGCAATGGTGAAATCTTGGCTCACTACAACCTCCGCCTCCCAGGTTCAAGCGATTCTCCTGCCTCAGCCTCCCAAGTAGCTGGGATTACAGGCAGGCACCACTATGCCCAGCTAATTTTTTTTTATTTAGTAGAAACTGGGCTTCACCATGTTGGTCAGGCTGGTCTTGAACTCCTGTCCTCAGGTGATCCACCCGCCTCAGCCTCCCAAAGTGCTGGGATTACAGGCATGAGCCACCACACCCAGCCTCTCTATAATAAAAATTTTGAAAAAGAAAAGGAAACTGATGTGCAATCTGCATTCAAGGAGCTTGTATTTTAGAAAGAGAGATAGAAAATAGATGCAATACAATTTAGGGACAGGAAGAAAAGTGGACTTTAGTGGGCAAAAGGCATGGTCAGACATCGTGGTTGTCAGTCCAGAAGTGAGACATTATCTTCTACGTTTAGACATTCACATAATTGGGACAGACATAGTCGGGATGAGGTTTGCATTTGAATTAATCACGGAAAGAGGGAAAGATGATCAGGTGGAGACAACCAGCCAGGTTAGAGACACCATGCCAATTCCTCATACTTCTTTTTTTTCTTTTTCAACTTCTATTTTAGATTTAGGGGGTACATGTGCAGGTTTGTTACCTGGGTGTATTGTGTGATTTGGGGTATGAATGATCCCATCACGCAGGTACTGAGCATAGTAGACAACAGTTAGTCATTCAACTCTTTCCCTCCTCTCTCCCTCCCCACTCTAATAGTCCCCAGTGTTTGCCATTGCCATCCTTATGTCCAACATGTTTTTTATTGTGATAAAATATACCTAATCTAACACATTTGTTATTTTAACCACTTGTAAGGACACAGTTCCGGGACATTAAATACATCTACAATGCTGACTAACCATCAGCACTCTCTATATCCGTTATACTTTTTTTTTTTTTTTTTGAGACACAGTCTCACTCTGTCGTCCAGGCTGGAGTGCAGTGGTGCCATCTCGGCTCACTGCAAGCTCCGCCTCCCAGGTTCAAGCCATTCTCCTGCCTCAGCCTCCCCAGTAGCTGGGATTACAGGCGCCCGCCACCACGCCCGGCTAATTTTTTGTATTTTTAGTAGAGGTGGGGTTTCACCATGTTAGCCGGGATGGTCTCAATCTCCTGACCTCATGAACCACCCGCCTCGGCCTCCCAAAGTGCTGGGATTACAGGCGTGAGCCACCATGCTCGGCCTATTTTTTTCTTAAATTACTTTTGTCACTTTTCAGGTTGGTATCCATAATATATCTCATGCCTGAAAGCCTGAGTTCCCGCAGCTGGTTGATACTTACATGACTGCCCCTCAGATCCAAAGACAGTGTTCCTGACTGTCACTGGTGTCTAGGACAGACAAGACCAATTTAACACCACCACCCTTTTTAAATTCCCCACTGATGGGAAGTTTGTTCTTGGATTGGCAAGCTTGAGTCCTGACTTCCTGGAGGCTTCCTCTCTAATATTAAACATACCCTCAAAAACTACCCATAGGATATAGGGACCATTATTTTTGTACAAATAGGGGCAAGCAGTGCCCCAGATTTCTCTTTGTATTTTAGAAAGAGAGATAGAGAGAAAATAGATAGAATACAGTTTGGGGACAGGAAGAAAACTGGACTTTGATGGACAGAAGGCATGGTCAGGCATCGTCATTGTCAGTTCAGGAGTGAAACATTATCTCCTGGACTTAGACATTCATGTAATTGGGACAGACAGAGAGAGGATGCGCGGATGTGCAGTCAGCAGAGAGTAGAAGCACATAGGAGACCTGGGGAGGAAGGTGAACCAGGCAATGCCAAAGAGCCAAGATCTCCGCTGGACCAGAGCCCACAATGTTTGGGGAAAACACATCCCTTTAAAAGATGATAAAAACTACAGACTTGCCCTCCAGAAAAATGCTTATATCAATCTATCTCCTGAACTTGGATCAGTTTTAGAAAATCACAGATCCCTAAAGTTTTCTGTTTCTACCTGGACCCTCCCTTCTGAGTCCCTAAGCCTCAAAGATTACATCCGGCTTGTAGCTGGGCATCTTTACTGCTGTCCAGTTATAAACCTGGGAAGTGCAATGGACCAGCAGTCTCTTCCCAGATGAGGCCAAAATAAATAAACAAATAATAGGTTAAGAGCATAGGCTCTGGAATCAGACTGCCTGATCTGCACACCAACTCTGCCGCTTGCTAGATGTAAGTCCTGAGACAAGTCACATAACTTCTCTGTGCCTCAGTTTCCTCATTTTTCAGGGTAGTGACTACCCCATAGAAATGTGGGGAGGATCCATGAGTTAATTCAATGTAAAGCGTTTAGAAGAGCGTCGGCCACATAGTAGGTGCTCATTGAGCATTAGGCATTACTAATCAAGCTGGAAGCCACATAAGCCATCGTGTGGTACAGGAGGAAAACGCAGGCCACTCCAGAGCAGCAGCCAAGATGAGGCAGCTCTGGAAAACAGGAAGGGTGTCCCCTTTGGCCATGCTGCTTCTGCCACATTCATGCTGGTCAGCTGCTCATCCTTAGGAGTAGGCTGTAGGTGGGAGAACCAGGGGGCTACTTGTAGCACCCCTGATCCCACTGGCCAAAGCAAGAGCAAGGCAGCTGCCACCACTGTCCTGGCTCAGATGTCATGGTCAACTCTGGAGAAAAGAGTGTGTGCTGCCCTCCCCAGACAGAGGGGGGCCTGATTTTGCCTGGGAGTGCCCTCCTGTGATCCAGCCTCTCCCCAGTCCCATCTCCCCAGTCCCAGTCCAGCAGTTAGCCCAGGCCTGGAGGATCTTGGCAAAAGGGGAACACTCAGCCTGGGTATCTAAAGCTTGACCATCCCCTGTCCTTTGAACCCCACAGGCTTGGGTGGGATGAGCAGCAAGCGAATCACCATCAACAAGATTCTGTCCAACGAGAGCCTTGTGCAGGAGAACCTGTACTTCCAGGTGAGGGCAGGGCAGGGGTGCAGGGCCAGAGGGCCCCTGGGAGGGATGAGGCTCAGGCCCTTACATCCTTGGGGCTTCCGTAGAGAATGGCCAAGGGCTCAGGAGCTCCTGACCCCGAGCACAGCAGCACAGGGAAGAGCCTCCACCAGCATCCAGCCAGCCTCCTTGCTTTGCTCCTGGGCTAAAGTCCCAGGGTTAAAGAAGTGCCAAATTGTGCCGCCCCCTCACTTGGGGAGGTAGGACCATGGGCAACTCACTAAGGCTGTCTTTGGGTCTCTCATCTCTAAAAAGGGGATAATGGGGGCCAGACACAGTGTCTCATGCCTGTAATCTCAGAACTTTGGGAAGCCAAGGCGGGAGGATTGCTTCAGGCCAGGGGCTTGAGACCAGCCTGGGCAACATAGTGAGACACTTGTCTCTACAAAAAAAATAAATAAAAACTTTGGCCGGGCCTGGTGGCTCATGCCTGTAATCCCAACTCTTTGGGAGACTGAGGTGGGCAGATCACCTGAGGTCAGGAGTTCAAGGCCAACATGCCCAACATGTTGAAACCCCATCTCTACCAAAAATACAAAAATTAGCCTGGCGTGGTGGCAGGCGCCTATAATCCCAGCTACTTGGGAGGCTGAGGCAGAAGAATCACTTGAACCCAGGAAGTGGAGGTTGCAGTGAACCGAGATCGTGCCACTGCACTCCGGCGTGGGCAACAGAGTGAGACTCAGTCTTAAAAAAAAAATTAAAAGGGAATAATAATAGCATCTATATTACAGGGCTGGAGCTTAAATAGGCAATCTATGTAATGCGCTTAGAACAGTACTAAGCACATGTACGCATTAGCTTTTGTTATTACCAAAATCATCAGTGTTATCCTCAGCTCATGGGGTGGCCCGAGGGGTCACTGAGGTGCTGTGTGGGAAGCACTTAGCACAGGGACCGGCTCTAGTGAGTGCTCAGGAAATGGCAGCTGCTGTTCTGGCATCTGTGACCTTCCTCTGTCCTATTACGACTGCTGTTCATGAACCCCGGTGGACAGGGCCAGGGAGAGGCTGCAGAGGCGCCCGCTGACTGCTAGAAGTCTCTCTGGAGTGCCGGGGCCCCTGGCCTGGTGCTGCAGACAGGGATGGGGTTGACAAGGTGGCCGGTGTGTGTCCCCCTCACCTGCATGCCCTCCATCCTTTCTCCTACCCAGCGCTGCCTAGACTGGAACCGTGACATCCTCAAGAAGGAGCTGGGACTGACAGAGCAGGACATCATTGACCTGCCCGCTCTGTTCAAGATGGACGAGGACCACCGTGCCAGAGCCTTCTTCCCAAACATGGTGAGGCCCTGCAGACCCCAACCCTCGCCCCATGCCAGTACAGGGCAGCCAGATCCAGAAGGACCCCTCAGCTGAAGCTGTCCAATGGGGAGGCCCAGGTCCCAATCCTGGCTGAGCTGCTGTGTGACCTCACCTCAGGCACTTGCCCTCTCTGGGCCTCCATTTCCTCCTAGGAGTGATATGCTCATCCTAGCTGCTTCACTGGGATACTGGGAACCCTTTTCCTTAACAGATAGGAAAGTGCTGTGCAAAAGATTAGAAGTCCTTTATGTACAGGAGGGATTTCTGTTACATAGAGGGGAGTCTTCTATAACATAAAAAGAGGTTAGAACAATACATATGCACACATGGACACATATATACACACATGAGCACACATAAACACATGTGCATGCATGGACACATATATACACACACATGCACACAGAAACACACATGCACGCATGAACATATATACACACATGCACACACAGAAATACACATGCACACATAAATGCATACATACCCATACGTGTGTGCACATTCATACACATGTACATGTACACACTGATGCATGCATATATAGCCACATATACATACATGTACAGACATATGTGAATGCTTTTGCACACACATACATACAGAGGCAGATTGCCTGGTTTTCCACTTCAGCTCTGCCATTTGTGAGTGACTTAGCCCCACTCCGTCCCTATCCAATCACAGTTACTACTTCACAGGGTTGCCGTGAGGGTTCCATGAGCTTAGGATAGGCATGTGTGTACTAGGTGCTCACTAAATGGAAGCTGTTGCCATCGCAATCCCCCGTCACAGGTGAACATGATCGTGCTGGACAAGGACCTGGGCATCCCCAAGCCATTCGGGCCACAGGTTGAGGAGGAATGCTGCCTGGAGATGCACGTGCGTGGCCTCCTGGAGCCCCTGGGCCTCGAATGCACCTTCATCGACGACATTTCTGCCTACCACAAATTTCTGGGGGAAGTCCACTGTGGCACCAACGTCCGCAGGAAGCCCTTCACCTTCAAGTGGTGGCACATGGTGCCCTGACCTGCCAGGGGCCCTGGCGTTTGCCTCCTTCGCTTAGTTCTCCAGACCCTCCCTCACACGCCCAGAGCCTTCTGCTGACATGGACTGGACAGCCCCGCTGGGAGACCTTTGGGACGTGGGGTGGAATTTGGGGTATCTGTGCCTTGCCCTCCCTGAGAGGGGCCTCAGTGTCCTCTGAAGCCATCCCCAGTGAGCCTCGACTCTGTCCCTGCTGAAAATAGCTGGGCCAGTGTCTCTGTAGCCCTGACATAAGGAACAGAACACAACAAAACACAGCAAACCATGTGCCCAAACTGCTCCCCAAAGAATTTTGAGTCTCTAATCTGACACTGAATGAGGGGAGAAGGGAAGGAGATTCTGGGATTGCCAGTTCTTCCAGCAGCCATGCTCTGAAAATCAAGGTAGAATCCATGGAAAGGGACCCCAGGACCCCGGGACCCTAGACGTATCTTGAACTGCCATCGTCATTTCAAATACATCTCCCTCAGGGTTTCCAGGTGGCCACCCCCAATTATTCATTCCTTACCAACCTCTCAAATCCTCTTGGCTTTCTCTCTGCAGTGTGGACACTGTTGGCTAGTCCTCCCCACTCCCTGAGGGTCCAGTAAGTTAGCTTAGAACCTTCCTGGAAACATTTCATCTGAGCAGGTTTCCCCACGTGTGGGATGCTCCTTTTGCCTCATCTGTCTCAGGGATGCAGGCTCCCCCGCATGCATGGGGATTTCTCCCCAGACCAGCATACTTGTGACCTGAGAGTTCAATGCGTAAAGATGCCCCTGGTCAGCCATATCCATCTTCTCTTGCCTGGTCCTTGATTCTCTGGCCGCTCCCTGACCTTCCTCCTTCCACTGCCTTGACTTTCTTCCTTTTTATTCCTGGTGCCATCTGTCCAGGCAGCTAGACAAGAACTTGTTCGCCAGCAGCCAGATTCAGGCCTTCCCAGGGGCATAATAAGTGACCAGCCCCTCCTCTCCGGACATCAGATCCAACACATAAGGACCCTGGCCTACCCTCCAGCCCAACAGCCAGTTCTGGGTCAGCTGCCAACTTAGGGGTGGTTTGATTATCCCATTGAAATTCACCAGTGCCTTTGCCAAAGACCCTCTCATTTGGACATACCCAGATTCATTCCCTGGCTCCAACTGAAAAGACTCAGTTTCAATCGTTAAAAGTTCCTTTAGGGCCAGAAGAATAAATGAATTATAATCCCATTTTGAAGAACCGATTTATAACCAATGAAAAGGTTATAATGTAATTTATATTCTTGGAGGAACAAGATTTTCATTTGGGATTATTTCCTTCAACCATTCAACAAACATTTGTTGTATGCCACTAAGCGCCAGGCACGGCGTTGGGCTCTGCAAACACAGTGGTTAGTAGCAGTCTGGACCTGGTCCCTACTGGCATGGAACCCATCACTCCCCAACATGCAAAGCCCACATTTAAAGGCCAGCCTCTGCCCCTTCAGTGATGCGCTCTTTAGAAATGCCAGTCCACTATATTCAGAAATCCGCAGGGCACAAAACTTCCAGCAAGTCACTGTTGTGGTGAAATGGGCAGTGGGGGTGGGGGGTCTTCTTTAAACAGGCCCCCTTCCCATCTACCTAGCCAGTACCCATCCAATGAGTCCCCAGAGCCTCCAGAAGCTGTTGTCTCCTCTCTGGGGACAGCAGCTCCTGCCTTTGGAGGCCAAAGCCCCAGATCTCTCCAGCCCCAGAGCTGAAAACACCAAGTGCCTATTTGAGGGTGTCTGTCTGGAGACTTAGAGTTTGTCATGTGTGTGTGTGTGTTTGGTTAATGTGGGTTTATGGGTTTTCTTTCTTTTTTTTCTTTTTTTTTTTAGTCTACATTAGGGGGAAGTGAGCGCCTCCCATGTGCAGACAGTGTGTCTTTATAGATTTTTCTAAGGCTTTCCCCAATGATGTCGGTAATTTCTGATGTTTCTGAAGTTCCCAGGACTCACACACCCGTTCCCATCTCACTTGCCCACCCAGTGTGACAACCCTCGGTGTGGATATACCCCCGTGGACTCATGGCTCTTCCCCACCCCCACTTTCTATAAATGTAGGCCTAGAATACGCTTCTCTGTTGCAAAACTCAGCTAAGTTCCTGCTTCCACCTTGATGTTGAAATATCTTATGTAAGAGGGCAGGGGATGTCGTGAAGATGGCAAGAAGAACACAGTTTCAAATTTCTGGAAAAGAGCCTGTGGTGGAGATCTAAAGATGTTTAGGGAAGAGCTCGACTAAAGAACAATGAAATAAATGGTCCAAGGGGAAGTCATATGGCTGTTGGTGTGATGTTCTTTGCTGCTTCATAGACACGGCCTGGAGTGAGGCAAGCCACACACTGGGCCCTCCTGGTCCTGCAGCCCTTGCTGTTCTGGGCACAGGGTCTGGGCTCTCAGCATAGGTATCTTGAGGGTTCGGAATCCCCAACACACTCAGCAACTGCATATTACATGGCCACCACCGAAGGTCAAGACCAGTACCCGCAATAAAGTCTGACTATGTTGTTCTGATGGGGTTCCCCAGGAGCAGAGCCTGAGATGAGCATTCAGGAACAAGTGATTTATTGAGAAGTGGCCGGCGCAGTGGCTCATGCCTGTAACCTCAGCACTTTGGGAGGCCAAGGCAGGAGGATCCCTTGAGCCCAAGAGTTCCATACCAGCTTAGGCAACATAGTGAGACCCCCATCTCTATAAAAAATTTAAAAAATTAGCTGGGCATGGTGGCACATGCCTGTAGTCCCAGCTACTTGGGGGGAGGCTGAGGCAAGAGGATCTCAACTGAGCCTAGGACATGGAGTCTGCAGGGAGCCACGATCGTCCCACTGCACTACATTCCAACCCACATGACAGAGCAAGACCCTGTCTCAAAAAAAAAAAAAAAAAAAGGAGCCTCCGGGGAAACCAAGATGGTAACTGGGGGAGCAGGCCAAGGAAAGGGAAGAAACCATACAAGAGTGTGAGGTGAAGCCTCAGACCGATCCCTGGAGAGCTCTGGAGCATAAATGGCACCTCTGAGCTGTCCTGTCTGGAGGCTGAGTCTTTGTCCGCCTGCACCAGTCATTGGCTCTGGGGACTCTGGCCCTCTGAATGGGCGAGGGGGCACCAGGAGCTCATAGGCAACCATCTAAAGATCACAGCTGGGATTAGGAACAAAGTCACAAGCTTGTGACAAGTTCTGCCGCAACCAGAAGAGGGAACCGCAACCACGGCAGGGAATCAGCCTTGTCCATTGCTCTGGGTGATGTTGTGTCCTTTTAATCAACAGCTACTACACACAAGTATTTGTGATTTGACCCATGGTATGAAAATCCATACAACATAACCATGATCTAACAGGGTCTTTGTGAACAAACTCCTGAGGCCCTAAAATGGAGTCACCTGATTGGTTGCTGAGTCTAGAAGCTGCTTCCAAGTTCTTTGGGAGACACCTGGGGCCCTTCTCACTCCTTAGTCCCATCTTGAGCTTCTGGACCAATGTCTTGGTGCCACTATTTTAAAGGGGCCACTGCAAAATGAGAATCACTGGTTCACTCACTCCCAGGCTTAACCCAGGGGCCCAGGCCTCTGAAATCCCCTTTTTTTGGTTTTGTTTTGTTGTTTTTTTGAGACGGAGTCTTGCTCTGTCACCAGACTGGAGAGTGCAGTAGCATGATCTTGGCTCACTGCCACCTCCGGCTCCCTGGTTCAAGTGATTCTCCTGCCTCAGCCTCCAGAGTAGCTGGGATTATAGGCAAGCACCACCATGCCCAGCTAATTTTTGTATTTTTAGTAGAAACGGGGTTTCATCATGTTGGCCAGGATGGTCTCGATCTCCTGACCTTGTGATCCACCCACCTCGGCCTCCCAAAATGCTGGGATTATAGGCGTGAGCCAGCACCCTACCGAAATCCTCTTTTATACCCAACTAATGTGGTCCAAGCCACTGCAAGGCCAATCTTTCATAGATTTCCTGACCCATCTAGTTCTGCAATTCCCCAAGGGATGCTGGGATGTTCAACAAGTTCATCCTGGTGATGTTTTCACATCTTGGCCAATCACCCACCTCAGGGTCGCTGAGTGTTACCTTGAGACTTTTGAACAGCACTTTCCAATAGAAATATAATGCAAACTACATAATGTGATTTTGAATTCCCTAGTAGCCACATTTAAAAAGTAAAATGCAGGTGAAATTAATTTTAATAATATATTTTCTTTAGCCCAATCTATCCAAATCATTATCATTTCAACATGTAATCTAAAGTGTAAAATTTCAATGAGATATTTTACATTCTCATTTTTTGGTAGTAAGTCTTTGAAATCTAATGTGTATTCTATACTTATATCACACATCTATTCAGACTAGCCACATTTTAAGTGCTCAATAGCTACAAGTGGCTATCATATTGGAAGGTATTGTTCTAGAAACTTGTCTGCCAGGCTGAGCGCCAATTGTGGAAATAGGCACATTCCTTAAACCCCCAGAGTCCACTAGTTTGACTGCAATGGTTAATAAAAGTTTATTATTATCATATTGAAAAAAGAAATGTAAAACAGATACGAGCCATCACTGGCCTTGGTATGCAGACCCTTGCCCTTCCGAAAGTCTTCTTGTCTGAACCATGGCTGCTGCCAAGTTACCAGGACCCCCCTCTCTCTCTGCAAGGTGATTGCCTTTGGCCAGGTCCCCTCTGCCCACTGTCAAGATGGGAACCCCCACCAGGTCCTCTTTTTCCCCTCACTCTTCCTGTGGATACAGCCTGGTTCTACATTTAATCTAAAATGTGTACTTGGAGTCCCAGGTGAGAGCAGCTCGTTATCTCAGATTCCTCCAGCATTCCAGATGGGATCAGAGCCACACCTTGGCATAGCCAAAACCCCACGGAAGTGGTTGGGGGGAGGTCTCTCCTCCGAAACAAAAAGCAGCCAGGAATGAATCTGCCTCTCCAGTGAGATTCATGTAGGATCCTCAAGCAAGTGGTATCAGGTCCAAGGGGCTGATGGAAAAGTTATTAGCAACTAAATATAGGAGTGACATCAAATGGCAGCATGTAGGATCCTTTCTCCAGCTGGACATGCAGAAAAAGAATGCTCCCAGGCACAAAGCCCAGCTCTGCAGCCTTGTCTCAAGCCTGGCTGATGTGAAAGACCTTCACCCCATCCCCCTGGCCAGCTGGGCTCTTTTTCAGCCCTGATCTTTGAAAAAGCAAAGGTCTTCTCTGGGTAGTCTCTAAGCAAACTGCTGGGTTCAGGCCACGCCAGCTTGGCCTCAATCCCTCACCTTCCACAAGCAAAGGTCTGCTTTCTGACAGCCCTGGTTATACCCAAAGATGACTAACAGTCTCTGACCAGCATGCTAAGGCCCCATGCGCAGGCTACTGTGTTACTGAAGAGCTGAAGAGATACGTTCAATCTTTAAAAGGAATGTTTTCCGGCCAGCTACAGTGACTCATGCCTGTAATCCCAGCACTTTGGGAGGCCAAGGCGGGCAGATCACCTAAGGTCAGGAGTTCGAGACCAGCCTGGCCAATATGGTGAAACCCAGTCTCTACTAAAATACAAAAATTAGCCAGGCGTGATGGCGAGCACCTGTAATCCCAGCTACTCAGTAGGCTGAGGCAGGAGAATCGCTTGAGCTCTGGAGGCAGAGGTTGTAGTGAGCCGAGATTGCACCACTGCACTCCAGCCTGGGGGACAGAGCGAGACTCCATCCCAAAAAACAAAAAAAAAAGGGAATATTTTGTTTTCCTACTGATGGCAATTCCTGGCACATAGTTGATGCTCAGCAAATGTGTTTTGAATAAAAGAAGGAAACATCTGTTCAGCTAGGCAATGGAAGCAGAAAAGTCAGCCCAAACATTTCTTAAACATTGATTGCATTCCTACCAGGTGGAACTATATGGAATCCCATTTGGAAGGTCAAAATGGTCAAATAGAGGCGATTTTTGTTGGTTCAACCTAATGCTTTGCATTCGTCATCTCATCTAATTCTCAAAACTAAGCTGTGAGGTTGTTATCCCCACCTTACAGATGAGGAAACTGAAGCTCAGAGACAGGAAGTGACTTGCTCAAGATTACTCAGCAGGAAATGGCAGAGCTGGGATTCATACCTGGGTGGTCTGGCTCCGGAGCCCACCCACTGAGCGCCTGCTCTTGACTACATCTCAGAAACAGCTTTCTAGCCGGGCGCCATGGCTCATGCCTATAATCCCAGCACTTTGGGAGGCCAAGGTGGACAGATCACTTGAGGTCAGGAGTTCAAGACCAGCCTGGCCAACATGACAAAACCCCGTCTCTACTAAAAATACAAAAATTAGCCAGGCGCGGTGGCACACATCTATAATCCCAGCTAATAGAGAGGCTAAAGCAGGAGAATCACTTGAACCCAGGAGGCAGAGGTTGCAGTGAGCCAAGGTCATGCCACTGCACTGCAGCCTGGGCAACAGAACAAGACACTGTCTCAAAAGAAAAAAAAAGAAAAGAAAAAAGAAACAGCTTTCTAACCCAAGTTTAGCATTCTTTCATTCACAAATGTTACCTTATCTTTGCACCAGTTTTTAGCATGTCAGGTGTCCTATTAGAAGAATCTTATCAACAAGATATCCCCTCTACCTGCAAGCAAGATGTCTGGAGATTATAGGATTCCTACAAACCCCTCTAAGGCAATAAGGCCCATAATGAAATGACCTCTACGTAGCTCAGTATGTGCTCTCTCTATTCCTCAGCTCGGAGTAAGATGGCATGTCTAAATCGTGAAAAGCAAATTATATTCATTCATCCATCCGTTCACTTTTCTCCATTAACATTTGCCAAGTGTCTACTGTGTGTAAAACCAGTGATCCCACAATTTTTCATCTAAACCAGGGCACTTCTGAGATCTCAGAGGAGCCCTGCAAATAATTCCATCAGGGCAACAGAAGAATCCGGAACTATGCTCGGCAAACCAGGGTGTTTGTTCTCCCTGGAAAGCCCTGTGCATGAGACATTATCTAATCCCTCAAGGAGCTGACAGCTGAGTCAGGGAGACAGACAGGAGAGCAGAGAGGCACACTGATGGAATAGGCACCTGATAAATACTTGCTGAATGGAGGAATGAATAAGGTACAAAAATCTGTGTACACACACACACACCTTTCCTGCTGGGAGAATGACCAAGGATGGCCTGGTGTTCATTTGTCCTAAGATGAATGACTGCTGAGTGAATGTAGAAATGAATGATTAGGCAAAGAGGGGAGGAGGGGTTGCCAAGCTGAGTAGAGACACAAAGAGGTCCAGGTGTGTAATATGTCTGGGAAATTGTGATTATAGTGAGTAGCTAAAATATAGATTGCAGTAATGCTGGAAACACTAGGGTTGGTGCCCTGGAAACCGTCTGAAGGTTTGAGGTCACTGCGGTCACATGATCAATCCTGTATTTTAGGAAGCTGACAGTAACATATTTCTTCACTGATATTAAACTCATAGGGAAAACATTTTTAAGAAATTTCCTGAGGGATAAGCAAACCATGGTACAGCCCTGCTTTTAAATATTCTGCAGCATATATGATGAGACGGATCTATGCATACTAACATGGAAAGACCTCCAAGACACAGCACTTGACGAAAAAATGGCAGCTTGCAGAACATGTATGTTATCGTTTGTATTTTCTAAAAATAAAAATGGCCGGGTACAGTGTCTCACACCTCTAATCCCAGCATTTTGGGAGGCTGAGGCAGGCAGATCACAAGGTCGGCAGATCACAAGGTCAGCAGTTCGAGACCAGCCTGGCCAACATGGTGAAACCCCGTCTCTACTAAAAATACAAAAATTAGCCGGGTGTGGTGGCACACACCTGTAATTCCAGCTACTCAGGAGGCTGAGGCAGGGGAATCGCTTGAACCAGGAGGCGGAGGTTGCAGTGAGCCGAGATTGCACCACTGCACTCCAGCCTGGAGACAGAGCAAGACTCCATCTAAAAATAAAATAAAATAAAATAGAAAAATAACAGCAAGCAAAGCCATGGATTTCTGTAGAAACATACATATGTAAATACATACAAAGAAAAAAATCTGGAAGCAATCCCATGAAACTGACAATAGCAATCACCCCTGGGAAAGGAAGTGTGACTGAGGGGATTTAAGCTTTATCTATATTGCTTGAAATTTTTACATAGTGAGAATTTAATTACATATGTACAGTATTCTAAAATAATTTTTTAGAGCTGCCTGAAATCCTTGACATTGTATGTATGCTGAAGTCTTCCCATTCTGATAAGCATAATCTATTTCCCCTAATAAGGCACAGTTATCTTTTACCTCTTTCCTTTCCCCAGCTGGGCTCTCCACTACCAATTTAAGATTGATGGCTCCCTATAGACACTAACTCATTTAATTCTCCTCCCTGCAAGGCGACTGTTTCTTTTTCACCGTCTTACACAATAGGAAATGAATGCACAAAGAGGTTAAGGAACTTGCTCAAGATCACAGAGCAAATGGCTGATATAACAGGGTTTCAGACCCCTAAAGGCCTGCACACTTAACCATTCTACCTACCAGCCTCCCTAAGAGGTCAAATTGCCTTTAACGTTCTGCAGCTCTCTGACTTTTGTTTCCAGTCGGCTGGCATCTCGCCGCTACGCATGAATATTTACCCACTATTCGTATTTGCATTTCATTTGCATGGCTGTGTCTCTGATAGAAAACAGTGCTCAAAAGCCAGATTTGGCTGGAAAGGGCGTTTGATCATGGCATTATACGGTGTTTGCAAAGTGCTCACCCACACACATCCAGAGGAACAAACTAACTGCTCATTTGAGAGTATGCTGGTGACGGCAGGCATCTGGGAATGAGGCAGAAGTTAGCAGGGTGGGTGAGCTCCAAATGTATGTGTGTGTGTGCTGCTATAGGGCCAGCAGCATGACAGTCCCCAGAAGGCCTTGGACCACTTGCTAAGTCCCAGCAGCTGAGCTGACTTCAGCTGTGTGAAACGCAGCCCCATCTGGAGTGGGGGTGGCTCATGACTTTTTTGCTCCGGGAGTTCCATAGAGGCTGCTCTTGAAATTGGAGAAGCCTGTAGCCTATGATTGTCCCCATCCCACTCGAAGAGAATATTTTGAGAAGTCTAATTATATGGTGGGGTTTGCATGGGATGAGGGAAGAGAGTTTAGATAAGGCCTTTCTAAGGGCAGGTTGGCAAGGTCCAGTAGGGAGCCCTGGGTAGTTCTGTGAGGCAGCAGCACCCTCTGTGGGTAGACCAGAATGGCTGCAACCACCATGTTCCCACGAGCCTTAGGCGCACGCCTGCAGCCCAGCCCATCTACCTAACAGAAGAGGCTGACCTACTTGCTGGGTGACCTGCGGTGAGTTGTTGACACTCTCTGAGGCTCAGTTGCATCAACTGTAAATGAAGAATAGTAATCCCTACTTTGTGCCGTTGCTGAAATGATTACAGAGAGGACATGTACCCAAAGTATTCTGCATAGGACCTGGTACACAGTACCAAATGTGTCCTCCAAATGTGGCAGTTACCATCATTAGTCACCCCAATATCCCCATGACCCTTAGTATAGATGACCACCGAGTGCCCTAGCATAAGGGACAAGGCTTCTCTGAGAAAAATCATAGATGGGACTGGGGTGGGGGCTAGAAAGGATCTGTGCCGCTGGCTGGTTGACGTTTTGATTTGCCAATTCCGTCTATTCCAATTCTGGGAGTCCTTGACATCGGTCATGGGAGGCTCTGACAATAAATACGTTCATAAAGAATTAAAAACAGCCCAGGCGCAGATGCACAGTCCTGTAATCCCAGCACTTTGGGAGGCAGGAGGATTGCTTGAGCCCAGGAATTCAAGACCAGTCTGGGTAACATAGGGAGACTCCGTCTCTACAAAAAAAAAAAAAAAAAAAAACTTTTTTTTTTTTCAGACAGAGCCTTGCTCTGTCGCCCAGGCTGGAGTGCAGTGGCACGATCTCAGCTCATTGCAACCTCAGCCTCCTACGTTCAAGCAATTCTCTTGCCTCAGCCTCCCGAGTAGCTGGGATTACAGGCTCCCACCACCACACCCGGCTAATTTTTGTATTTTTAGTAGAGACGGGTTTCACCATGTTGGCCAGGCTGGTCTCGAACTCCTGACCTCAAGTGATCCACCTGCCTCGGCCTCCCAAAGTGCTGGGATTACAGGCACAAGCCACTGAGCCCAGCCTACAAAATTCTTTTTAAAAGTAGCTGGGCATGGTGGTGCATGCCTGTGGTCCCAGCTACTAGGGAGGCTGAGGTGGGAGGATCACTTAAGCACTGGAGTGCGAGGCTGCAGTGAGCCATGATCATGCCACAGCACTTAAACCTGGGTGACAGAGCAAGACTCTGTTTCAAAAAAAAAAGAATTAAAAACAAACTTGCAGATAGCAATAAGTTATATGAAGAAAATCAAATAGAGTCAAGTGGGTCAAGCCCTCAAATTGCCCATAGTCTGGGGAGGCAGACATATTCATGGGTCATTGTTAAAACAGGTGTTGCATGCATGGATGGCATATGCAGAGGATATTTTGATAGGGACAATCAAGGAGGGACTTCCTAAGGGAGGAAAAAGTTGGAGCTGAATCTTCAATGATGACAAGTCAACCACATGAAGGAGGAGGAAAGGACACTCCAGATCCAAGACACGGACGTACGCAAAGGCTTGGAGGTGTGAAATGAGGCGGGGAATAGAGCAGGCTGTATTACAGGGACAGAAGTAACTGGAAGGGCCCGCGGGGGAGCCGGGGAGCCTTGGAGCTATGGTGGGAGTTGATGGTTGATTGGATATGGGGTGGGGAGAAGAATCAAGATGACATCGAGTTTCTGGCTTGGATATCCGGTAGATGGTGGTGCTAATAAGACAAGTATAAACTCCTCAGGTGAGATGTACCGTTTGGGATAGGTTGGGTTTAAAGGACCATTGGGACGCCCAGATGGAGATGCTCAGGAGACAGCCAGGGAGACGGAAAGGACGAAGCCCACTGGCCAAAGGCAAATAAAATCCTAAATTTTGGCTGGGCGCAGTGGCTCATGCCTGTAATCTCAGCACTTTGGGAGTCCGAGGCGGGTGGATCACGAGGTCAGGAGATCGAGACTGTCCTGGCTAATACAGTGAAACCCCATCTCTACTAAACAAAATACAAAAAATTAGCCGTGCGTGGTGACAGGTGCCTGTAGTCCCAGCTACTCGGGAGGCTGAGGCAGGAGAATGGCGTGAACCCGGGAGGAAGAGCTTGCAGTGAGCCGAGATCGTGCCACTGCTCTCCAGACTGGGCAACAGAGTGAGGCTCCATCTCAAAAGAAAAAAAAAATCCTAAATTTTAGATGAGAAGGCCCCAGAGCTCCACCACAGCAATCTGTTGCTGTGGGTTTTTCCCAGAGGCAAATGAATCTCCCAGGCAACATCTGATATTTCCTCCTAAATCCAACCCTCCTTCACCCTCTGGCTGGCAGAAATCATCCAGGTTGCCCTAAATTACAAGACACCAGACTACAATTGATTGTACAAATGACAGTTGATACAACATAATGCTTTTTTATTTTGTTATTTTCATTTTTTTGAGACAGGTTCTTGCTCTGTTGCCCAGGCTGGAGTTGCAGTGGTGTGATCACAGCTCACTGCAGCCTCGACCTCCTGCACTCAAGCAATCCTCCCACTTCAGCCTCCCAAGTAGCTGGGACTACAGGTTTGCACCACCATGCTTGGCGGATTTTAAATTTTTTTGTAGAGACAGGGTCTCACCATGTTGCCCAGGCTGGTCTCGAACTCCTGGGCTCAAGGGATCGATCCTCCCACCTCAGCCTCCCAAAGTGCTGGGATTACAGGTATGAGCCACTTTGCCCAGCTGGTTTTAATTTTCAATTCTGGACATGATTTCCAGCTCTTAGGGGAGAAAGACCTCCTAAAGCAAAACGCTCACCTAAGGCTGCTCAGTTTTCCTGCTGTCCAAAGACTGAGAGAGTCTGGAAAACAGGAGCAGCTTTTCCAACCCAAAAGTGTGGTTATGAGGACTAAATGAGACTGTTTATGTAAACACCTTTGCAAGTGATAAAGTTCAGTATAAACATAGTGTCTAGCAGACTGTCTGGTGAAAAGCAATATGTCACTCTCTAGACGAATGGAAATAAACCAAAAAAACCTAGGGTCTTATCATGAGGACATCTTTGGAAAATATGTCAGGATCAGGCCATGAAAATTTCTAAGTCCTTCTGCAGCTGTGACTTTCTGGCATCCCAAAGTCCAGGGCGGAGGTACAGCCGCCCAGGAATTTATTCCTCCATAACTTTGAGCTCCCCAAATCCCCACGAAGCCCAGGAATGATGTGACTGCAGGGCATGTGGGCCCATTGGCACCAACAGCCCCTCCATAAATCAAGGTCTCACTTATGCTGGCCTCAGACTGCTTTTTCCAAGGTGACCTGGGCAAACTGAAAGGGTAGTTGCTTATCTAGGGGTGGCATCTGCCTTTGAGATGAAAGAACCCTGAAAATGCTAAGAGGACCAATTCTCTAGAAATACATTCCTTTCAGGAAGAGCTTTCTTCAGCTCAGACGACAATTCAGTTAGGAGGAGTTAGAGACAGAGCGGCAGTCTTCCCATATCTCAGCCAGTTTGGGTGACCCAAGAGGCCCCATGGGGCAGACCAGAGGGGCCCTGTTCCAGTCCTGGGTCAGCGCCAGTGAAAGTCAAGGTGACCTCAGCATTGTTACCAGTTATCCACAAGACAGCCACGTGAATCACAGAATCTTAAATCAGAGGGCCCAACACCCTAATGGTTCAGGCAAGGAAACTATAGGTCAAAGATGGGGAGGGGCTTATCCAAGGTCACATGGCCTTGAAGAGAATATTCCAGGTTAGACCTAGAGGTTCAGGCCTCACTACACACCCCCTTTAATGAGGCCACACTGGCGGTATAGCGGGGTTCCAGTCAAGGACTCCAGAAACAGCCCATCCAGCCAATTGACCTGGCCATCTCAATGTCTCCAGTAGCATCCACATCAGCTGTGAGAGTGGAAACCAAAGACTATAGAAAGGCGCCCTTCACATGTCCAAAACAAGCAGGCAGAAAGGGGAAAAAAAAATCACTCCTACGAAACCCCGGGACCTGCAAGGTTAACAATCTACACAAACGCGTGGAGTGACTGAAGAGGCAGGTGCCTTGGAGGCTCCAGGCCACTCCTGCCCAAGGTAAGTCCCAAGAGTGAGGCCAGCTCTGAGCAGATCCATGGAGGGGGCTGGAAAAAGAAGCTGAGATGACTAAAATGGAAACTCAGTAAAAAACAAAACCAAAAAACTTTCTTCACAGAACTGCTGTGGGGATTAAGTGGGATAATGGACCATAATGTTTGGCACAGAGTAGAAATGGTTTCTTATATTAAATGGCTAACAAAGCCACCAAGGACTGGGTGTCCTTCTCTGGGCACACCCTCTCGTACAGAACAGAGCTCACAGTGTCTAGCTGTCTGCTCACTTGCCGTCTCCACCACTAGAGAGTAAATTCAATGAGCAGTGACCACCTGGCTTGCTCATTCCCTGCAGCATCCCAGCACTTGGTGCCTGCCACATAGTAGCCACTCCATTCGTATTTATGAATGAATGAATGAACGAACAAAAGAATGGCACCTTTGCCAGCCACCCTTGAAATCACCTCAGCTCATTCACCAACTGCCCAGTTTGTTTGGGACTCTCAGTGCAGAAACCTGGGCAGCCTCGGGCAAGCTGCACGGTATGCGACAGAAAGGGCTGACTCAAGCCAGTAAGCGTCAGAGATGAATAATAAGACTGACAAATTCTTAGGGAGGCTAGGTGTGGTGGCTCACGCCTGTAATCCCAGCACTTTGGGAAGTTGGAGCAGGATGATTGCTTGAGCCCAGCCTGGGCAACATAGCCAGACTCCATCTCTACAAATAATTTTTTAAAAAAATTATCCGGGTGGCCGGGCGCGGTGGCTCATGCCTGTAATTCCAGTACTTTGGGAGGCCGAGGTGGGTGGCTCACGAGGTCAGGAGTTCAAGACCAGCCTGGCCAAGATGGTGAAACCCCATCTCTACTAAAAACACAAAAAAATTAGCCGGGCATGATGGCGGACGCCTATAATCCCAGCTACTCGGGAGGCTGAGGCAGGGAATTGCTTGAACCCGGGAGGCGGAGGTTGCAGTCAGCCGAGATCGCGCCACTGCACTCCAGCCTGGGAGACAGAGCGATACTCCATCTCAAAAAAAAGAAAAAAAAAAAAACTACCCGGGTATGGTGGCTCACACGCCTGTAGTCCCAGCTACTCTGGAGGTGGGAGGATCGCTTGAGCCTGGGAAGTCGAGGCTGCAGTGAGCCAAGACTGCACACCGGCCTGGGCAACAGAGTGAGACCCTGTCTGAAAAAAAAAAAAAAAAATTGGCCGGGCGCAGTGGCTCATGCCTGTAATTCCAGCACTTTGGGAGGCCAAGGTGGGCGGATCACGAGGTCAGGAGTTCAAGACCAGTCTGGCCAAAATGATGAAACCCCGTCTCTACTAAAAATACAAAAAATTAGCCGGGTGTGATGGTGTGCGCCTGTAATCCCAGCTACTCGGGAGGCTGAGGCAGGAGAATCGCGTGAACCCGGGAGGCGGAGGTTGCAGTGAGCCAAGATCGCGCCATTGCACTCCAGCCCGGGAAACAGTGCGAGACTCCATCTCAAACAAACAAACAAAAATTCCAGGAATAAAGAGGTTGAAATCGGGGCAGGGACCCGGATAGGATGGCTCCGCCCCATCTAAGTCTTAGCCCCACCCCCTGAAAGTCGCCCTGCCTCTCAGACTCCTCCCCTTTCTGAGAAGGTCACGGGGGAAGCCAAATGGGCATGCGCCGCTACTGCGCTATTGCGCACGCTCGCTGTGCTTGCCCCGCCTTCCCTCCGCCCACCCGGGAAACCGGAAGCCGCCTCCCACTTGGTTGCTCGTACGCGGCTAGTGGGTCCTCAGTGGATGTAGGCTGGGCGCCGCGATGTTCGACGGGACACCGGCGGAGAGCGACCTCGGGGTTAAGGGGTGGGGCTGACGTCAGGAGCCAAGATGGCGGCGGTGGTCGCACTCTCCTTGAGGCGCCGGTTGCCGGCCACAACCCTTGGCGGAGCCTGCCTGCAGGTGAGTCCTGGAGCCTCAGAGAGGGAAAAGTCAGGAAAGCCACAGAGACTGCCTGGAGCTGATGGGGCTGCGGAGAGACTGAGGAAGCATAGGGCAAGGCCTCAGGGAGATGGAGGACCTCCTCCCCCTGGTGCAGTGCTTTGGTTTGGCTTCGAGCATCCCTGTCAAGTTATCTTTCTGCGCCTCGCAGCAGCTTGTGAGTTAGGGCACGGGCAATTTTTTACAGCTAAGGGTGCGGGGGGGGGGGACGTTCAGAAAGGGGACTTGAATTGCTCAAGGTCACATGGCAAGCGAATGACTGCTGGAACCAGAATTTGAATCCAGACATTGGAGTTCCAAGCCCTTTTTCTGCCACCAAACTATCGCCTCTGTAGAAAAGGGAGACCTGCGGGGTGTGAAGGATGGGAATTGGGAAGCGAGGTAATTCCTCAAGGGTGCGAGGTTGAGGACCGGGATGGGTGAGGAAAGGACATGTGAATTGTTGGGGACAGGGCAGGGGAAGGGAGAGATGGAGGGAAATGCACCCAGCCCCCTACCTCGAAGGATCCCGGAGGTGGGTGGTGGGGGTTGCAGGAAAGACTGGGTTCCTTAAAGCAGTGTCACCACAGTTTCACTAGTATCCTCTCAGTGTTTCTGACTCTAAAGGTCATATAATAATACGGACCTCATAGAGTTGACATGGAATGACAGGTAGAGGGCTTGGCGCTGTTCTTGTTTATTACTATGCCGTGTGCAGTAACAGATTTTCCCACGCCCCTTGTATGGCCAAGAAACAACACATTTCTGACCTGCCTTCTAAGTGGGAACATTTAGAAGGGGAAGGGAAATTGCTTTTGTATACATAAGGGACTAAGGATTTGCAAATCCTTTCTAAGTCTGTTCCTCTTCTGGGATTCTCAACAACCCCTTTAAGGTGGGCAAGCAAGAATCCTTACCCTCCTTTTTGGAGCTTTGAAAACTTGAGGCCCCCAGAAAGAAAATTTTTGGCTTGCTCAAAATATCACATTCCCAAGAAGCAGACCTGAGGCAGTTTTTTAACATGGTACCAGAAAAACTCCTTAGCATAGATCTTGGGACATGGTTGGTGTCCAAGAAATTTTAGTTCCTCTTCCTCTCTTGCACTTAAATGAGGACATCTTTCATCTTAAGTGCCTGCTATGGCTGCATAACACAGTACATATTGCCCATGTTCCAATCCTGGTTCTATCCAGCATGCTGTGTGTGAACTTGGATCCACTCTGTCTGCATCAGCCTTTCTGAAAAGGGGAGATAGAGGAAGAAGACAGCCTACCAGAGCCTCAAGCTGACATCCTCTCAGTATTAAATTGATGATTGATAATGAGCTTGTTTACCTGTTCCTTTTATAGTTGCTGAGCAAACAATTAAATTGTGAGAGCCCCACTAACGAGAGAGTTCCAAGCCCCTCTTCTAAGAATGCATTGTAGAAAAGGCTAATTTCATAGGTCATTTTTGTAATTCCAGGCAAGGTCTTTGCAGGGCCTCCTGAGGGCAACAGAAAATAGAAGAGCCCCAAGGCCTCCCCTTCCTTGTGGGAATGTACATGTATACCCACAAAAGCCACCTCAAAAGAATTCAGTAATGAGCTTGGTGTGTTACCTGTGGGTAACATTCAGGTTCAGGTTCTGAATTCTTTTTATGCTTATAGTCTGACCACTGAACCACAATTCTGCCTGTAAGTATTTGACTGTAGTATATTAACTATTGTTTGTGTTGCCTTATTTCTTCATCTGGACTATGAACTCCTTTAGGACAAGAACTACCTACTTAAAAGTGTGTATCTTGCCAGATGCAGTGGCTCATGCCTGTAATTCCAGCACTTTGGGAGGCCAAGGTGGGTGGATCACCTGAGGTCAGGAGTTCAAGACCAGCCCGGCCAACATGGTGAAACCCCGTCTCTACTAAAAAAATAAAAAATAAAAAAATTAGCTGGGCGTGGTGGTGGGCGCCTATAATCCTAGCTACACAGGAGGCTGAGGCAGGAGAATTGCTTGAACCTGGGAGGTGGAGGGTGCAGTGAGCTGAAATCGCACCATTGCACTCCATCCTGGGCGACAAGAGCGAAACTCAGTCTCAAAAAAAAAAAAAAATTTAAAAAATGTGCATCTTGTTCCTTAGGCTGGCAGGGCTAGGATACCTATTTACAAATCAGAATAATACAAAGACTGATAAGGTTGCCAATCTTGTAGAGCAAAAATTATTTTCTGGGCTATGCTAGAAACTTGACCCCCCCTCCCCCCGGTTATCTTATGAGGCAGATATTAATACTACCCACCCTTTACAAAGGAAGAAATAGAATCCGAAAAGCTAATAATTTGCAGAAGAATACACAGCTTGTAAGTGATAGAGCTTGGATTTCAAGCATCACCAATCACACTTTTCAGCAAGCCTGCACCTTGTATTTTACTCAGGCTTATCTTCATACAGTCCTTTTTGCTTTCTTCCTCTCTATTTCCCCACCTTCTTCTCTGGCCTCCAAATCTTTATCCACTCCATCCAACTCCAAGCCTGCACCCTAAGGACACTTTACTGGAGGAGCAACAACCAGCCTTCAGCACCATTCAGAATTCACCCTTCTCAGTTCAGTTGTTGCTTACCTTGCTTAAATTATAAACTATGAAATTCATACTATCCAAGATTTCCTAGGAATGTACTTTCTGCCTTGAATACTCATTAGTCTTTAGATTAACGTAAAAATGCTTTCAAGGGGCCCTCTTTCCTTTTGGATTTGTAGTATAAATTGCTGGGCAGGTAACAAGGGGAAAAAAATCATATAGTCTCATTGTATGATTAGAGCAACAACTTCTTTTGTTCCTTGGATCTCATTGTGAAATGGAATTATCTTTTTGCACTGTTGCGTTTTATGTTTGCGTTTTCACCACTGGTTATAATGGCTAAAAGGTTGGATTTTTGAATCAAGTGACCTGTGTTGCTATATGATCCTATCCTCGTCTTTTAACTGGGAACAACAAAACATTTTTCATAGAGATGTTATAAAGATTAGAGATTATTTGGCACCGTGTGTGACAGATTATAAAGGTTCGATGAATGAAATCTGGCAAATTTTTAGATATATGTATTCAACGAATTTTTTGGTGGAACACAGATAACATAATCCTGAGAATTAACTCTTTGTACAGACCTCAAGATGAGCAAAGCTCTATCACTTTCAGAACCATGACCACTCTGGTGATTTTGATTTCAGAATCTTCTTTCATTCTGGTAAACCCCCTTTGCCCCACCAAATATTGTATGAAATACATTTTTTTTTTTTTTTTGAGACAGAGTCACGCTCACGTTGTTGCCCAGGATGGAGTGCAGTGGCGGAATCTTGGCTCACCGTACCCTCCGCCTCCCGGATTTCAAGCAATTCTCCTGCCTCGGCCTCCCAAGTAGCTGAGATTACAGGTGCCCGCCATCGTGCCTGTCTAATTTTTTTGTATTTTTAGTAGAGACGGGGTTTCACCGTGTTGGCCAGGCTGATCTCGAACTCCTGACCTCAGGTAATCCACCTGCCTCGGCCTCCCAAAGTACTGGGATTACAGGCATGAGCCACCACGCCTGGCCTATAAAATACATTTTTGACACAAAACAAATTTAAATTAGTTGTACTGAAAAAAAAAAAATGATGACATTTTGGGGCACTCCAAAACTGATGTTGGGATATGTCGACTTAGATATTCAGTGTAGTACATCCTGGCATTGCTCTTATTTCACATCATTCATATGATAAGACTTTTTAAAAATTTAAATTAGCTCTAATACAAACTTAGTCTCTTTTGGAAAGATAATACGTGATCAATTATCCGTGTAGAGTGGATATGAAACAGATATTTAAATGTTATAAAGAAATGTTGAAGGGAAAACCTCATTGCAGGTAACCACAGTCATCCCACAGGCCTTGTGGTTCTGATACCCAGCTTGATAGAGCCTAATGCCTGTTGCCCACTGACAATACTAAATCAGGCTTTAGAACTAGGGGGTTATGCCTGGCACAGTGGCTCACACCTGTATGTAATCCAGCACTTTGGGAGGCTGAGGCAGGTGGATCACGACATCAGGAGTTCAAGACCATCCTGGCTAAAACGGTGAAACCCCATCCCTACTAAAAATACAAAAAAGTTAGCCGGGCGTGTGACACGCGCCTGTAATCCCAGCTACTTGGGAGGCTGAGGCAGGAGAATTGCTTGAACCCAGGAGGCAGAGAGATCTCGCCACTCCACTCCAGCCTGGGTGACAGAGTGAGACTGTCTCACAAAAAAAAAAAAAAAAAAAAAAAAAAAAAGAACTAGGGGATTATACTCCAGTCCCAGATTCTGTTTAAAGCCCGGTTAGGGGCCAGGCGCGGTTGCTCACACCTGTAATCCCAACACTTTGGAACGCTGAGGCAGGTGGATCACTTGAGGCCAGGAGTTTGAGCCCAGCCTGGCCAAATGGCAAAACCTTGTCTGTACTAAAAATACAAAAATTAGCTGGACTTTATGGCACATGCCTGTAATCCCAGCTACCCGGGTGGCTGAGACAGGAGAATTGCATGAGCCTGAGGGGTGGAGGTTGCAGCGATCCAAGATCGCGCCACTGCACTCCAGCCTGAGCAACAGAATGAGACTCTCCAAAAAAGAAAAAAAAAAGTCCAAGTTAGGGCCAGACACAATGGCTCACACCTGTAATCCCAACACTTTGGGAGGCTGAGATGGGAGGATTGCTTAAGCCCAGAAATTCCATACCAGCTTAGCCAACATGGCAAGACCCTGTCTCTACAAAAATTAGCTGGACATGATGGTGTGCACCTATAGTCCCAGCTACTTGGGAGGCTGAGTCAGGATGATCGCCTGAGCCCAGGAGTTAAAGGCTGCAGTGAGCCATGATCTCCAGCCTGGGCAATAAAGCTAGACCATGTGTCTATAAAAATAAAAAATAAAGGCCGGGCAAGGTGGCCTGTACCTATAATCCCAGCACTTTGGGAGGCCAAGGCAGGCGGATCACCTGAGGTCAGGAGTTCAAGACCAGCCTGGCCAACATGGTGAAACCCCGTCTCTACTAAAAATATAAAAATTAGCTCGGCGTGGTGGCAGGCACCTGTAGTCCCAGCTACTCAGGAGGCTGAGGCAGAAGAATCACTTGAAGTCGGGAGGTGGAGGTTGCAGTGAGCCGAGATCGCGCCATTGTACTCCAGCCTGGGGGACAAGAGTGAGACCCCATCTCAAAATAAATAAATAAATAAATATTTTAAAAAATAAATGAAAAATAAAAGTGTCCAAATTAGAAGTAAAAACTTGAAGTAGCCCCATTTTTTAAAAGGCATATTGTCCCACTTACCCTACTATCTGCCTCAGGCACAGCAGCCACCCACTCTGGAAAATAGTTTTGTCAGTTGCTTAAAAAAAACTAAACTTGTAGCTACCATACAGCCCAACAATTACACACCTGGGTGTTTATCCTGAGAAATGAAGATGTAACGTTCACACAGAAATTTGTCCACAAATGTTCATCTCAGCTTTATTCATGTCACCAAAAATTAGAACACCCCCAATGTCCCTCAGTAGTTACATGGTTAAGCAAATTGTGGTACATGATACCTTGGAGTGCTACTCAGCTATAACAAGAAAAAAGCTATTGCTGTACACAGCAACTTGGATGAATCTCCGGAGAATTCGGCTGAATAAAAAAAGCCAATTCCAAAAGGCTACATACCAGATGATTATATTGATATAACATTCTTGAAATGACCGAATTTGAGAAGTAGAGAACAGATTAGTGATTGCTAGGGCTTACGGAGTACAGGGGAGGTAGGGTGGGAGGAAGTGGACAGGGCTATAAAAGGGCAATGTTAGTGATCCTGTGCTTATGGGAATGTCCCCTATCTTGACTAGCACTGTCAGTATTCTGGTTGTGCTGGTGTGCTACAGTTTGCAAGATGTTCCTGTTGGGGAGACTGGGTAAAGAGTATGTGGGCCCTGGCATGGTGGCTCATGCCTATATCCCAACTCTTCGGGAGGGCCAGGCAGAGGATCACTTGGGGCCAGGAGTTCAAGACCAGCCTAGGCAACACAGTGAGACCCCTATCTCTACAAAAATAAATGTAAAAAAACTAACTGGGCATGGTGGCGCATGCCTGTAGTCCTAGCTACTGGGGAAGCTGAGATGGGAGGATCGCTTGAGTCCAGAAGGTTGAGGCTGCAGTGAGCTGTGATCATGCCACTGCACAATCAGTGACAGAGCAAAACTCTCTCTCTTTTTTTTTTTTTTTTTAGCTTGAGTTTCACTTTGTCACCCAGGGTGGTATACAGTGGCACAGTCTTAGCTCACTGCAACCTTTACCTCCCAAGTTCAAGCCATTCTCCTGCCTCAGCCTCCCTAGTAGCTGGGATTACAGGCACACGCCACCACACCCTGCTAATTCGTTTTTTTGTATTTTTAGTAGGGATGGGGTTTCACCATGTTGGCTGGGCTGGTCTTGAATCCCTGATCTCAGGTGATTTCCCAACCTCAGCCTCCCAAAGTGCTGGGATTACAGGTGAGAAGAGTATGTGGAGTCTCAGTATTATTTTCTTCTTTTTGTTTTGTTTTGTTTCTTTGAAACAGCGTCTCACTCTGTCACCCAGGCTGGAGTGCAGTGGCGCAATCTTGGCTCACTGCAATCTCCGTCTCCCAGGGTCAAGCGATTCTCCTGCCTCTGCCTCCCGAGTAGCTGGGATTACAGACATGTGCCACCACACCGGGCTAATTTTTGTATCTTTAGTAGAGACGGAGTTTCACCATGTTGGCCAGGCTGGTCTTGAACTCCTGACCTCAAGTGATTCGTCTGTCTTGGCCTCCCAAAGTACTGGGATACAGGTGTGAGCCACTGCACCTGGCCTCAGTATTATTTTCTATAAATGCATATGAATCTATAATTATTAAAAAATAAAAAGGTTGGCCAGGCACGGTGGCTCACGCCTGTAATCCTAGCAGTTTGGGAGGCCAAGGCAGGCAGATCACCTGAGGTTGGGAGTTTGAGACTACCCTGACCAACATAGACAAACCACATCTCTACTAAAAATACAAAATTAGCCGGGCCTGGTAGCACATGCCTGTAATCCCAGCTACTCGGGAGACTGAGGCAGGAGAATTGCTTGAACCGGGGAGGCGGAGGTTGTGGTGAGCCAAGATTGCACCATTGCACTCCAGCCTGGGCAACAAGAGCAAAACTCAGTCTCAAAGATAAATAAATAAATAAATAGTTTAATTTTTTAAAAAAGCATTTAACTATGGTTATATGCAGTAACATATGAATCTCAGAAGCATTATGTTGAGTGAAAGAAGCTAGACATGAGACTACGTACCGTATGATGCCATTTATATGAATTCTGTAAAAGGCAGACTCGTGATGATAGCTGATCAGTTGCTAAGGGTAGGAAAAGGGGACTTATGTTTGCCATCAAGGGCACAAAAGACCTTTTTGGATGGAAATACTCTGTTGTAATTGTGGTAGGATTACATTGCTTTGTCAAAACTCATTATACCCTTAAAATTAGTGAATTTTATTATAATGAATTATACCTTATTAAATCTCACAGAAAAAAGACCAAAAAAAAAATGGGACATTAAGCAAGCAAAGTCCACTGGAGTTGATACCTTCAGGAATCTTTCCTCTCACTTCCTCCCAAATACCACAAGGTGGCATTAGATGTTCATGTCAGTTTACAAAATGGGGTTCCCGGTGAAAAACATTTGTAGAAATGGCTTTCCTTTTGTTGATGATTTTAGCCAGCTTGGTGATAAGGTAAAACATAGCTTTCATCTTAACTTTCATTTTCTTCATATATTTTCTTCTTTTCTACTGTTAGCTGATGTTTGTATTTTCAGCTTCAGTTAATACGGGACACTTTACCAAGAAATAATGTTACTGGTAGACGGTCTTGACCACAAGTCGTCAAGGTTTTTAGCATGTTGAACAAAAAATTGGACAAAACACACAAGCAAAGCAACAGAAGACGAAAGCATAGATTTATTGAAATGAAAGTACACTCCATAGAGTAGGAGTGGGATTGAGCAAGTGGTTCAAGAGCCCCAGCTGCACAGTCTTCTGGGATTAAAGTACCCTGTACGGGTTTCCTATTAGTTACACCCTATGCAAATGAAGACTTGGCCCGAGACGAATCAGAGGCTGTAGTGAAGACTCCCTGTCTCTAAACCCTGTTCTCCTGCCTCAGTAATAAACACCACTGCATCTTTTTGTAATTAGTCAATTAACCTTCCGAGTTTTTACTTTTCTATATCAGTTTATTTTAAAAATTAGCAGTCCTGGAGTATAGTCTTTTCTTTCTTTTTTTCTTTTTTATTTTGTATTTTTGAAAAAGAGTCTCACTCTGTTGCCCAGGCTAGAGTGCAGTGGCATGATCTTGGCTCACTGCAGCCTCAACCTCTCGGGCCCAAGCAGTCCTCCCACTTCTGCCTCCTGAGACGCACACTACGACACCCAGCTAATTTTTTTATTTTTTGTAGAGATGGGGTTTTGCCATGTTTCCCAGACTGCTCTCAAACTCATGGGCTCAAGCAATTCTCTCACTTCTGCCTCCCAAAGTGCTGAGACTGCAGGCATGAGCCACCACCCTCAGACCACACCCCACACTCCTTCCCCTTAATTCTGGTTTGTCAAGCCTCCACTTAGATGACATGTGAGGAAGCCTTCTCTGACTCTTCACTCATTGAAGTCTCTGCTGTATTCATCCAGAGCTCCCTGTACTTTCCCAACAGTATCGCTCTTTATATTCATCGTGAATGTTTAATTTAACTCTTGTTCACTACAAAGTAAGTTCTGTGAAGATGAAGGTTTTTGTGTATTAAGTGCTGTGTCACTAGCCCCTAATACCATGTCTGATATATTAGCATATGATAGGTGCTTAATACTTGTTGGATATTGAATGCCTGCCTTTTCTAAGAAGATTATGTGTCAGTAATGTGTGAGTTTATATCCAGCGTTACATCTGTTGTGCCAGCAAAATGGAATTATCTTGTATTTCTAATTTTTTTTTCCTTTTTGTGAACTTTAAAAAATTTCAGGCCTCCCGAGGAGCCCAGACAGCTGCAGCCACAGCTCCCCGTATCAAGAAATTTGCCATCTATCGATGGGACCCAGACAAGGCTGGAGACAAACCTCATATGCAGACTTATGAAGTTGACCTTAATAAGTGAGTATCTCTGTGAAAGCCAGCTATTGAAGAAGAGTTCTTGATTTGATTTAGGGACATGCTTTTCACATCCTTGGAAGGCTTAAAAATCTGAGATCATCCGATGGCTCTGTTTTTAAAACAAGAATGAGCTTGGGCCGGGCACGGTGGCTCACGCCTATAATCCCAGCACTTTGGGAGGCTCAGGCGGGCAGATCATCTGAGGTTGGGAGTTCAAGACCAATGTGGCCAACATGGTGAAACTCCCCTCTCTACTAAAAATACAGAAATTAGCTGGGTATAGTGGCTCATGCCTGTAATCCCAGCCACTCAGGAGGCTGGGGCACAAAAATTGCTTGAACCCAGGAGGCAGAGGTTGCAGTGAGCTGAGATCATGCCATTGCACTCCAGCCTGGGCAACAGAGTGAGACTCTGTCTCCAAAAAAAAAAAAAAAATGAGGTTGTTACCTGATTCAGAAGAATAATACCAAAATAATTCCCAAATGAAAGTATGACAAATTTCTAGAAATACTGGTATAATTAACTTTATGCACAGTATTTAAAGTCATTTAATATATTACCATTTTTTTAATGCTGAATGTATTGATTATATCTTATACATCTGGACCTGTGTTTTCTATAATAATAACAGAACCGCCAGAAACTTGCCTTGAATGGACAAGGTAGGGATGTGGTTAAAATGTTAAAAATTGGACTGGCGTGTTAGTTTTCTATTTCTGTCAGAGCAAATTACCACAAACTTAGTGACTTAAAACAACCTAAATGTATTATCTTATAGTTCTGTAGGTCAAAAGACTGGTATAGTCTCATCAGACTAAAATCAAGGTGTCAGCAGGCTGCATTCCTTTCTGGAGCCTAGAGGAAAATATTTTTTGCTCATTTGCGCTATTGGTGGAATGCAGTTCCTTGTGGTTGTGAGCCCGAGGTCTCTGTCATTCTGCTGACTGTAAGCTGAGGGCTGTTCCAAGCTTCCAGAGGCTGCCGCACTCCTTGGCTCTTGGCCTCTTCTTCCATCGTCAAAAGCAGCAGCAGCAGGTTGAGTTCTTCTTCACATCACATCTCTCAAAACCACTCTTCTTCCAACATCTTTCACTTTTAAGGAACTCCACAGTTAGCCAAAGAAAAGAAAGAATCTAGCAAGTTAGTCTCTAGCCTCCTGCTGCTCCACTCCACGCCCCCATATAACCAGAACTGTTCTCTGATCTGTTTTATGTGTAAGTGAATAAGTGTTTTATTTGTTTCAAACAAAAGCTTCTGTGGCACCAAAAAAAAGTTTGAATACCACGAATACTCTAAATGCTTACTTTGACTTTCTGTGGTGACAAGTAAGTGCTGTTAATGAGGTAGCATTAATTGATATATAACCTTCTTAAATAGACAAAATTTTCAAATACTCAGCAACCAAAAGTCCCTAGCAAAATTCAAAGGAATAGAAATTGCACAGACCACAGTTTTGGACCGAAATACAATAAAACTAAACTCATATTAAAAATATAAACAGGCCGGGCGCGGTGGCTCATGACTATAATCCCAGCACTTTGGGAAGCCGAGGCAGGTGGATCACTCGGGGTCAGGCATTCAAGACTAGCCTGGCCAACATGGTGAAACCCCATCTCTACTAAAATATAAAAATAAGCTGGGCGTTGTGGCAGGTGCCTGTGATCCCAGCTATTTGGGAGGCTGAGGCATGAGAATCACTTGAACCTGGGAGGCGGAGGTTGCAGTGAGCCGAGATCGTGCCACTGCACTCCAGCCTGGGTGACAGAGCAAGACTCTGTCTCAAAAAAAAAAAAAAAAAAAAAAACTCATAAAACAAAAAACCCTACTGCTTAGAAACTAAAAAAAAGTACACTTCTAACTATTTGATCAGGAACACGTAAAAAATATTGCCAGATACTTAGAAAATAAAGACGTTGCAAATCAAAACTTAGAGAATGTCAGAGAATGTGGCTAAAACTGGAAGAGTTAAATTCCTTTTTTTTTGAGTCAGGGTCTCGCTGTCACCCAGGTTACAGTGCAATGGCATGCTCACGGTTCACTGTAGCCTCAACCTCCCAGGCTCAAGCAATCCACCTGCCTCATCCTCCTGAGTAACTGGGACTATAGGCACATGCCACCACACCCAGCTAAGTTTTGTATTTTTTGTAGAAATTGAGTTTCACTATGTTGCCCAGCCTGGTCTCAAACTCCTGGGCTCAAGCAATCCACCCATTTTAGCTTCCCAAAGTCCTAGGATTACAGGCATGAGCCACAGCACCCAGCCCATAACGATTTTTTAGTGATAAAAAATTTAAAGAATCTTTGGGTTTACTTCCAGTTTTGTCACAGTAGCTCTCATCAGACTAACCCTCCTACAAATAACAATGATCAACTCCGGAAAAAAATATAAGAAACAACTGCCTGAACAGTAGAGAAGGACCACGAGTGGGCAGACATTGGAGGGGAGTTGATACTTGGAAGAATGAAATGGCATTGGACAAATTACCATTTTACTCTTACATGATTTTGCTGAGGACAAGTCCAAGTTGGTATGGGAAGTAACGGGACTAACAGTTGGATGGAAAACCACAATCCGACTGGGTGCATTGGCTCATGCCTGTAATCCCAGCACTTTGGGAGGCCAAAGCAGGTCGACATGGTGAAACCCCATCTCTACTAAAAATATAAAAATTAGCCAGGCATGGTGGCACATGCCTGTAATCCCAGCCACTTGGGAGGCTAATGGGGGAGAATCACTTGAACATGGGAGGCGGAGGTTGCAGTGAGCCAAGATCACACCACTGCACTCCAGCCTGGGCAACAGAGTGAGACTCTGTCTCAAAAAAAAAAGAAAAAAAAATCTTAGCTTGAATAACGAGAAGACACATTTTGGGCCTTCCACAACCACTAGGAAATGAGGGGGAAAGCCTAGAAAGAAGAGAAACACAGAGGAGGAGCACTAAATGCTGTTCATGAACTCTGCCCACATCTTGCGTGCAGCCATATTAATTGCCTGTGTAAAATTTTAAAATCCACACTTTTCAGAAAAACATAATGCAATCCAGATTCTCTACAGCATATTAATTTTTCTTTTTTTTCTTTTTTATTTTTTTATTTTGAGTCTGAGTTTCACTCTGTCACCTGGACTGGAGTACAGTGGTGCGATCTTGGCTCACTGCAACCTCCGCCTCCCGGGTTCAAGCGATTCCCTTGCCTCAGCCTCCTGAGTAGCTGGGACTACAGGCGCGCGTCACACACCGTCTAATTTTTGTAGTAGAGTTGGGGTTTCGCCATGTTGGCCAGGCTGGTCTTGATCTCCTGGCCTCAGGTGATCCACCCACCTCAGCCTCCCAAAGTGCTGTGATTACAGGCATGAGCCACCGCGCCCAGTGGAATTTAAAGAATTTTTAAATTTCCTCATAGATAAAGGAAATTATGCTCATAATGAAATAGGAAATTTCAGTGGAGAAGTAGAAACTATTGAAAAGCCAAATGGAAAATCTAGTACTGAAAAATATAATATTTGAAAAGGAAAATTTACCGGATGGCCTTAACAGCAGATTGGAAATGGCAATAAGAAGAATCAGCAAACTTAAAAATATTAATAGAAATTATATAGTTTTTTGTTGTTGTTTGTTTGTTTGTTTCTTGAGACGGAGTCTTGCTCTGTCATCCAGGCTGGAGTGCAGTGGCGCAATCTTGGCTCACTGCAACCTCTGCCTTCCAGGCTCAAGCGATTCTCCCACCTCAGCCTCCTGAGTAGCTGGGATTACAGACGTGCACCACCACGCCCAGCTAATTTGTTGTATTTTTAGTAAAGACAAGGTTTCGCCATGTTGGCAGGCTGGTCTTAAACTCCTGACCTCAAGTGATTCACCCGCCTCGGCCTCCCAAAGTGCTGGGATTCCAGACGTGAGCCACCATGCCCGGCCGAAATTATCTGTTCTTAAGAAAAAGAAAGATTTTTGAAAAGGGAAAGCGCTCCTGTGATCTATGGAACAGCATCAAAAGGTCTAGGGCAGGCATGGTGGCTCATGTCTGTAATCCCAGCACTTTGGGAAGCTGAGGCAAAAGGATCACTTGAGGCCAAGAGTCCAAGACCAGCTTGGGCAACCTGTGAGACCTTGTCTCTACTAAAAAAATTTTTTCTTTGAAAAATTAGCCAGGCGTGGTGGCACATACCTGTAGTCCTAGCTACTTGGGATGCTGAAGCAGGAAGACAGCTTGAGCTTAGGAACTTGAGGCTGCTATGAGCTATAATTGTGCCACTGTACTCCAACCTGGGCAGCAGAGTAAGACCATGCATGGGTGAGTGGATGGATGGATGTAACACACATGTAATTGGACTTCCAGAAAAAATGGAGAGAAAGAAAAGGCAAAATAAATATCTATTTGAAGAACTCATGGCCAAGAATTTCCTGAGCCCATGAAAGACATAATTTACATATCCAAGAAGCTTAGTGAACCCCAACTAGGTAAATAAAAATAAAACTATGCCCTGTTCCATGAAGTCAAGTTGCTGACGACCAAAAATAGGAGAAAATCTTGAAAGCAGCTGGAGAAAAACAACATGTTACATACAAGGAAACCAGGTGAAAAATTGCTGACTTCTCATCAGAAACTAGAGGCCAAGAGACAGTGAAATACCATCTTTAAAGTACTAAAAGAAAAATTGTCAGCCTGGAATTCCACGTTCAGAAAAAAAGATTCTTCAAGATGATTATGAAATAAAAACATTTTCAGGTAAACAGAAAAGAAAAGAATTCATGGCCAGAAGACCAGTACTACATGAAATGCTATAGGAAGTTAGTCAGGCTGAGGAAAAATAATACCAGGTGGAAACTTGGCTCTTAGAAAAGGAATGAAGAGCGCTGGACATAGTAGATATAAAAGGATTTTTCCTCTTAATTTTGTTAAAATTAATATGACTGTTTAAAGCAAAGTTATTATATTATATTCTGTAATATATAACTCACATAGATGTAAGGCATATGATAACTATAGCGTAGGGGCTGGGAACAGCAGGTAAATAGACCTATAATAATGTAGCAGGATTCTTGCATTACATAAAGTTGCACAATAGTAACTCTAAACAGGTATAAAGAGTTAAAGATGTAAATTATGTAAAGTATAATTCTAGAGTAACTTTTTTTCTTCTTCTGAGACAGGGCCTCACTCTGTCATCCAGGCTGGAAGGCAGTGGCACAATCATGGCTCACTAAACCCTCCCAGGCTCAACCAAGCAATCCTCCCTCCCTGAGACCTCCTAGGCTCAAGCAATCCTCCCACCTCAGCCTCCCATGTCCCTGGGACTACAGGCATGTACCACTATGCCTGGCCAATTTTTTTTTTTTTTTTTTTTTTTGTAGAGACAGGGTCTCACTATGTTGCCCACACTGGTCTCCTGGGCTCAAGCAGTCCTCCTGCATCAGCCTTCCAAAGTGCTAGGATTACAGGTGTGAGCCACCATGCCCAGCCAAGAGTAATTATTTTTTTAAATGCAAAGAGATATAGCTAAAAAGCCAATATATAAATTAAAATTGATTTCTAAAAATATTTACTTAGTCTAAAAATATTACTTAGAATAAGAAAAGAAGAAGAGAACAGCAGCAAAATGATGGAACAAATAGTAAAATGATAGACCTAAATCCGGCCACGTCAATAACTGTATTGAATGTAAAAACTATTAAATACTCCCAGTTAAAAAGCCAACAGTGTCAGAATAGATTTTTTTAAAAAAAGCAAAACCCAACCATATGCTGTTTTAAGTGCAAGAAAAAGCGCAAGAAAAAATAAAGAAATACATTTGAAAATCAATGTGATTCACCATATTAACAGAATAAAGGGGGAAAACCCATTTGATTGCTTTAATATATGCAGAAAAGCATTTGGCAAGATTCAACACTCATTCATGATTTTTAAAAATGATAATGGGTTAAATAATTTTCACAGTGTGTATATTTTAACAGAATAAATAAATAAAACTATAAGGAATTTGAATTAAAAGGAATAGTCCTAATTTTACTTAAATAATAACTGCTAATAGGAAAAGAAGGGAACTTCATCAGCCAGATGAAGACTGTGAAAATCACAGCTAATAGCATACTTTATTGTGAGATATTGAACACTTTCCCCATAAGATCAGGAATAAGGAAGGTTGTCCACTCTGTATTTGAGTTCAACATTGTACTGAAGGTTCTAGCCAGTCCATGAAAGGCAAGTAAAAGAAGTAGAAGGCATATGTAAGCTTGGAAAGGAAGAAATTAAACTAACTGTAGTCACAGGTAACATGATTGTTTACATAGAAAATTTCAGGGAGTCTACAAAACTAAAAGAATAAGTAAATTTAGCAAGGCTGCAGGATGTAAGGTCAATATGCAAAATACTATTTGTGTGTGTGTGTATTTCAATGGCTACAGATAATTCTATTTATGCTAACATCAGCCATTCAAAATTTTACTGGAGGCTTAGCCAGGGAAATTGGGTGAGAAAAAGAAAGAAAAGGAAATTGGAAAAGAAGAAGTAAAACTGTCTCTCATAGATAACATAATCTTTTACACAAAACCTTGGGCAGGCTCAGTGGCTTGTGCTTATAATCCCAGCATTTTGGAAGGCTGAAGCAGGAGAATTTTTTTTTTTTGAGACAGAGTTTTCGCTCTTGTTGCCCAGGCTGGAGTGCAATGGCACAATCTTGGCTCACCGCAACCTCCGCCTCCCGGATTCAAGCAATTCTCCTGTCTCAGCTTCCCAAGTAGCTGGGATTACAGGCGCCTGCCACTACGCCCAGCTAATTCTTTTGTATTTTTGGTGGAGATGGGGTTTCTGCGTGTTGGTCAGGCTGGTCTCGAACTCCTGACCTCAGGTGATCTGCCCACCTCGGCCTCCCAAAGTGCTGGGATTGCAGGTGTGAGCCACTGTGCCTGGCCTGAAGCAGGAGAATTGCTTGAGCCTGGGAGTTGGAGACCAGCCTGGGCAACAAAATGAGACCCCCATCTCTACAAAAAAGCAAACAAAAAATTAGCCAGGCTGGGTGCGATGGCTCACGCCTGTAATCCCAACATTCTGAGAGGCCAAAGCAGGCAGATGACTTGAGTCCAGGAGTTCAAGACCACCCTGGACAACATGGCAAAACCCTGTCTCTACTAAAAATACAAAAATTAGCCAGGCATGGTAGCACACACCTGTAATCCCAGCTTCTTGGAAGGCTAAGGCACAAGAATTGCTTGAACCTAGGTGGCAGAGGTTGCAGTGAGCCAAGATCACGCCACTGCACTCCAGCCTGGGCAACAGAGCAAGACTGTGTCTCAAAAAATTTGCCAGGTGTGGTGGCACACTCCTGTAGTCCGAGCTACTTGGGAGGGTGGGGTGGGAGGATCACTTGAACCCAGGAGGTCGAGGCTGCAGTGAGCCATGATTCCATGCCCTACACTCCAGCCTGGGCAACAGAGGGAGACGCTGTCTCAAAAAAAAAAAAGAAAAGAAAATATAAGACATTGCCCCCTAGGAACTATTAGAACTAATGAACAAATTCAGCAAGGTTGGAGGACACAAAACTGGTATACAGAAATCAAATGTAGTTTAGTTTTTTATTATGCATAATTTGTCCATGTTTATTTCAACCTATGTCTGTCAGTCTTCATTTTATATTGTACCATGTTTTAATTATAGTTCTATTTCCTTCTAATCCGACTCTGAAACCCTACTTTGTAGCTATGTATACACACACAAAAAATAGCTATATTCTTTCATTTTCACAACAGCATAATTCTTTTTCTGAAAATACTGGCGTGTAGCAGATATTAGCAGATAAATGTATTTTTCTAGGCTAGGCATGGTGGCTCACACTTGTAATACTAGCACTTTCTTTGTGAGGCCAAGGCAGGAGGATTGCTTGAGGCCAGGAGTTTTGAGACCAGCCTGGGCAACAATAGCAAGACTTAGTCTCTACAGAAAAAATGTGTGTGTGTGTGTGTATACATATATATTTATATATGTATTTATATTTATATATTCATATTTATATAAATATTTATATTTATATATTCATATTTATATAAATATTTATATTTATATATTCATATTTATATAAATATTTATATTTATATATGTAAAACCCTGCTTACCTAGAAAAAAGCCTGTAAGTACTGTTAAAAAAACAAAAATTGGATTTCTATACACTAGCAATGAACAATCCTAAAATGAAATTTAAAAACTATTTTCCATATAACAGCATCAAAAAAGAAATTCTTAGGAACAAATTATATGGGCAACAAGACAAAACCCCATCTCTACAAAAAAAGTTAGCTGGGCTTGATGACCTTCCTGTGCCTATAGTCCCAGCTACTTGGAGGCTGAGGTGGGAGAATCACTTGAGCCTGGGAGGTCAAACCTGCAGTGAGCTGTGATCACAACACTGCACTCCATCCAGCCTGGGCGACAGAGTGAGATCCTGTCTCAAAAATCAAATAAGTAAAAGACTTATATGCTGAAAAACTGTAAAACATTGTTGAAAGAAATTTAAGAAGACATAAATAAATGGAAAGACATGCCCTGTTTGTGGGTTGGAAGACTTAATGTTGTTAAGGAGGCAGTGGTCTCCAAATTGATTTCCAGATTCATTGCAATCCCCATCAAAATCCCACCTGCCTTTTCTGCAGAAGTTGACAAGTTGATTCTAAAAATCTTATAGAAATGCAAGGGACCCAGAATATCAAACAATTTTGGTATCTATGTAAAATCTGAGAAAATTTATGTTGTACTCTTTAATGAGCCCTACCTATTAGGAAATTTAGCATGAAACAGCTTAAAGAGAGGACTTTGACTTTTTAATATTTTTCTCTGTCCCAGTATGATCTGCAGGATTACTTTTTACCTTTGATTTGAATTTATTTATTTATTTATCTATTTATTTATTTATTTTTTTGAGACAGTCTCGCTCTGTCTCCCAGGCTGGAGTGCAGTGGTGCGGTCTCGGCTCACTGCAACCTCCGCCTCTGGGGTTCAAGCAATTTTCCTGCCTCAGCCTCCCAAGTAATTGGGACTACAGGCACGTGCAACCACACCCAGCTAATTTTTTGTATTTTTAGTAGAGACGGTTTCACCACGTTAGCCAGGATGGTCTCAATCTCCTGACCTCATGATCCACCCGCCAAGGCCTCCCAAAGTGCCTCCCAAAGTGCTGGGATTACAGGCGTGAGCCACCCACCTGGCCAATTTGAAATTTTTATAGGCTGCAAATATTAGCCTTTGTAATGTAAAAAAAACAAAGATGTTGTTGTCATTTAAAATATGCTAGGACAAGAACAGGCAGATCATTAGAATAAAAATGTAGCAACAAAACAGACTCAATTTTATCTAAGTTCCCAGTATTAAATATGGGAGAAAGGTATTACAAATAAGAAGCAAAAGAGGATTTAGTCAGTGATTTGGGACAACTGATACAGTTTTTGCAGTTTTAGGGGAGTAACTTAAAATTTTTTTTAAGTAGAAAAAAACGTAAAGTATTTATCAGACCTCAGGAAGGGCAGTGGTCTGTTTAGGCTTAAAAGTGATAGATAATGTTATAAAAGAAAGAATAGCCACCTTTATTAATGTAAACATTTAACTCATGTATGTTTAAAATTCTGTTACCAAAATTAGAAGTCAAATAGCACATTACTATTGGCAGTGAGGGAGGAAGCAGAAATGGCAACAGATATAATATATAAGAGCCTCAGATCATGAAAAAGAATTTCCAAGACCCTGGTAAACAGAGGCAAAGAATGTGGACAGACTGAGTCTCTAGAATGAGTCCTCTGGAACAGAGCTTTGTGCGGGCAGGTGGTATTCGTCTCTTTTATTCTCTGCTACATCCCCAGCATCTAGAACAGAACCTGGCAGAGTAAATGTTCAATAAATAATTGGGAAATAAAGAAAAATTAGTAAATTTATGACAAACATTCAACCTATGTAGTATTCAAAAGTCTCGATTTAAAACACTGAAAACAATAACACTTCTCCAGTATCAGAATAGCAAAGGTTTTTAAAGCTTCCAATTCCCAGTGTTAGCAGAGGTCCAGCAGAAAGGACGTCTACATAGTGCTGATACAAATACAGATAATGGGCCAGACGCAGTCGCTCACACCTGTAATCCCAGCATTTGGGAAGGCTGAGGCAGGTGGATCACTTGAGGTCAGGAGTTTGAGACCAGCCTGGCCAACATGGGAAAACCTATCTCTACTAAAAATACAAAAATTTGCCGGGTGTGGTGGCATGCACCTGTAATCCCAGCTACTCGGGAGGCTGAGGCAGGAGAATCGCTTGAACCCGGAAGGTAGAGGTTGCAGTGAGCCGAGATCGCACCATTGCCTCACACCCATAATCCCAACACTTTGAGAATCCAAGGCAGGAGGATCACTTGAGTCCAGGAGTTAGAGACCAGCCTGGGCAACATGGCGAAATCCCACCTCTACAAAAAAATACAAAAATTAAGCTGGATGTGGTGGCACATACCTGTAGTCCCAGCTACTGGGGGGCTGAGGCAGGAGGATCTCTTGAGGCTGGGATGCGGAGGTTACAGATCTGAGATCGTGCCACTGCACTCCAGCCTGGGTAACAGAGCAAGACCCCGTCTCAAGAAAAAAAAGAAAAAAAATGAAATACAGATAGTACTAAAGCAAATGGCGTATTTTTAAGTATATTTTTAATCTCATGCATAGAAAATTAGTGAGTGGAATGGGGGCAGGGTGGCAACCAGAAAATAGATTTGTGGAGCACTTACTGTATGCCAGGTACTATGAAAAATTACATATTTTTATGTAATTTTCACAGTAACCCTGTGGTGTAAATATTAACTCTACAGATAAACTGAGGTTCAGAGAGTAATTTCCGTAGAATCACAGTTTCTGCATGATGATTATTATAGTTAAACTATGATTTATATGTCAGATGCTGCTGTAAAGATCTCGTGTGTATTAACTCACCTCCAGCAATCCTGTGGGATGCAGGTGCTGCTCTCTGCACTCAGTGGATTAAATGCCTAGGCAGAAATTAAATCATTTGCCTGCAAGCTGGTAAGTGGCTCAGCCATGGTGCAGACCAGTCTCTTGGCTGCCAGGCCGGCACTCCAGGTCCCACGCCCAGGGATGCTCCGCTTAGTACCATGTCACTGCCCTTGTATGTTCTAGGAGGCTCACAGTGATTTGACTGGGGGACTGTGAGTGATTGGGTGTCTTTTATTCTCTGTACTATGTCTTCTCTTATGGTTATGTATTATTAATTACTATTTAAAACTATTGTCTACATCCTAAAAATCAAACTAAAATTTGAAATAAATTATTTGGAAAAACTTTGCAGGGAGCTTCAGAAGTAAAAAACAAAAACTCGGCCACTGTATGGAAGTTGTGTCATACTTGTCTACTACTACTTTAGCTTTCCATTTCCTAGAAATGTGTTTGCACTGTGATCATCAAAATAGAACTGTGCAGTACTTAAAATGTAAGAATCTGCAAAAACAAAACTACAGAACAAATTCCGAAGGTGACCTGAGAAGACCAAATGGATAAGCTAATACATCCAGGTGTCTCCGATTATATTATGATAAAGTGTAGGGAGGTTGAACTTTACATAAATACCACTGGATATTTTTCTTTGTTAGATGTGGCCCCATGGTATTGGATGCTTTAATCAAGATTAAGAATGAAGTTGACTCTACTTTGACCTTCCGAAGATCATGCAGAGAAGGTGAGCATTTCATTCCTGTTGGGCTCCAGATACTTGTGGTCTTCCAAAGAGGCTTGGGCTGGCCAAAGCTGATAGAGACATCTGGAAAACAGCTGCAGCTCTCTGCTGGGTGAACTTGCTGTGCAACCTAATTCCTTTTCTTGGGTAAATGCATCCAAAATTCTAACCATGGTGCAAGTTCTGGTTTCTGAGTTTACTTTCCTTCAGGAGCATTCTATCCTGTGGTTACTGCATCTGGCGGTCCCTGTGAGCTGCTCCACGCTTCAAGGCCTAGCTAGGACCTGCTGGCTGGCACCTTCCATGCTGCTGAGCTCTTTTATTAAGGGAGCAGTGGAGAGTTTCTGTCTGGCACTTATGCTTGTCCAGCAGGGGAGATGTGTGAGTCTCCCTCAGCTCCCAGCATGACATGTCCTTGGTAGCTGTGTTCTGGATTGGCTGGTACAGTGTCTCCCTCAGCATGTGGTTACTTGTGCTGCTGGTGCCACATGAGCCCATTTGAGGCAGTGTGCAGACTAACATTTTCTACATGAATAGCAATGTATTCATTTTCTGTATTAGAAAAATATAATTACTGCCGGGTGCGGTGGCTCACACCTGTAATCCCAGCACTTTGGGAGGCCGAGGCGGGTGGATCAGCTGGCGTCAGGAGTTCGAGATCAACCTGGCCAACATGGTGAAACCTTGTCTCTACTAAAAATACAAAAATTAGCCGGGTGATAGCGGACGCCTGTAATCCTGGCTACTCGGGAGGCTGAGGCAGGAACCCGGGAGGTGGAGTTTGCAGTGAGCCAAGATCACGCCACTGCACTCCAGCCTGGGCAATAGAGCGAGACAGTCTCAAAAAAAAAAAAAAGAAAAATATAATTACTAATGATGGTATAATAGGGATATAAGTGGTTTTTTAATGTGAATTTAAGCAAAACAAGTTAAAGAAAACCCAAGAGATACTTTAAAGAAAGTTGATTCAGGTGGTTCTCAGGTATAGCAAAAATTGCACAGGGTGCAGTGAAGACCGACTGGCCTGATGTCCGTGGAGCCAGACTGTGTGCCCGGCTCTGTTCTGTGCACTGGACATGAGGTAGATGACTGTGCTTATTATCTACCTTCAATTTAAAGGTGAGGCCCAGAGAGGGTAATGGACTTCCACAAGGACACATAGAGAGTGACTTGAGAGCCGGGAGTCAGCCAAAGCTGTCAGACTCCAGACTCCAGATCTGCTCTCTCAGGCACTGACTTGGCTTGGAACACCTGGGATAAAACAAAAGCAGAGAGTAGCTTGATTCTGTGAGGACACTGAGCTTTTTTCTAAGAAAACCTTAAAAAAAAAGGAAAAGCCAGTATTGATACCGGCCCATGGCTTTTTATCTGTTCAGCTGTACATTTCAAGCATTTCAAGTCTTTTAAGACATCTGTTTTGATTCAGCTAATCTTATTTAGCGTTGCAAATGCTGATGGATATTATGATAGTTCGGCTGAGTCCTGCTGTTCAGGGAACATTCTGCGGCAGTTAAACAGCAGCCTTCCCCATTAAGTCCTGGCAACACAGGAAAGGTAGATGCTTTTCAGTAACCTTTCCCTGTAGGACTCTTTCAGAGCCAAGAACATAAGGTGTGACCCATCTGGACTAAAAAAAATAAAGCAGAATTGTATCAATTGCTACTCCTTTTTATTCCCATCTTGTTTTTCTTATTTTTTTTTTAATTCCCATCTTGTAAGAGAATTCCCAGGGAGCCTTTTTGAGAGAAAGTTCATTGGATTTATTTTTTTAATTTTTATGCCATTTCTTGTAAAAGCAAACTGCTCTAGTTGGATGCCAGGTATACATAAATGTATTGATAATATCCAGTCTCTTGGGGAACTCTAGGAGTATTTGCTTAAGACACATCTTTGGGTTCCCTTACACTCTTTCTAAGATTTACAGGAGAAGGAGAGTCTTATTGTCTTTTCTAGTCTTATGAAAGTGATAACCGACTGGGCGCAGTGGCTCACGCCTGTGATCCCAGTACTTTGGGAGGTCTAGGTGGTAGGCTAGCTTGAGGCTAGGAGTTTAAGACCAGCCTGGGAAACATAGACTCCCTTTCCATTTAAAAAAAAAAAAAAAAAGGTGAGGCCAGGCATTCAGAGGCCGAGGCGGGCAGATCACAAGGTCAGAGTTCGAGACCAGCCTGACCAACGTGGTAAAACCCCGTCTCTACTAAAAATACAAAAATTAGCCAGGTGTGGTGGCGGGCGTCTATAATCCCAGCTACTCAGGAGGCTGAGGCAGGAGAATCACTTGAACGCGGGAGGCAGAGGTTGCAGTAAGCCGAGATCGTGCCACTGCACTCCAGCCTGGGCGACAGAGCAAGACTCCATCTAAAAAAAAAAAAAGATGATAACCAGTGCAACTTTCTCAAGCAATCAGGTTTCTCTGACCTAATGATCTTCAAAAAACAGCTTCAGAGGACTGGCACTAGAGGTTTAGAGTACATAATCATTTTTAAATTCCAAAACACCCAGGAAATTTCCATATACAGGAAGTAGGTCCAGGCTAAGAAAATTCTCATGTCGGGGTCCTGGGTCAGCACGTTTTTTGTTTAGTTTGCTTTGCTTTGCCTCAGTTTCATATTAGTTCATTCTTCTCCTCTTTGGAAAGTCCATGCTGAGTCAGCTTTTGTGGATTTCATAGCCCCAGGGTACTATGCTGCGTATTTTATGAAGACAATAGAAGAAGCCTTACCTCTGTCAAGTGTAGTGGCTCAGGCCTGTAATCCCAACACAGTGGGAGGCAAAGGCAGAAGGATTACTTGAGGCCGTGAGTTAGAGACCAGCCTGGGCAATATAGTGAGACACCTGCTCTACAAAAAACAATTATTTTTTTCTTTTTTTTGAGATGGAATCTTGCTCTGTCACCCAGGCTGGAGTGCAGTGGCGCGATCTCTGCTCACTGCAACCTTCTCCTCCTCAGTTCAAATGATTCTCCCGCCTCACCCTCCTGAGTAGCTGGGATTACAGGCACCCACCACGACTTATATTTTTAGTAGAGACAGGGGGTTACCATGTTGGCCAAACTGGTCTCGAACTCCTGACCTCAAGTGATCTGCCCACCTCAGCCTCCCAAAGTGCTGGGATTCCAGGTGTGAGCCACTTCACCCAACCTACAAAGAATTTTTTTGAATTCGCCGCACATGGCGGCATGTGCCTGTAGTCCCAACTACTCAGGAGGCTGTGGTGGGAGGATCGCTTGAGCCCAGAAGTTTGAGGCTAAAGTGAGCTACAGTGAGCTATGACTCCACCACTGTACTTCAGCCTGGGTGACACAGCAAGACTCAGCCAAGAAAAAAAAAGAAGAAGAGCTATCTCTTAATAATCTGTATCCAGGTCACTTCAACCTTAAGATGACCAAGACAATGTTGATTTACTTTACTTTTGGGTATTGTGTCTGTTAGATTTGTGTTCAAATAACAGTGGCTTTAAAAAATCTAGGTTTCCAGGCGTGAGCCACCACACCCACCCCTACTCAGGAGGCTGAGGCAGGAGAATCACTTGAACTGGGGAGGCGGAGGTTGCAGTGAGCCAAGATCGCGGCATTGCACTCCAGCCTGGGCAACAAGAGCAAAACTCCTTCTCAAAGAAAAAAAAAAAAAATAGGCTTGACGGGTGTGTGGTGGCCCAGACCTGTAATCCCAGTGCTTCGGGAGGCCAAGGCAGGCAGATTACTTGAGCCCAGCAGTTCAAGCCCAGCCTGGGCAACATAACAAAACCCTGTCTCTGCAAGTCTCGTCTCTACAAAAAATACCAGAAAATTAGCTGGGTGTGGTGGGCTACTTCTGTAGTCCCAGCTACTTAGGAGGCTGAGGTGGGAGGATCACTTGAGCTCAGGCATTGAGGACTGCAGTGAGCTGTGATTGCACCACTGCACTCCAGCCTGGGTGACAGAGTGAGACCCTTTCTTTAAAAAAAAAAAAAAAAAAAAAAAAAAAAACAGGCTGATTTTTCTTCAAAACACGTGACACATGGAGCTAGAACTGCTGTGGAAACTCCATGGTGCCAGCAGCGCCCAGGCCTCTGGCCTCCTCCAGTGCCATACTTGGCATGTGGCTTCTAACCTCAAGGTTGCCACATGGTCATAGAGTAGTTTTTGGAACTCAAGCCATTAGAACCACATTCGAGGCAGGAAGAAGGAGGGAAGGGAGAAAAGCCAACAGGCACCTCTGTCAGAGGAATGTTGCATGTCAGTGCTGCCCCTGATGGCACAGCAAGGAGGATCCAGAAGAAAGTATTTGGGGCAGGACTGATTCCGGATATGGGTGAGGATGTGTTAAATGTGTGTCTCTTTCAGGCATCTGTGGCTCTTGTGCAATGAACATCAATGGAGGCAACACTCTAGCTTGCACCCGAAGGATTGACACCAACCTCAATAAGGTCTCAAAAATCTACCCTCTTCCACACATGTATGTGATAAAGGATCTTGTTCCCGTGAGTTTCTGCATCTCTCTGGTTTTGTTTTTATTTGCATGGGGGGCAGTGCTATGTGTGTTACGCTATTAGTTTTTCAGGGCAGGATTTGTTTGAGTATTTAAGGCTCCTCTTCTAGTCAGATAGTAAATAGATGGGACTGTTTCCTATATTATGGCAGGAGGAGGACCACAGTGTCACTGAGAGATTAGGAAAATCTCCAGATCTGAGACAGTGTGGCCAGAGTTTAATTAAAGAATTTGAATGGCAGAAGATAAACGCCTAGAAAATCCTCCAGCAGCTCATTTGGTGAGGTTTGTTTGAGAATAATGGGGCACAGAATTTTAGAATTGGAACATTCCCAGAAATGAATAATTTGGCCATAACTACAAAGAAATCATGTGGAAAATGCCAGTTGGGAAAGCAACAGCTGTTTATGAGTCCCACTTTAATTTCTACCTCCCTATATTTGAACACCTTTGCTGACGTGGTGTTTTCAAGGGCAGAAAGGACTGTGGGATTGGCAGGTTTCCCAAGTAGGTGAGGGAGAGGTTTCCTAACCATGCTTAACATTGTGACCATTTTTCCTTTTGTAATCTTTGCATATATTCATGACAAAGGAAAAGAGTCTGGCTTCTGCCTGGCATAGAGTGGACGAGTAGTCAGTGTCCAAGAAATGGGGTAAATAAAGCTGAGGTGATGATGGAATCTGATCCTTTTCTTCTTCTTCTTCTTCTTCTTCCTCTTAACCACAGGATTTGAGCAACTTCTATGCACAGTACAAATCCATTGAGCCTTATTTGAAGAAGAAGGATGAATCTCAGGAAGGCAAGCAGCAGTATCTGCAGTCCATAGAAGAGCGTGAGAAACTGGTCATTAGTCCCTATTTATTGTTTCAATCTGAAGAATTTATTGCAAAGATGATTGCCAGGAGTGTGGCTTGGCAGGGAACATAAGCTGATGCAAGCCATTTAGTGTATTCTGGAGAGGAACTGGCACAAGGGTGGGGCACTCATCCTCTTAGGGCCGGGTGAGTAGTGTGAACCCGTGAATGGCCCAGAGTGGACCAAGGAGCTAGAGCCCTGTGCCCCGCCTGCAGGGGCGGGTGGTTGCTGTGTGGCTACTCCATCTTTTTCAAAAGAAACCAGTATGTAAATTGCCTGGGCTTTAAAAAGTGACCACTAAGTCAGAACTGTTCCCTCACTGGGGGCAAAATGAAACACATATGCTGGCCAGTTGTAACTACCACCGTCCTGCTTTACAAATGGGAGTGAAATGTTAATGGCAAAACAGAGTCATCGATATTCTTTCCTGACACCATACTTCTGGTGATCTGTGGGGTGGGATTATTCCTGGCCTGCTCACTCTCTGGGAGTTGCCATTCCTGTGTACAAGCTGTAAAATCTTAAAGCGGAGGCATCATTATCAAGTTTTCAGTCTTTCTTCTTCTACACTACTTCTACTCCTCTGCGAAGAAGTCTTCTCTGATTTGCATACTCCCTGCATACTTGTGGACGTGAGGTAGGAAGGGGACCAAATGGAGACAGAGCCCCACCTGCAGGTCTGCACAGGGCCAAGGGCAATGGCTGTGTCTTCTTCCTTTCTGGATCCCTAGGCCCTGGCGCATGTTATTTTATCCATAAATATTAGTTATGTAAATACTGTAAAAATATATATAAATTTTTTAAAAGGCCAGATGCAGTGGTGCATTCTGATAGTCCCAGCTACTCAGGAGGCTGAGGTAGGAGGATCACCTGAGCCCAGGAGTTTGAGAGTCTGAGAGTTTGAGGCCAGCCCGGGCAACATAGCCCAGGTTTTGTCTCTAAAACATATACATATATGTGAATATATGAAAAGTATCAGTTGTATGAATGAATAAATTAATTCTACCTTTTGAGACTTGGTAAATATTTAGCATCCTCTCCTGTTGCCCATAAAACGTTAAGAAAGGGGAGTCCGGCCAGGTGCAGTGGCTCATCTGTAATCCCAGCACTTAGGGAGGCCGAGGTGGGCGGATCACTTGAGGTCAGTTGTTCGAGACCAGCCTGGCCAACGTGATAAAACCCCATCTTTACTGAAAATACAAAAATTAGCTGAGTGTGGTGGCTCACACCTATAATCCCAGCTACTCAGGAGGCCAAGGCAGGAGAATCTCTTGAACCCGGGAGGTGGAGGTTTCAGTGAGCCAAGGTTGTGCCACTGTACTTCAGCCTGGGCAACAGAGCAAGACTCCGTCTCAAAGAAAAAAAGAAAAGAGAAAAAGGGGAGTCCTAGTAAGTGTGCCCAGTCTGTCACCATCAAGATAGTGAGGGTCAGCACAGTGGCCTGCAAGTCAGAGTAAGCCTGGGATGAGACTTCAGAGCTGCTCTTCTCAGACTGCAGCTCTGCTCCTCAGTTTCTACCTCCCAGAGTCTTGTGCATCCCAGAGTCCAGGCTGAACCGGGCCCTCTGGCCCAGCGAGTCCTTTGCATTCCTAGGCAAGGCTGGTGCGTAGCTAGTGAACATCTCCCTGATGTGGTATTATTAGGGATTGAAGAGTTCCCCTGAGCATGTTTGGTTTTCTAGATACAAGTTGAGTATTCCTTATCCTAAATGCTTGGGTTTCAGTGTTTGGGGTTTCATATGTTTTCAGATTTTGGAATATTTGCCTTACACTTACTAGTTGAGCACCCCAAATCCGAAATCTGAAATCCATGCTCCAGTGAACATTTCCTTCGAGCAGCATATTGGTGCTCAAAAAGTTTCAGATTTTGGAACATTTTGGATTTCAGATTTTCAGATTTGGGATGCCCAACCTGTAATAGAAATTTACTCATTTACTCATTTACATACCAAACATTTAACATTTTTTGGCTTCCTTAAATTAGTATGCTGAACTTAATAAATAATTGGAAAATGTGGAGAAATTTATGTATGTATTTATTTTTAATTGGGCAGCCCCCAAACCAAAATAGGTTCAGAGAGGCTCCATCATTTTTTAAATAAGCTATAATTTTCAGCCTGGGGAACATAGGGCGACCCTGTCTCTACAAAAACTTTAAAACTTAGCCAGGCATGGTGGTATGCACCTATAGTCCCAGCTACTCAGGAGGCTGAGATGGGAGGATTGCTTGAGCACAAGAGTTCCAGGCTGCAGTGAACTGTGATTGTGCCACTGCACTCCAGCCAGGGGCACACAGCAAGACCCTGTCTCAAAAAAAAAAAAAAAAAGAATTTATAATTCCACCACCAAAACATAATCTCTGTTAATATTTATAGTTTCCTTTGTTTTTTGTTTATTACATTATATTTTTATGTAGCTGGGATCAAAATGTAAATATGCTTTTATATCCTGCTTTTTTCACTTATGTTATTGTGAGCATTTTCTTCATATTCTTAAAATTGTTCATAAGCATTAACTTACACTTTGCTTTCTACTGCTTCAGATGTATGCACCATGCGCCATAAAACCATTTCACTGTTGCTGGACAATGAAATTGTTTCCAATTTTTTACTATTAGAAATAAGGCTAGATGAACATCTTTATCCTTCAAGTTCTGCCCAAAACATTCTAATTTCTTATTACAGATTTTTCTAGGAGTGGGTTAAAGAATATGACTATTCTTAAGGCTCTTAATCCTGTGACCTTATGCCTTCTAGACCAGTGGGGCCAGTTGACACTCCCACCAGCTGTCTGGACATAACATAGATTTGGTTGAAGACTCATGGTTCAATCACAACCATCAGTTCTGTCTCATCTGTTCTCAACTGTCACTTCAGGTGTCAGTGGGCCCCTTTCATTTTGCTGTTTTTAATCCATTTCTGTTGTTTCCAAACTCAGAAAGTCCGGTTTGTGTTTGGGACTTGTTGGGCAGATTGACCCAGTGTGGCAGGTGTGAAAGTGCAGGAAGCCAGAGCCAGCTGCCGGGGCCACATCCTGGTTCTGCTGCCTATAGTGGCACGTCCCTGGGCACATGGCCTAACTCACTCTCCTCGCCTTGGTTCCTTACCTGTAAGTGGAACTTGCTGGAGTCACCTCACAGGATTACTGTGATGATCAGTTAAGGAAAGCGTGTGAGGCGCAGGGCCTCCGTCAGGATTGGCAGTGGCAGTCACTGGGGATGATGTTGATGTTCCCAGTGAAAACCTGAGGGCCCTTCTGCTGAGCCCAGGGCAGAAGCAGCTACAGACTCTTGCTGCTTCAGCCCCTAGGCTTTTGAATCTCTCCCGTCTTGACCTCATTCCAGGAAGCTGGAATTTATGGGAGTTGTTTTTGTGTTCTTGTTTTCTATTTCTTTTTTAGACAAGTGAGAGGTTCTTGTTTATTAAAGGGAAAGTGCACTATACGTGGATTTAAGAACCCTGGGCAGATGTTTACATTTCACTTGCAAGATCTTTATTAATCTGCTAAATATCTGCAAATCACCCCTTGGATTTTGCTAAGAAAATTCACATGCAAGTAGGCACTTTGTTCATGCACTGACCCCAAAGGTAACATTTAATCAGCTGAAGACATAGCAGAGTCTCTCCCGTCACAAGCTCCTGCCTCTCTTTTCTCCCCATACAGGACGGGCTCTACGAGTGCATTCTCTGTGCCTGCTGTAGCACCAGCTGCCCCAGCTACTGGTGGAACGGAGACAAATATCTGGGGCCTGCAGTTCTTATGCAGGTGAGGTGCTCCTTAATTGCTTTAAGAGAAATTGAAACTCAAGCATCCAGAAGTCCAAGAGGACAATAGATTGCTGTAAGCCAGCCATTCTGAGGGGCCTGGTTTCCTTCATTGCCATCCAGTCCAAACAGGGTAATTGGTTGCATTGTATTCACTTGCTTTCGGTAAATCTGGGGCCTTGTCTGCAAATTGCCTTTGTTTCAGTGCAGTGAGGGTCACCCCAAGGGGGCGCAAACCATGCCTTGCAGATGTTTAAAATGTATTTCCGTTTGCCTGGTGGTCAGAGGCTCCCCCTCTCCCTCTCATAGGATTTGTAACATAAGATTTGTAGCGAGCAAGCAGGGGAGAAAGCAGTGTCTTTGAAGGGCAGCTGCCCAGCTATGAGATTGGAAGCTGTTTCCCAGCTAATGAAAGCCTGGATTTAGGGGTTGCTTAGAAAGAAAATAGTATTGATGTTCACTGCAAAGAAAGTCACTGTCTTTGTTCCCAGAAAGCTTGTGCTTTTTTAGATACGTGCTTTTCACAGACTCTAGGCAACTCAAAAACCAACTTCTCTTTCTCATTTTCCCACAAAAAGAGAAGTTACAGGTTTGTGTGACCACATGAGCAATATTGATTCCCAGCCATGTGAAGATTGGATAATGAAGTACACTCATACTTGTCACTTTTACCAGCTGCTCCGAGTTGGGGATGTAGAGGTCCTCTAAGTAACACTGCTAGAGCAGGCCTATGGTCATGTGATTAACTCGTTTCAGCCTGCTGATCTCAGGCTGCTGAGAGCGCTGTGTAAGTTCAAAGAATCATTAAGTGGGACAAATACTATCTGTAGACAGGTCTGTTAAATCATTCCTTTACTCAGAGACAGCAAGTCCAGCATGGGTAGGTGCCATGAAGACAGATAAGAGTTATATGATACAGTCCCTGCCTTCACCAAATTATAAGCTGGGTAGGAAGCTATTGAGCAATGTGAAATAATTAGGAGATGATACCCAGTGTGTATAATTAAGCACCCGGGTACCAGGTGCAGTATGGATCAAAGGTTTGCAGGGACCATTAATCAAGTGAAGCTACAAGTGTTGGGAACCTTTCCTTGAAAGATGGACAAGAATTAAAGAGTATGGAGATGAGGCATCTAAGCTGAGTGAATTCCCTTTCCTCTGCACTCCCAGAGCTTTGAGTTGAGCCAGGGTGCCGCTCTGGCCTGTTGATTGGCAGCTCAGCTAATCATCCCTGGTTTTCCAGGCCTATCGCTGGATGATTGACTCCAGAGATGACTTCACAGAGGAGCGCCTGGCCAAGCTGCAGGACCCATTCTCTCTATACCGCTGCCACACCATCATGAACTGCACAAGGACCTGTCCTAAGGTACGTGGGGCTGGTGACCCTCAGCTCTGCCTCAGAGCTGACACGCCAGAAGTAGCATGTGCTCACAAAGAGGTGATTGGCAGAGAGCAACCCTAGTCATTTGAGAAGGAAAGGGACCAGCATATGCCTGTCCTTTCAGTGTGAGCCTAGGGGCTAGTTTGGCTCTTAGTTGCAAGGAGTAGACTGACTCGGGCCACCTCAGGAGCAGGCTTTATTTGTAGGCTACACAGGGACATTGTGGGAGTTAAGGATGCAGAGGAACCCATGAGCAGGTACCTGCGTTCAACCTTCCCAGGAAACAGAAAGCGAAAGCCGTTGGAACGTGGGCAGCTGTGAGGACTTCATTTCTTCTCCATCTTTCTCGCGATGTCAGCTGCTAATCTGCTCTGCTCTCTAGCAGCCTGTTCTTTCCTTCGGCTCTGTGGAGGTTTTCTCTGACTCAAAGCTCTGGCTTTCGTTCCTCTTCCTGCTCGCATTTGCTGCTGCTTTTGGCTCACTCTGGCCTGGATTTTGCCTCCCAGCACACTTCCAGCTTCAGCCACCCGCCTGCCTCCCAGCCCTTCTCAGCACAGTTTCCTGAGAGGGTGTCGCATTGGCCCAGCTCACCTTCTCATGCCTGCACATCAGAGGCCACAGCTGGCTACAGACCGGCTGCCCTTTGGCCAGGTTCTGTCTCAGTCTGTTTTGTGGTACTATCACAGAATTTCAGACTGGGTAATTTTATAAAGAAGTTTATTTGACGCACAGCTCTAGAGGCTGGCGCCAGCATCTAACAAGAACCTTCGTGCTGTATTACCCCATGGCAAAAGGCAGAAGGGCAAGAGAAAGGGAGCCCAAGCTCAGCCTTTTTTTTTTTTGGAGACAGAGTTTCGCTCTTGTTGCCCAGGCTGGAGTGCAATGGCACGATCGATCTCAGCTCACCACAACCTCCGCCTCCCAGGTTCAAGTGATTCTCCTGCATTCGCCTCCCGAGTAGCTGGGATTACAGGCAGGCACCACTCATGCCTGGCTAATTTTGTATTTTTAGTAGAGATAGGGTTTCTCTATGTTGGTCAGGCTGGTCTCGAACTCCCGACCTCAGGTGATCCACCCACCTTGGCCTCCCAAAGTGCTGGGATTACAGGCGTGAGCCACCGCGACCGGCCCTTCTCATCTGTTTTTTTTAAAAGACAGGGTCTCACTGTGTTGCCCAGGCTGGGGTGCAGTGGCGCAATCATAGCTCACTGCAGCCTGGAACTGCTGGCCTTAAGTGATCCTCCTACCTCCTGAGTAGCTGGGACTACAGGCACACACCACCACACCTGACTAATCCAAACTCATCCTTTTATCAGGAACTTACTCCTATGATAATGGCAATCCATTTGTGAGGGCAGAGCCTTCATAATCTAATCACTTCTTAAAGGTCCCACCTCTCAATACTGTTGCATTGGGGATTAGGTTTTCAACACATGAGCTTTTGGGGACACATTCAAACCATAGCAGGTGTCAGCCCTGGTCCAGTCAGCCTTGCCCAGTGGGCAGGGAAGGGCTAGGGCTGTGTGGTTCAGAACACGGCTGCCCTCCGAGCAAAGACTATGGGTGATTTCACTCAAAAGTTGCAGTGAGTCAGTGGGCGGCAAGGTGGAAAACTGTAGGGTGGCCAGTTAGCCGTAAAAAAAGATCACACTGTGTGTTTGAAAACATGAAATCCAAGCTGTAGAATTCACTTATTTTTTGCCTGGAAACCCTCTGTGTTTCCAGTGGCCTCGCTGGGGGAGCCCACAGGCTTCAGCTCCCTATTGCCTGGGCTTCCATCTGGGTCCTGTCCCCAGGACTGTGGTTTACCATGATTGTGCCTGTGAATAGCTACTGACCTCTGAGGCAAGTTATGCTATAAAAGTGCTTGGAACAGTGCCTGGCACATAGTAAGCACCCAATAAATGTCACCTTATGTTATTTTTTAAAAAAACATGAGTACTGGGCTTGTTTGAGACAGAGATAGCATCTTCAGTGGTGGGGCCTGGCTGTGTGTTTCTTCAGAAGCTCTGCGAGTGACTCTAAGGTGCATTCCTGGTCACAAACCTGTGCATGGAGGGGATGGGTGCAGCAGACAACTGAGACAGCCAAGAACAGGTTCTCTGTGCCTTGCCCTCCCTTCTGTAAAACAGGGCTGGAAGTTGGGACTGAGACATAGACATAGGCCGATCATGAAACTGGAAGGGACTTGAAAACCATCAAGTTTAATCCCCTTATACAGATGGGGAAATTGAGCCCCAGGTGGGGAGGGGAGTGACTCGCCCCAGATCACTGTCAGGTCAGTGGGAAGGTAGGACTAGAGTTAGGCCGTCTGCCTCCCCATCCAGTGCTCTTTCTTCCTGCATGGATTGGGTATGTACCAACCTTCTAAGTCTAAACACCCTTACTGACCCTGTGGGGACCGGAAATACACAGGTAGATCCAGATTCAGAAGGATATACAGTGAAAATTCTCCCTCCCACTCCACCCAGCCACCTCCCTAGAAGTCAGATTCTTGTGTGAACTTCAGAGGTGTTTTATGCTGCACACAAATGCATATGTGTCCTCTTCTGTCTTTCTTATATCACATTTATCTGTATTTTTTCACCCACTATATTTTGGAGATTATCCCATGTTGGTATATGAAGAGTGTCTTTTTGACCAGCCTGGACAACGTAGTGAGATCCCATCTCTACAAACAAAAATTTTTTTAATTAGCCAGGTGTGGTGGCACGCACCTGTAGTTTCAGTTACTTGAGAGGCTGAGGCCGGAGGATCACTTGAGCCAGGTGTTCCAGGCCACAGTGAACTATGATCACACTTCAGCCTGGATGACAGAGCAAGACCCTGTCAAAAAAATATATATTTTTTCTTTCTCTTCTTCTCTCAAGATCTCTTTTCTTTCTTTCCTTTTCTTCTTTCTTTCCACAACACTTTTTTAGGGGGGTAGACTTATCCTTCTAAAATGAGGGGAACCTTCACTAACGTCAGATGAGTACTTGTCTCATTTTACCAAGTACTTGCTTGGTAAAAGCAAGTACTTGGTAAAGTACTTCCTACTTTCTACTTCAATGAAGCTGGCATTCAGTGGGTTTAATTATTGTGCCTCCTGCAAAGCAGATGTTAACAGCTGTAGGGGCAAACTGCAGCTAATACCAATGGTATTGGCCAGTTGAAATCATCATGGTTTTACAAAGGGTTAATAGAGAGGGTAGTTTCTTCCACATACTTTTGAGAGCTGGTATATGCTGATTTCTGCTGCTGCCTATTTAATAATGATGATGTAAAAGATTTAGAGATGTCTGGCTGATTTTGACATTGGCCTGTAGTCCTAGAAGAGACACTACCCTGAGTGTCTTTGAGCAGTCAGAGAGTGCACCTCTGCCCTGGGCCTGTTTACCTGTTAGAGTGAGCCACACAAGAAGGAATTCAACGTGGCAGAGCTCTTGCCAGAGGGAGCTGACCATCTTCAAATGTTAAAAAAGGTAGACAGAAGAGAGCCCTTAGCCCAACCCCTATGGTTTTGAGGGACTTGATTTGCATTCACCTTGCTTGGACACTGAACCAGCTGAGGAAGGAGTTTCACCCAAGATTGTGGGTTTTCCCTTTCAGTTTCAGTTATCATTTGTTATTGATTCTTTTCTCTTTTTTCAAGGGTCTGAATCCAGGGAAAGCTATTGCAGAGATCAAGAAAATGATGGCAACCTATAAGGAGAAGAAAGCTTCAGTTTAACTGTTTCCATGCTAAACATGATTTATAACCAGCTCAGAGCTGAACATAATTTATATCTAATTTGAGTTCCTTTAAAGATCTTGGTTTTCCATGAATACAGCATGTATAATAAAAATTTTAAGAAATAAATGTTATTCTACTTTATTAACAAAAAAAAAAGAACCTGTTCCTTTACTTGCCGCAGGGGAATGTGAAGGTGCCAGGAGTCCTTGTCCTTGGAGAGATGGACAGGGCTTCAGAGCTGAGCGGGGGTGGGGGTACCGTAGCTGGAAGGAGGTGATGAGCCGTGGAACTGACATCACGCAGGGCCTGCAGCTTGTTCCCAGCTTTGCCACTCACCAGCTAGACAACCTTGGACAAGTTCCTTCACCTCTTTGCTGCTCCATTCGCCCATCTGTAAGATGGGATCCATAATTGTGCCTACTTCATTCATCTGGTATGAGAATGCCTGGCACTTATTCTGAACACTCAGTTAGTGTTAGTGTTCTGTATCTTCCCAGTTTCTATAGTTTTCAGTACCAGAATTACTGAAAACCAAATCTTGGTAAGTCTTTGGATACGTCGGTGAGGCCAGGTTTGAGATTCCTCCAGCACAGAGCAATGACCCTGGTCAGTTGTGAATCCAGTTAGTTCCACAAATGACCTCGTGGGGCCTCTCACTGCAAACATCAACTCCACAGCACTGCTGCCTTGGCTGGCATGCTCACTGCACAGCCGGGCGTGGTGGCTCACGCCTGTAATCCCAGCACTTTGGGAGGCTGAGGCGGGAGGATCATTTGAGGTGAGGAGTTCAAGACCAGCCTGGCCAACGTGGTGAAACCCCGTCTCTACTAAAAATACAAAAATTAGCTGGGCAGTGGGTGTGCATGCCTGTAATCCCAGCTACTTGGGAGGCTGAGGCAGGAGAATCACTTGAGCCTGGGAGGTGGAGGTTGCGGTGACCGAGATCACACCGCTGCACTCCAGTGTGAGCAACAGAGTGAGACCCTGTCTCCACAAAACAAAAAAGCAATGCAAAAAAGGAGAAAGGGGGAAAGTAAAAGTGGAAGCTCCTCCAAACTCATCCCGTTGATAGCTTAGACATTTCCTTCCACACTCTACGTTATTACAGTTATGCAGCATATATAAAACTTTCTCCCTTCAAAAGTAAGGTACCATAGAGCCAGGAGCTGTGGCGTGTGCCCCTAATCCAGCTACTCAGGAGGCTGGGGTGGGAGCATCACGTGAGCCCAAGAGGTCGGGGCTATGGTTTGCCATGATTGCGCCTGTGAATAGTTACTGCGCTCCAGCCTGGGCAACATAGTGAGACCCCATTCCTTTAAAAAAAAAAAAAAAAAAAAGCCTGGAACAGTGGCTTCTAGCACTTTTGGGAAGCCAAGGTGGGAGGATTGCTTGAGGCCAGGACTTCAAGATCAACCTGGCCAACATAGTGAGACCCTGTCTCTTTTTTTTCTTAACATACCAAAAAAGATTTTAAAAATAAAGGGGTATCCTATAGTCTGCCAGCAGCTATTTTTTTTTTTTTTTTGAGACAGAGTCCCAAAAAAAAAACTGCACTCCGCCTCCCGGGTTCACGCCATTCTCCTGCCTCAGCCTCCCAAGTAGCTGGGCCTACAGGCGCCCGCCACTATGCCTGGCTAATTTTTTTGTATTTTTAGTAGAGACGGGGTTTCACCGTGTTAGCCAGGATGGTCTTGATCTCCTGAACTCGTCATCCGCCCGTCTCAGCCTCCCAAAGTGCTGGGATTACAGGTGTGAGCCACTGCGCCCGGCCTCTATTTTTACCTCACAATGTAGAAGGGATTTCAGTGCTAATAAAGACCTACCTTTTTGTTGTTGTTGTTTTGTTGTGTGTTTTTTTTTTTTTTTTTTTTTTTTGAGACAGAGTCTCGCTCTGTCGTCCAGGCTGGAGTGTGGTGGCGCGATCTCGGCTCACTGCAGGCTCCGCCTCCTGGGTTCACGTCATTCTCCTGCCTCAGCCTCCAGAGCAGCTGGGACTACAGGGGCCCGCCACCACGCCCGGCTAATTTTTTGTATTTTTAGTAGAGATAGGGTTTCACCGTGTTAGCCAGGATGGTCTCGATCTCCTGACCTCGTGATCCGCCCGCCTCGGCCTCCCAAAGTGCTGGGATTACAGGCATGAGCCACCGTGCCCAGCCAAGACCTCCCTTATCTGTGTGTGTGTGTATGTAAAAATTTTTGGAACTCCTGCTTAAGAGCACTGTGGCATGGGTGTACCCTTATTTAACCATTCCCCTACTAAGGCACATTCGGGTGGTCCCTATTCACCTTTTCATCCAAGGCTGCTTTTTTAAGTCGTAGCTGGAAACCTCTGGATCATCCGGAAAACAAAGGTTTCATGCATCCTGAGGCAAGCAGCTGAGAAAACGTGTGACTCACCGAGAATGAGCCTTAATGAGCATTTTCTGGCTTAAAGGGCTGATTCAACAAGCATCTGTCTCAGGCATTATGGAAGGTGAGGTGCTGGGGACAAGGATGAACAAGATTTGTTGCCTGCCTGCCACCTAGGAGCCAAGGTCACAAAGGAAAAGGAACAAACATCAGAAATTTCAAGAACAGGGCCGTGTGCCCCTCCCTACAGCATCTTGGAATTCTTGACTATCTCAGTGAGACACACAGTACTTGGCCCTGCGGCGCTGAAGCCTAAGATTGTGGAGTGCACTGGCTTCTTGAAAGACAGTGGAACTTGAACTGCGGGCCATGTCTGTGGATAGCTTCTGTTCCCCAGCTCAGACCTAATGGCTTTCTATCAGCCTGGGGAAAGGTCACATTCCTTGGATTCATGGATAATTTGACTTGGCTTCTAATCTCCAGATCTGTAGGGAAAGATGGGTTTTTCTCATGAATGACTTTTTTTTTTTTTTTTTTTTTTTTTTTTGGAGTCTCGCTCTGTCACCAGGCTGGAGTGCAGTGGTGCAATCTTGGCTCACTGCAACTTCCGCCTCCCAAGTTCAAGCGATTCTCCTGCCTCAGCCTCCCAACTAGCTGGGGTTAACAGGCGTTACGCAGCTAATTTTTGTATTTTTAGTAGAGACAGGGTTTCACCATGTTTGTTGAGCATACTGATCTCTAACTCAAGCGATCCACCTGCCTCGACCTCCCAGAGTGCTGGGATTACAGGTGTGGGCAAGCACACCCTGCTTCTCATGAACAACTTAATGCTTTGTAAAGATGGGTCCGCAACAACTGATAAGAGGCAGGGTGTAGCTTAGGAGTCGCCACTTCAGATCAGCGTCATCAGAGGCTGGGTTGACTCTGATGGTCACTCTCCGCAGTTGAACTCCAAGTTAAATTGGTATATGTTATCAACTGATAGTTTAATTTACTGCTTAATCTTTCATTGAATTGGAGACAAATGTTCTATTGCAACAGTCACAAAGGCTTTTCCAGTAAAACTGCAGACCTGTGTGGGGAACAGTATTTTGTCCTGTATGCTACTTCTGTGCCCAGTGTGCCTTCATTTACAAGATAATACTTCCAGCCTGGCCCTGTGGCTCACGCCTATAATCCTAGCGCTTTGGGAGGTGGGAGGATTGCTTGAGCCCAGGAGTTAGAGGCTGCCGTGAACTAGGATCGTGCCTCTGCACTCCAGCCTGGATCACAGAGCCAGAGCCTGTCTCTAAAGAAATTAAAAATAAAAATAGAATTTCGTAGGACTGAAGCCAGCCATCCCTTCTTACCTAGCTCTGGACATGTTGAACATCTGTGACTCTATTTTCCTATCTGTAAAATGGGAATTAACAGCATTCCCCTCTCAGAATTATGGTTGAAGTCTAAAAGTAAATGTGAAAGCATCTTGCCTGCAGTAGAGTAAATGCTCCATAAACTCAAGTGAACGGATTTGTCTTGAGTACCTACTATGTGAAAGGCCCTCGAGTGAATGCTGGGAGGCTGCAAGAGTAATTCCTTCCCAACCCTGAGTTGACAGCTGGCATGTTTCTGACATGACTGGCCAGAGCTAGAGGCCTCCCTGTTGGGAGGATGGTTTTTCCGTGCAAGGCTAATATTGCTTATTTCTCATCTCTCCCGTCACACTGCTCAGGTCAGGGAGGGACTCCCATTGGTCAAATTCTCTTCAGGCCCCTTCCCTTCCTGGCACCAGGATAACTACCATACAAAGTGCTGAAACTCGGCCAGGCACAGTGGCTCACTCCTGTAATCCCACTTTGGGAGACCAAGGTGGATCTCTGAAGCACAGGAGTTCGAGACCAGCCTGGGTAACATGGCAAACCCCATCTCTACAAAAAAAAAAAACAGAAAAATTAGCTGGGTGTGGTAGCGCTCACCTGTAGTCCCAGGTACACAGAAGGCTGAGGTGGGAGGATCACTTGAGCCGAGGTGGGAGGATCACTTGAGCCCAGGAGGTCGAGGCTGCAGTGAGCTGAGATCATGCCACTGTGCTCCAACCTGGGCAGCAGAGAGAGACCCTGTCTCAAAACAAACAAACAAAAAAAACAAAAACAAAAACTGAAACCCCACTTTACTATGTGTCTAGACAGCCATAATCCTACCAACAGGGTTTGTTACTAGGTGAAAAAAATCCTCTTTTGTTGCAAAAATCTAGTGAAACTAGAGAAGTCGAAAAGTAAAGCAATGCTCTGGAATAAACTCGCCCAAATTAGTGATTTCTCAAGCTTTTTGCCACTGGGACCAGGCCTATTACGCCCTCTCCGTGGGTTCCCAAGAGAGCCACAGCCTAGAAGGGAAGCTGTTCAGTCGGTTCTCACCCACGTGGGACTGGAAATTTCAGACACGGTTATCCGGGAAGACAGCCTGGGCCACAGACCTCCTCGATGACCACACACCGAGAGCCACTTCCCCAAAGGTAACCCCAAGCAGATGGCAAGGCCTCCCACATGCTCTGTGGTTTGGAAGGAAGCTTCCTCTGGCCTCCTCCCTCATTAAGGAGAAGGGACGAGCTGCAGGTGCGGCTCCTTCCCAGCTGGCTCAGGGAATAGAGCCCCTTTAAGGCCAGGCAGCCTTAGCAATAAAAAGAATGAAGGGGGCACCCTTGCAAGGCAGTCCCCCATGCAGTCCCCAAGCCCTCTGCTTTTATTTATTTATTTATTTATTTATTTATTTATTTATTTATTTTAGAGGGAGTCTCAGTCTTTCACCCAGACTGGAGTACCTCTGCTTTTATGAAGCCGCTAATCCAGTGCCAGGATCTAAAGCAAGCAGCTGGCTTCTACCAAGTTCCTGCCATCTCATTTCATCCTCTCCATGCCTTCCATTTTGTAGGTGAGGGGAAGGAGAGCCTTAGAGAAGGAAAGTGACATTTTAAAGCTCACACAGCTAGAAAGCAACTCATGCATCCATGTCTTTCTGATGCCAGAACCCAGCCCCTTGCCACTGTACCATACTGCCTCTTGCCAAGGCCACCTGGGCTAGCCATTTCCAAACCCAGCCTTCCTGCTGCCCTGGAGGCTGGGTTCCTGCCAGAAATTGAGCTAAGCCCTGGGGGAGGACATGGGAGTTCTGAAAAGTTAAGCAGCCTGCCTCCCCTGGAAGTGTCACCGGAAGATGAAAGAACTCTTGTCACCTGACCCAAGGAAGCCAGTCCCATGGCCCAGGTGGTCAACAGGAATGACCCGCAACTGGTTGGCTCGGGCAGCCTGCCCCAGCTGAGTAAATGGCTCCACTGGCACCCAGCTGCTCAGGCCAAAACCCTGGGGAGCATCTTGAATTCCACACATTCCTGCACCCCCACATCCTATCCACCAGCAAGTCCTGCCAACGTGTGTTCCTGTACCAAATGTTCACTGGGATCTTGCTATGAATCAGGTGCTGCTTTCCCTCCTGGGGTCTATCCCCTACCCACACCCTCACCACCATCACAGCTGTGTCTCCTTCCAGCCCCTTCCACAATAGGGATCGTTGGAGTTTTCCTTTCCTTGACTAGGGCTACTTCCCAGTAGACAGCAGTCTCCGCAGGGACAGGGGCATCTCTGTTTTGTTCACTCTCACGTTCCTGGCTCCCACAGTGGTGCTGGCACTCCATAAATTCATACTGGACAAATGACCAGTGATCCTGCCCACGTCTATCCTTGGCCCTAACGTGAACCTTCCCTTGTTTGCCCTAGGATCTCACAGATCCACTCTCCCCTTTGGAGCTCCTCTGTCCAGAGGTCCTGGAGACAGGGAACACTATGCCTGTGCCGGTCACTATGGGGTAGCAGGATAAATGCTGCACGCAGGTAAGACATCTCTGGTGCCTTTCAGGGGTCTTCATGAATCCCCCCAGTGCAGGTGTGTCTGCAGGTCACGCTGTGAGGCTTCTCTTTCTCTGGCATTTCAAGGCCTCCAGTGCATCATGGCAGACTCTCCCTGGGTCTCTGTGGGCCCACATCTGACCCTGTGAATCTCTGGGCAGGTGTGTCTTCCTTCTTTGCATTCATCAAGCAGCGCCAGGCACTGTCTCAAGTGCTTGATACGCATTTTCTTTTTTTTTTTTTTTTTTGAGACAGAGTTTCGCTCTTTTTGCCCATGCTGGAGTGCAATGGCATGATCCCGGCTCACAGCAACCTCCGCCTCCTGGGTTCAAGCGATTCTCCTGGCTTAGTCTCCGAGTAGCTGGGATTACAGGCATGCGCCACCACGCCCAGTTGACAAGCATTTTCTTGTGTGATCCTCGCAGCAGTTCTCTGTGAAGCAGGCATTGCTATCCTACAGGTTGGGAAAAGAGGGCCAGAGAGGATCAGTGACTTGCTCACGGTCGCGCGGCCTGGAAGACATGGAGAGCTGGACCAGCACGCACAGTCCCTAACCACTGGGACGTGCTGGCGGGGGCTACCTCCGTGAGGTGTGTGTCTCCGGTCGCCCCGCCCCCGGTGTGTGCGGAGGAGCAGGCGGGGACTACAAGTCCCGGCAGCCCCGGCGCGGGCGCTGCGAGGGCCGCAGAGGGCCGGGCGGGGCTTGCGGCGCGCACGGAGGGACTGCGGCAGTGTCGGAGCCGCGCCGAGCCTGGTGGCCCAGGTGCCCCGCCCGCGTCAGCCCTGCTCCAGCCCCGCGCTAGCCCAGCGCCCCTCGCCCCGGGCCGTCCGGACCGCGCCCCCGCCCAGGGCCTTGCGCACGCCGGGGCCCAGGCCGAGGGCCGCAGCGCCGGGGCCGGCGATGAGCGCGAGGAGCCGGCATGAGCGCAGGTGAGTGCGGAGTCCGGGTCGGCCCCGAGCCCGGCGCGGTCCCCGGCCCGCCAGTTGTCGTCACCCCTTGGAGGGAGAGGGGAGGCGACGCCCCCCACCGCGGGGTCGCGAGCCCAGGAAGCGGGACCTGGTTGGGGATCCTGGCCCGTCCCCTCCCTTTTGACGGGGACTCGGCCCCGGTTTCTTCCCAGAGACGCCGGGGCTGGGGATGGCGCCGCCGCTCGCAGCCGGTCCCTCCCCTCCCCTGCACCCCTCAGCCGCGGGATTGGAAGCCGGGCGCTTGTGCAAGAGGGTCCTGGGGCCGTGCGGGGACGGGGAGGCCACCCCACGCCCACTTAATCGGATCCCACCCCGAGTGACGGATGTCCAGGTGGGGGAGACGGCTGCATCCTCGGGCCTCTGGGCAACCCCTCTGGGCTGAATGAATGAATGAATGGCGTTGGGGGAGTCGGGACTCCATTTCCTGGGTAGATGTCCTGGGCCACAGCGCCACTCCTGACCTCCTGCCTCAGACCCCAGAGAAAACCCGTCACACCCAGGGCCAAGGGCCACACCCTCCATGCAACCCATCCCTGGCCAGATGTCCTACGCCCACTCCTCCAGGGTCTAATTTAAATCCCACCTGCCGGGAATGGGGCCAGTCCTCCTCCCCTATCCAGAAAGGTCTCATCTCAGTGTCTGTCACTCAGCCCCCAGCCCCACAGCCTAGAGTGCACCCCCCGGCGAGGGAGGGGAAGGAATGAGGAAAGACAGCCCCTAGAATCCAGATCCAAAGATGGGAAGATGGTTCACACACACTCCCGCCTCAGCCTGGCAGAAGACAGGAGCTCCCCGCCGCCGGGAACCACAGCCAGGGAGGAGGCAGCCGCCCTGGGCCGCTGCCAGGTCACCAGCAGGAAGCCAAGGCTTCCGCAGGAAATAAGAGGTCCCAAATGGCTCTAGCCCCTCTGATCCACAGTGCTGGTGACACTGCCCCGAGCTGTGACCTCAGACGAGGTTCAAGTCCAGTCTTGGCCCCTCATAGCTGTGTGACTTTGTGCTTGTCAATCTACTCCTCTGGGCCTCGTTTTAAATGGGAATCCTAATCTGTACTTTTCATGGAATGGCTGTGGGAAAGAATGTGCCCATTCAGACACACTCATTTCCAGCTTCTCCCCTTTCAAGCTCTATGACCCTGGACAAGGGATTCACATGCTGTTCCTCAGTTTCCCCAGGTGTACAATGGGGATAATAATAGTCACTACCCCAGAGGGTTGTGTGTGAAGCTTCATTGAGTTAGCACACTGAAGGGCTTCCGCAGGGCATGGTGAGCACTCCATGGGAGCTGCTGTTCATCAGAAGAGCAATGACAGGCCAGGCGTGGTGGCTCACGCCTGTAATCCCAGCACTTTGGGAGCCTGAGGCAGGCGGATTACTTGAGGTCAGGAGTTCAAGACCAGTCTGGCCAACATGGGGAAACCCCGTCTCTACTAAAAATACAAAAATTAGCTGAGTGTGGTGGCATGTGCCTGTAGTCTCAGCTACTTCAGGAACTGAGGCAGGAGAATTGCTTGAACCTGGGAGGTGGAGGGTGCAGTGAGCTGAGATCTCTCCACTGCACTCCAGCCTGGGAGACGGGCAGGGGGGAAGGGGGGAACGGGGGGGGAAGACTCCATCTCAAAAAAAAGAGCAATGCCATGATGAAGGTGCTCTCGCCCCCCCACACAGCCTGTGGGTGCCTGTTCTGGGCTGGTCTGAGCCCACAGAAGCCCTGGGGAGACTGGGCTGTGGCTGGGGATAAACAGATGTACTGCAGGAGAGAGTGCCCTGGGCTTGATCCCTGCAGGGAGGGGCTCTGGAGGTTTCCACAGCTGTGACTTCCTCCCTCAAGTTCCACTCCCCTTTTCCTCTTTGCCAAGGTTGACGGAGAGAGTGTCATTGTGAAGTGACAGTCATACGATTGCCATGAGGAAGAACTTCCCAGGGGGACCGCTGTTTACATACTGGGGACTCTGCCCTCTTTTTGAAGAACCTTTTCTTCATAAAGAGTCTTGAGGCCGGGTGTGGTGGCTCACACCTGTAATCCCAGCACTTTGGGAGGCTGAGGTAGGAGGATCAGCATGAGGCCGGGAGTTCAAGATCAGCCTGGGCAACAAAATGAGACCCTGTCCCTACTAAAAAAAAATTAGCCTGGTGCAGTGGCACCTGCCTGTAGTGCCAGCTACTTGGGAGGCAGAGGCAAGAGTACCTCCTTTAGCCTAGGAGGTCAAGGCTCCAGTGAGCTAGGATCATGCCACTGTGCTCCAGCCTGGGTGACAGAGTGAGACCCTGTCTCTTTTAAAAAAAAAAAAAAAAAAAAAGGAAGAGGCTCAAGCCCCTCCCCCCAACTCCCAGCACCTTTGCCTTCAAGCTCTGTTGTGTCCAAGAGACAGACATTCATTCATTCAGTCAGTCGGTCAATCAGTGTTTCCTGACCCCTGAGCACATGGCAGGTACTGTGAGCAGTAAGGGCAGTGACACCCATCTGAGCCTGATGCTGAGGGGAATGTCAGGAGTAGATGTGCTGGGCAGAGAGGACCTGGGAGTAAGGCCAGCCCTGTTCCAGCTTTGAGACAAGTCTGAGGGCAACTGCCCCAGAGGCTCAGTGCTCTCGTTTGTCAAACTGGGTAAGAGAGCCCACCTTGTGGGTTGGTGCGGGAGGAAATCAAATCAGCACCGCAGGGATGGCTCCTTTCCCATCATCCCTGAGCCCGCTGGGCTGTTGGCCTGAGGGTTTTTTTTTTTTTTTTTTTGAGTCTTGCTCTGTCACCCTGGCTGGAGTGCAGTGGCGTGATCTCAGCTCACTGCAAGCTCCACCTTCTGGGTTCACACCATTCTCCCGCCTCAGCCTCCCAAGTAGCTGGGACTACAGGCGCCTGCCACCACGCCCGGCTAATTTGGTTTTTATATTTTTAGTAGAGACAGGGTTTCACCGTGTTAGCCAGGATGGTCTCAGCTAGTCTCCACCTCCTGACCTCGTGATCCGCCCCCCTTGGGCTCCCAAAGGGCTGGGATTACAGGCGTGAGCCACTGCGCACGGCCGGCCTGAGGGTTTTAAGGTACAAGGAGCAACTGTTGAATGGGCCTAGGGAGCCGTGGGACAGCCAGGGCTTCAGACAGGGTGATGTGAAAGGAGAAGAGAGCCTGGGAAATGGATAAGCAGAAGCCACGCCCCCCTGACCTGGGAGCCGGGTCCTGCCCACCTGTCCACGCAACCCCCCCAGGAACTTCAAATGCTTCTACCTCCCTGTGTGCTGGATGCTTCGGGACTATCATCCTAGAGATGAGAAATGGAAGCCCAGAGAGGCAAAGGCACTTGCTGTATGAAACACAGCATCAAAAAAGAAATTCTTAGGAACAAATGATGGGCAAAAAGACAAAACCCTGTCTCTACAAAAAAAATTAGCTGGGCATGGTGGCCTGTGCCTGTAGTCCCAGCTATTTGGAGGCTGAGGTGGGAGAATTGCTTGAGCCTGGGAGGTCAAGGCTGCAGTGAGCTATGATCGCAACACTGCACTCCAGCCTGGGTGACAGAGAGAGACTGTCTCAAAAAAAGACTTATACACGAAAACTGTAAGCTGGGCATGGTGGCTCACGCCTGTAATCCCAGCACTTTGGGAAGCCGAGGCTACAAGAGTGATAAGTAAATAAATGAATGAATGAATGAATGAAAGGACATCACAACCGAGGTTACCTGGCAGGGTTGATACGTTAGCCATGTACCCTGTGCACAGTGAGCCCTCTAGGAGTGTTGAAGCCAGAGTGCTTGGGGATGGGGCTGCTCAGAGGCTGGGGGTGCTGTGCCCACAGCAGCTGCCTGGGGCACTCTGGACTCTTTGGGTAGAAATTTTAGAAGGGCTCGCCGGGCGCTGTGGCTCACGCCTGTAATCCCAGCACTTTGGGAGGCCGAGGCGGGCGGATCACGAGGTCGGGAGATCGAGACCATCCTGGCTAACACGGTGAAACCCCATCTCTACTAAAAATACAAAAAATTAGCCGGGCGTGGTGGCGGGCGCCTGTAGTCCCAGCTACTTGGGAGGCTGAGGCAGGAGAATGGTGTGAACCCGGAAGGCAGAGCTTGCAGTGAGCCGAGATCGCGCCACTGCACTCCAGCCTGGGTGACAGAGCGAGACTCGCTCTCAAAAAAAAAAAAAAAAAAGGAAAAATTTTAGAAGGGCTCAGATTGGGGGATGAAGGAGGGAGCCCAGAAAATCAGCAGCCTACCCCGCACCCGCCCAGCTTTTCCAGCTTAGTGAGCTTTTTCAGAGGCTCTTGTGAAACCACAGATGCCTAGCACCATCCCTACCCCGGCCTGAGGAGTTGATCCAGCCAGTCTGGGGAGGGCCCTGGCATCTGCATATGTAAAAGGTGCTCCAGGTGGTCTGGGACCGTAGATGAACCCTGACAGAGGCTGTCCAAGGGTGGGGCTGGTGAGCTCTACCCGCTCTGGAGCCCCAGAACATCCACTGGCTGCCTGCCCTGCTAAGGCCACAGCTCTACAGCACAGGAGGAAGGAGTGAAAAGAATGTCTGTGGCCGGGCGCAGTGGCTCAGCCTGTCAGCCCAGCACTCAGGGAGGCAAGGCGGGTGGATCACCTGAGGTCGGCAGTTTGAGACCACCCTGACCAGCATGGTGAAACCCCGTCTCTACTGAAAATACAAAACTTAGCTGGGCGCCTGTAATCCCAGCTACTCGGGAGGCTGAGGCAGGATAATCGCTTGAACCTGGGAGGCAGAGGTTGTAGTGAGCCGAGATCATGCCATTGTATTCCAGACTGGGCGACAGAGCAAGACTTCATCTCAAAAAAAAAAGAATATCTGCAATAGAACCACCTGATACCATTCCCCAAGTCTCAGTTTACCCATCTGTAAAGATAGGCCTGCAGGGCTGACCGTTTATTAGTCCAGACTTGACTTTGCATCTCCTCACTGCCAGACCTGGGCTGGGCACGGGCATGGAATGAAGATAAGCATCCCTGACCCCTGCCCTCAGGGTGGGGACTGGATGAGGATAGAAAAGTGAGACCCAGAGCTCCAAGGAAGCTAATGGCTGGATGCACGAGCACCATGGGGGCTTGGGGCACTGTCCAGGCCCCATTCTCCAATTCTGGGCCATACCCAGCAGAAAGACCGACACACGCAAGGAAACAAGACACTACTGGCCAAGCACGGTGGCTCATGCCTGTAATCCCAGCACTTTGGGAGGCCAAAGTGGGCAGATCACTTGAGGTCAGGAGTTCGAGACCAGCCTGGCCAACATGGTGAAACCCCATCTCTACTAAAAATACAAAAATTAGCTGGGCATGGTGGTGCATGCCTATAATCCCAGCTACTCGGGAGGCTGAGGCAGGAGAATCGCTTGAACCTGGGAGGCAAAGGTTGCAGTGAGCTGAGATCAAGTGACTGCACTCCAGCCTGGGTGACAGAGTGACACTCCGTCTCAAAAAAAAAAAAAAAGATACGGTAAGTAAGAACCGACGGAAAGAAGAGCCAGATAAAGGACACAGGAAGACATGAGCTTTGGGCTCTGTCAGACCAGGTGCTTACTGTTTTGTGTTTTGTTTTGTTTAGTTTTTTGAGATGGAGTCTCACTCTGTTGCTCAGGCAGGGGTGCAGTGGTGTGATCTTGCCTCACTGCAACCTCTACCTCCCAGGTTCAAGTGATTCCCCTGCCTCAGCCTCCTGAGTAGCTGAGATTACAGGCACGCGCTGCCACGCCCGGCTAATTTTTTTTATTTTTAGTAGAGATGGGTTTCACCATGTTAGCCAGGTTGATCTCGAACTTCTAACCTCAGGTGATCCACCCGCCTCGGCCTCCCAAAGTGCTGGGATTACAGGCGTGAGCCACCGCGCCCAGGCTGATGTTTATTGTTTTTAAGGAAGCAAGAGGAGAAGGTGCCTCCCCAAATGACCTTTCTCTTTTCTGTCCACAGACAGCAGCCCTCTCGTGGGCAGCACGCCCACCGGTTATGGGACCCTGACGATAGGGACATCAATAGATCCCCTCAGCTCCTCAGTTTCATCCGTGGTAAGTGGGCAGAGTGGGGTGGGGAAAAGCTGCAGGGGGTGAATGCCCAGGCCCACCCAGACACCCCAACTTCCTACTCCAGCCCCGTTCCCACCCCGACCTGGGCCCTCTCTCGCTGCGTTCGCAGAGGCTCAGCGGCTACTGTGGCAGTCCATGGAGGGTCATCGGCTATCACGTCGTGGTCTGGATGATGGCTGGGATCCCTTTGCTGCTCTTCCGTTGGAAGCCCCTGTGGGGGGTGCGGCTGCGGCTCCGGCCCTGCAACCTGGCCCACGCCGAAACACTCGTTATCGAAATAAGAGACAAAGAGGTGAGAGTCAGGCTGAGCCTGGGGCTAGAGAAGCGCAGTGAGGGTCAGGGTCGGGGGTGGAGGATGCTTGGGTGCCAACCCGGCCACTGACTTTCCATGGGACATTAGGCAGGTCCCGCTCTTCTCTGGACCTCAGCTTTCCCATCTGAGCATTGGGCAGAAGGGACGGGTCGGGTGGTTTCTGGAGGGCTCCCCATAGCCTTGATTTCTGCCTTCTCCAGCAGGGGCCGCCTGGCTGTAGGACAGGGCCTGGGAGGGGAGGGGACTCTTCTGAGACTGAGTCCATACCTCTGTGTTCCAGGATAGTTCCTGGCAGCTCTTCACTGTCCAGGTGCAGACTGAGGCCATCGGCGAGGGCAGGTGAGGCAGCCCCATTGCCCCTTCCCAGAAGCCCCTGCTACCCTGGCCTCCCCAACTTCCCCAACCCTCGGCCCCCCCATAAAGGCTGACTCTGGCGCCTCCCATCCTAGGGAGGGAAGATGGCTCTGTGAGCACAGGGAGGTGCCAGGGCAGCTCCCAGAGCTCGAGAGTAACCCTCACCTGCTTCCCCAGCCTGGAGCCGTCCCCACAGTCCCAGGCAGAGGATGGCCGGAGCCAGGCGGCAGTTGGGGCGGTACCAGAGGGTGCCTGGAAGGATACGGCCCAGCTCCACAAGAGCGAGGAGGCGGTGAGTGTCGGACAGGTGGGTTCTGAAAAAGTCCTTGCCCCTCTCTCGGCCTCGGTTTCATGATCTGTGCAATGGGAGAGTCAGACTTCATGTTCTCCCACCACCTTTTAGTTCTGTTGTCCCAAACATCCAGGATGCTGTCTGAGCACGTTTACACTTTCAGGCCTCTCCCCACCTCTCTGTCTGGTGACACCAGTCCCTGCCCCCTACCCCCATCCCTCGGCTCCCAGCATAAGCACACTGCTTCTGGGGCCGGGGCCAGCTTCCAACCCATCCTCTCCTCTCTCCCACCCAGAAGCGGGTGCTGCGGTATTACCTCTTCCAGGGCCAGCGCTATATCTGGATCGAGACCCAGCAAGCCTTCTACCAGGTCAGGTAGGAGTCAGGGCCTGTGTGGCTCATGTCACCTCCCAGAGTGGCACTGGTTTGGGCACAGACGGTGGCATGGCATGGCCTGGGCTCCCCTCTCAGCTCTGATGCTTTTGCTGTCTGAAACCTTGGGCAGGTTACTGAGCCCCTCCAGGCCTGGGATCTCTGTCTATAAATAGGGCATGAAGATAACTTCTGCCTCCTAGGATTGTTTTGATGGTGAAATAGATAATAATTTATGTAGAGCTTGGCACCGAATGTGATCTGAGGTTGTGACACCACTGTGAATCAGACTATCAGCTCTGTACTCAGACTGTCTGCTTGGGGTTTAGTCACTGCTCTGCCACCTACAAAAGGCTTAAGAAACATGAGCTCAGGCCGGGTGCGGTGGCTCACCCCTGTAATCCCAGCACTTTGGGAAGCCAAGACAGGTGGATCACGAGGTCAGGAGTTCAAGATCAGCCTGGCCAAGATGCTGAAACCCCATCTCTACTAAAAACACAAAAATTAGCTGGGCGTGATGGCATGTGCCTGTAATCCCAGCTACTTGGGAGGCTGAGGCAGGAAAATCGCTTGAACCTGGGCGGCAGAGGTTGCAGTGAGCCAACATCGCGCCACTGCACTCTAGCCTGGATGACAGAGCATGACTCCATCTCAAAAAAAAAAAAAGAAAAAGAAACACAAGCTCACCACACACCTTAGTTTGTGTGTATGTGTGTGTGTGTGTGTGTGTGTGTGTGTGTGTGTGTGTGTGGTTTTTTTGGTTTGTTTGTTTGTTTTTTAAGATGGAGTTTCACTCTTGTTGCCCGGGCTGGAGTGCAATGCCGCATTCTCGGCTCACTGCACCTCCGCCTCCTGGGTTCAAGCGATTCTCCTGCCTCAGCCTCCCGAGTAGTTGGGATTACAGGTGCATGCCACCACACCCAGCTAATTTTTGCATGTTTTGTAGGGACGGGGTTTCACCATGTTGGCCAGGCTGTTCTCAAATACCTGACCTCAGGTGATCCACCCGCCTCAGCCTCCCAAAGTGCTAGAATTACAGGCATGAGCCACCGGGCCCTGCTCACACACTTTAGTTTGAATGCCGCAGAAGCAGACCCCCAGACAAGGGCTCAAGGGCAGGGAGTTTGTTTTGAAGCTGATCCCAGGCAGTGCTGGGGAAGGGATGGAAGCACGGAGGGAGGTTATGCTGGCTGCCACAGCTGTGGACACCCGGACTTCAGTCGCCTGGGGATCTCCTTGGGCCAGCGTAGACCACACACCTCTGGGCGACCTCACACAGGGAGTGAGGACAGTTACCATCAAATTCCCTGCCATTATCAGTCACGGGACACAAAGTCTTCCACGCTTTCCGGGCTCACAGGCAGGGGATTCACATGCAGCCAGAAGGCCTCAGGTAAAGACAGGTGTTTTCAGGGTCCAGCTGTCATGTGGAGGTGAGGCAGAGGGGAGATGGGGATGGCAGCAACAGCCTCTGCTGCATGATGGGGATAATAGCAAAAATCACCCGTGCATTCATCACTTAGCAAGTGGCAGGCACGTCCAAAGCAGTCCCCGAGGCTTGCCCCACTTAATCTACCCATGGCCCTATGTGGTAGGTGCTGTCACTGCCCCCATTTTGCAGATGAGAAAACTGAGGCACAGAGAGGTTAAGTGACTTGCCCAGGGTATCATCAGTGTAAATAGTGCCCTTATCACTAAATAACAGCTACTCTTTTCACTGTTCATATTATTAGCATCATCTCTCGCTGTTCTCCTTCTTCAGTGACTTGGTTTGGAACCCAGTGAGAGGAACAAAAGGGCAAAGCCAAGCCTTGGGTTCAAGGGGGCTTACTTGCTCCCAGGAGCTCAGTGTGGCAGAACGGGGATGGGGGGCCTAGAGCCCATAGTCTCCAGCCTGCACAGGGTGGGGGATGCAGACCTCAGGCCCCATGGCCCATGCGTGTCCCCTCGCACCCACCCCCAGCCTCCTGGACCATGGCCGCTCTTGTGACGACGTCCACCGCTCCCGCCATGGCCTCAGCCTCCAGGACCAAATGGTGAGGTCAGTGCTGCCCTGGACCGGGGTGCCCTGAGAACTGGGGCTCCTTGTGTTGCCCCCCAATGTGGTTGCCTTCCAGTCACCTGCCTTCTCTGGGCCTCAGTTCCCCCAGCTGAAAGTGGGGAGCTCCTTCACCCCGGGAGGGTCCAGCCACAGCTCCTCCTTCTGATGGCTTGGCCTCATCCCCTCTTCCAGGAAGGCCATTTACGGCCCCAACGTGATCAGCATACCGGTCAAGTCCTACCCCCAGCTGCTGGTGGACGAGGTAGGGCTGTCCCTGGGTCTTGCCCCAGCCCTGCCTGGCGTGCTGTGTGACCTTGGCCCAGGGCTTGCCTCCTCTGGGCCACTTTACGGTGGCAACCAGACCAGCTGTCCCCTTCTCCATAGTGGATCGTCATCTCAGAACCTGCCGCAGTCAGCCTAGCCAGAGAGACCAGGTCCAGGAATTGGAGGTTCTGCCCAAGGCTTGGGTCACAGATTGGGGCCCCACTCGTAGGGATTGGAGGCCAAGAGGCAAATCCACGCAGCCTGAGCATCTATGGGGTCCCCAGAGACACGCCCTAGAGCCTGGGTCCTCTCTGTGCGTCCTCCACTTTCATGCTCCCAACAGTCCCGTGGGTTGGGCCTGGGACTGCACTGTTCACACCTGAGAAATCCAAGCTTCAGTTGGAGGCTGTGACATGGCCAAGGTCACACAGGGACAAAGAGAAGCCAGTGACCTGGACACAACTAGAATAAAGTGTGAACATCCCAGCCCTCTGATCGGGGGCAGGCACCATGAAAGAGATCTTTGAGTCTGGCCCCATAGAAATCAGTCTGTCACTTAGAAGCTATGTGGTTTTTTGTTTTTTGTTTGTTGTTTTTTTTTTTGAGACAGAGTTTTGCTCTTGTTGCCCAGGCTGGAGTGCAATGGCGTGATCTCGGCTCACTGCGATGTCCACCTCCTGGGTTCAAGTGATTCTCCTGCCTGAGCCTCCTACATAGCTGGGACTACAGGCGCCTGCCACCACGCCCAGCTAATTTTTTTTTTTTTTTTTTTTTTTGTATTTTTAGTAGATACGGGGATTCACTATGTTGGCTAGGCTGGTCTCAAACTCCTGACCTCAGATGACCCACCTGCCTCGGCCTTGCAAAGTGCTGGGATTATAGGCATGAGCCACCGCACCTGGCTGGAACTATGTGGTTTTAGGCCAGTGGCTTCACCTGTCCATGCCTTGGTTTCCTCATCTGTAGAATGGAGCTAATGGTGGTACCGGCCTTGTAGAATTGTCATTGCCATTGTATGACACTTAGATAAAGCACTTGGCGTGTAGTGGGGGTTCAGTAAATACCCTTATCCTATTTATTTATTTGTTTATTTTTTTTGAGACAGGGTCTCCCTCTGTCACTCAGGCTGGAGTGCAGTGGCGCGATCTCAGCTCACTGCACCCTCCACCTCCCCAGCTTAAGTGATCCTCCCACCTCAGCCTCCTGAGTAGCTGGGAGCGTAGGCACAGGCCACCCCATCAGGCTAATTTTTGTATTTTTTGTAGATATGGGGTTTCGCCATGTTGCCCAGGCTGGTCATAAACCCTTGTCCTCTTTAGAGCGGAGAAACTGAGGGCCCTGGGGATGTCTGGTTGGGTGGGGATGGGATTGACCAGGAGAAAGGCCTGGCTCCAGTCCTTTGGCAGCCACTGGGCCCTCTGCTCCCATGGGCACAGGAGACCCAGCCTGTGGCTGGGCTGCCCTGGGGGACGCGGCCCTGACGCTGCCTCCCGCCCCTCCCCCAGGCACTGAACCCCTACTATGGGTTCCAGGCCTTCAGCATCGCGCTGTGGCTGGCTGACCACTACTACTGGTACGCCCTGTGCATCTTCCTCATTTCCTCCATCTCCATCTGCCTGTCGCTGTACAAGACCAGAAAGGTGAGTGCCATAAGGTGGGTGGGGACGGGACAGGTGGGTCCCCAGGGGCCCCCACCCACTCACGGCCCTCTTGTCCCCTGCCCACAGCAAAGCCAGACTCTAAGGGACATGGTCAAGTTGTCCATGCGGGTGTGCGTGTGCCGGCCAGGGGGAGGTGAGGAGCTAGGGCCCAGGGGGCGGGGGCAGGAGTGGGAGGGTGGGGGGGCATGGCTGGGGCTGGCCCCACCTAGCTGAGCTCCTCTCCTGCCTGCCTGCAGAGGAAGAGTGGGTGGACTCCAGTGAGCTAGTGCCCGGAGACTGCCTGGTGCTGCCCCAGGAGGGTGGGCTGATGCCCTGTGATGCCGCCCTGGTGGCCGGCGAGTGCATGGTGAATGAGAGCTCTCTGACAGGTGAGCCCCCAGCCCCTGGCCTGCAGCTTCCTTCCTCCCCTGCCATCCAACCCTTTGCCCTGCGGCAAAAGTTTTCATTTGAGTTTCCTTTTCCTTTTTTGTTTTTTTGTGAGACGGAGTTTCACTCTGTTGTCCAGGCTGGAGTGCAGTGACATGATCTCAGCTCACTGCAGCCTCCACCCCCCAGGTTCAAGTGATTCTTGTGCCTCAGCCTCCTGAGTAGCTGGGACCACAGGTGCATACCATCACGCCCAGCTAATTTTTTATTTTTAGTAGAGATGGAGTTTCACTATGTTGCCCAGGCTGGTCTTGAACTCCTGACCTCAGGTTATCTACCCACCTCGGCCTCCCAAGGTGCTGGGATTTCAGGCGTGAGCCAGCGCTCCGCCTCCTCTTCCTTTTTCTCTCAAGCAACAATCCCAGCTTTAGGACTTGCTAACCTCACACCCCTGGGCCGTTACCACGTATCATCTCCGTGCCTCAGTTCCTTCTTCTGTAAGATGGCTGTCAGTCACTCCTCCTGGACAGAGTTGTGCAAAGTGCTTAGGAGTGTGAGAGGTGCAGCATAAATGGCCAGCCACCCAGTGCATCTGGGCTATTTCTCCTTTTTTTTTTTTTTTTTTTTGAGATGGAGTTTCACTCTTGTTGCCCCGGCTGGAGTACCATGGTGCGATCTCAGCTCACTGCAACCTCCACCTCCTGGGTTCAAGCGATTCTCCTGCCTTAGCCACCCAAGTACCTGGGATTACAGGTGTGCGCCACCATACCCGGCTAATTTTGTATTTTTAGTTGAGATGGGGTTTCACCACGTTGGTCAGACTGGTCTTGAACTCCTGACCTCAAGTGATCTGCCCGCCCCAGCCTCCCAAAGTGCTGGGATTACAAGCATGAACCATAGCACCTGGCTGCATCTGAGCTGTTTCTATACCAGTGCCCACCTTCAGGTCATAAAGATTCCAGATGGCACAGGAGAGTGGGAAGCCCTCTCCCAGAGTGAGAGACTGCGGTCCCCATTCACTACCCCACAGTCCCCTTCCCTTCCCCTCCCCAGGGCAGCCACTGTGAAGGGTGTGAGGTGTCTTCCACGCCTTTTTCTGCATTACGTGTGTGCACATGGGCTGATTTGCCTCTCCTTTTGTTCTGAACGTGGGATTGTATGCTGTGTATTGTTCCATACTTTGCTTTTTCTCCTGGCATCCTTCCACAAGCACGGATGGCCCCACCTCATGGCTGCATGAGAGTCCACAATACGGATGTATCGTAACTGACTCAACCGGCCCGCTCGCCATGAGTATTTAGAATGTGATTTTCCAGCCATTGCAAAGGACGCCACAGGAGCAGCTTTGTCCTGTGTCTCTTGATGTGTGCAAGTATTTCTTTCTCTGAGATGTGTTATATTTTGGTGGTAGATACTGGAGAGAGTTTACTAAAAACCACAGGATAGTGGTTTTTTTCCAGGGAAGTTTTCTGGCTGGCATTGTATTTGTATCACAAATCGTAGGCCAGGCGCAGTGGCTCGCACCTGTAATCCCAACACTTTGGCAGGCAGAGGTGGGTGGATTGCCTGAGGTGAGGAGTTCGAAAACAGCCTGGAAATCATGTTGAAACCCCATCTCTACCAAAAATACAAAAAATTAGCCAGGTGTAGTGGTGCACGTCTATCGTCCCAGGTACTTGGGAGGCTGAGGTGGGAGGATCGTTTGAGCCTAGGAGGTGGAGGTTGCAGTGAGCCGAGATCGCACGACTGCACTCCAGCCTGGGTGACAGAGTAAGACTCCGTCTCAGAAAACAAAAAAAAAGTAGTAATTGTGATCAGTATGATTTGTGGGCACACGCCCTGAGCCCTGCCCTCCACAAACTGTCCACACATACTTCATCTGCTCATCTCTTGTGAGGCAGACATGGCAGGATTGTCTGACTCCCTTGCAGGAATGTGCACACAGTAGGTGCTCAATAGTCCCAGCCTGCAGGCATTCAGTAAGGGAGTGCCACTGTTTGCTAGGCAGCCTGCCCAGGACTTCACAGGGCCATGGCGAGCATGCAGTGCTTTTCTCACTCCAACTCATGGAAATATTTGCCCCCTCCATGTAAATATTTCTCTCCCCTCCCCCTCCTCCTTCCCCCTCCCCTTCCTTACCCCATCCCCTCCCCTCCCCTCCTCTTTTGAGACAGAGTTTCACTCTGTTGTCCAGGCTGGAGTGCAGTGGCACGATCTCGGCTCACTGCAACCTCCGCCTCTCTGGTTCAAGTTATTACCCTGCCTTAGCCTCCCAAGTAGCTGGGATTACAGATGCCCACCACAACACCCGGCTAATTTTTGTATTTTAGTAGAGACAGGGTTTCACCATGTTGGCCAGCCTGGTCCCGAACTCCTGGCCTCAAGTGATCTGCCCACCTCAGCCTCCCAAAGTGTTGGGATTACAGGCGTGAGCCACCGCATCTGGCCCCTTGTAAATATTTCTGTTGGTTGGAGTTAGAAAAGCACTCCATGCATGTTATAAAATAATTCCAGCAGAAAGAGAACGACTCCCCCACCCTGCCCCACTGCACACATGATGCCCACACATGCTCTGTCTGACCCACCCCCCCCCCGCTGGTTCCAGGGAGCTGGCTGCCACCTGCTTCCAGGAGTGTCTCCCTGTGCCTTTATATCTCCGTCCTCTCTGAGCCTCAGTGTTCCTCTCTGTAAAATGGGGCTGTGATTTCTTGTTCACACCTGGTTACAGAGTTAACTGAGACTTAGAGCTTGTGGGACAATTCTACACAGAACTCCTGGTTTGCTGGTGGGAGGGAGGGGTGTGGAGTGGTCCTCACACCACGTTCCCCACCAGGAGAGAGCATTCCAGTGCTGAAGACGGCACTGCCGGAGGGGCTGGGGCCCTACTGTGCAGAGACACACCGGCGGCACACACTCTTCTGCGGGACCCTCATCTTGCAGGCCCGGGCCTATGTGGGACCGCACGTCCTGGCAGTGGTGACCCGCACAGGTATGAGCCGGGAGGCTGGGCTTGAGAGAGATCCCGGGCTCAGCACCCTTGGGAGAGGTGGAGTGAGGCAGGGTGGGACCTGGAACCCTGGACCCCACGCCCACCTCTGCTGCTGCCCTGCTGTGGGACCTCGGGCCAGTTGCCCCCCATCTGGGGTCTGAGCATTCCCATCTTAGCAGAAGTTGGGCCAGACTAAGGCCAAGCATTGCAAGATCTGGAGGAGCCGCCGGGGTTACAGTGCTGGAGCGGGCAGGGATGTAGCGGGCAGGCAGGAGCCTTCCCTGTGTCTGGATTTTCAGTGGAACCACCCAGTGTTTAGATGCTATCCACTAGTTCCTTGTTTAAAGCCCTTAAAAAGCCTACAAGAGCCGGGCCAGACCTGTTAGGACTCCACACTGCTGATGGCTAATTTCACAAACATCATGTCTTGCAACTCCAGAGGCACGGGTCGGGAGGGCTAGGGGTGGGGAAGGCCTGCCCTCACCCTGGCTTCCCTGCCTTGGGGTCCCCGCCTCCTCCCCAGGGTTCTGCACGGCAAAAGGGGGCCTGGTGAGCTCCATCTTGCACCCCCGGCCCATCAACTTCAAGTTCTATAAACACAGCATGAAGTTTGTGGCTGCCCTCTCTGTCCTGGGTGAGTGGCCCCCTGCACCCTCCTCTGCCCATAGCCCCCCCCACCTGGGTCCCAAATCCCACTCAGTCCTTCGCTGTCCCCACAGCTCTCCTCGGCACCATCTACAGCATCTTCATCCTCTACCGAAACCGGGTAAGCCTTGGGGGTGGGGTGGGGGGTGCTGCCAGCAGGGCCCAGGGGCCAACCAGCCAGGTGCTCACATTCATGGTGCCCCCTGCCAGGTGCCTCTGAATGAGATTGTAATCCGGGCTCTCGACCTGGTGACCGTGGTGGTGCCACCTGCCCTGCCTGCTGCCATGACTGTGTGCACGCTCTACGCCCAGAGCCGACTGCGGAGACAGGGCATTTTCTGCATCCACCCACTGCGCATCAACCTGGGGGGCAAGCTGCAGCTGGTGTGTTTCGACAAGGTGGGGCCGCAGGTGGGGTTGGTGCAGGGGAGCGGGACAGCCACAGGCGCCCCAGTGAGGCCTCCACACCCGCGTTATTCTCTCAGCAGCACCCACAGGATGCCAGGTCCTGTCTAGGGATGGAAACCCCCAGAGGATCCACCCCATCCCACTCCTGCCCTCACTGGGCTCACGGTCTGGCAGATGAAATGTCTAGAATCATGTATTCATGTGTTCAAGAACTGGTGGGGGGCCGGGCGCGGTGGCTCACGTCTGTAATCCCAGCACTTTGGGAGGCTGAGGCAGATACATCACTTGAGGTCAGGAGTTCAAGACCAGCCTGACCAACATGGCAAAACCCCGTCTACTAAAAATACAAAAGTTAGCCAGGCATGATGGCACATGCTTGTAATCCCAGCTACTCGGGAGGCTGAGGCAGGAGAATCGCAGAGGTTGCAGTGAGCCAAGATCATGCCATTGTACTCCAGCCTGGGTGACAGAGCAAAACTCAAAAAAAAAAAAAAATTACTGGTGGGGACCTGGGGCCCTAGTGTGCATCCCGTGCTGCTCCCAACCCTTGGGGCCCAGCAGTGACCAACACAGGCATCCTTGTGGTCACTGGAGTGTGTGTGTCCCCCACCAAAGTAAGTGATCCAGGAGTGCACAAAGGAGCTGCTGGGGCTGAGGAGTGGGCAGTGGGTTTTAGGAAGGAAGCCAGTGGGATAGCTTGATGGGTTCTAGATGGGGACACTTCCTTAGAGAGAAGGCAGTCAAGGAAGCCCCCTGAGCAGGTCCCTCAGTGACCTCAGTGAGGGGCAGGTCGAGGAGAAGCAAGGGTAAAAGGTGGGAGTGTCATAGCACAGATGTACCGTGTGCCTGGGGCACAGGGAGTGGCGTGGCACAGATGTGCTGCGTACCTGAGCACAGGGAGTGGTGGAGCAGGACAGGGCCGGGTAGGCAGTGGCCTGGTTGACAGAGGCTAGGTGACATTCAGAGGCTGTCGGGGGCCACAGAGCGCTTTTAAACTGGGGAGGGGGCCCAGCGCAGTGGCTCATGCCTGGAATCCCGGCACTTCGGGAGGCCGAGGCGGGTGGATCATGAGGTCAGGAGTTCAAGACCAGCCTGGCCAATATGGTGAAACCCCGTCTCTACTGAAAATATAAAAAATTAGCCAGGCACGGTGACATATGCCTGTTGTCCCAGTTACTCGGGAGGCTGGGGCAGGAGAATCGCTTGAACCCGGGAGGCAGAGGTTGCAGTGAGCTGAGATCACACCACTGCACTCCAGCCTGGGCAACAGAGTGAGACTCCGTCTCAAAAAAAAATAAATAAACCGGGGAGGGGGATGACCAGATTCTTATAGTTCCCAGGCTAGCCAAGGAGCCAGACGCGTACTTGGGCAGTTAGAGTCTAGGATGGGGAACGCAGGCACTGACTCATGCGCTCATTCAACAGATATATTGAGGCTGGGCGTGGTGGCTCATGCCTGTAATCCCAGCACTCTGGGAGGCCAAGGCGGGTGGATTGCCTGAGGTCGGGAGTTCGAGACCAGCCTGACCAACATGGTGAAACCCCGTCTCTACTAAAAATACAAAAATTAGGTGGGCGAGGTAGCGCGTGCCTATAATCCTAGCTGCTCGGGAGGCTGAGGCAGGAGAATCACTTGAACCCGGGAGGTGGAGGTTGCAGTGAACTGAGATTGCGCCACTGCACTCCAGCGCGGGCGACAGAGCAAGACTCCATCTCAAAAAATAAAAATAAATAAAAATAAAAATAAATAAATAAATAAATAAATAAATGAGAGAGAGAGAGCGAGCCAACCGTGGGCCGGGTCCTTAACCACAATGCACAAGTGTGGGGAAGTGAAGAGGCCATGGGTAGGAGCCCAGAGCAAACCACCTGCCCTAACTTGGGAGTTAAGGAGGAAGACACCCTGGAAGAGATGATGCTAGACAGAGAGACGGTGGGGGCTGGGGAGGGGGACCCCAGCAGAGGGAATCACATGTGCCAAGGACAGCAGTCAAGAAAGGTCATCTTTTGGCTCCAGCTCGAGTTCCTGGGGTTCCCATAGGGTCCGCCGGGCCTGGGGTTTGGAGGCCCAGCTCAGCAGGGTACCCCCATCCCAGGACTCATCGCTGCCCCACCCACCTGTCTCCCACAGACGGGCACCCTCACTGAGGACGGCTTAGACGTGATGGGGGTGGTGCCCCTGAAGGGGCAGGCATTCCTGCCCCTGGTCCCAGAGCCTCGCCGCCTGCCTGTGGGGCCCCTGCTCCGAGCACTGGCCACCTGCCATGCCCTCAGCCGGCTCCAGGACACCCCCGTGGGCGACCCCATGGACTTGAAGATGGTGGAGTCTACTGGCTGGGTGAGGAGGCCAAGCAGGTCAGCCCCCTGCCTCTGGGCAGTGGGGCCTAACGAATCCCACCCTGTCTTCCCTCTCCATCTTTCAGGGTGGTCTCTTATTATGCCCACCATTAATAATAATAGGCCAGGCGCAGTGGCTCACACCTGTAACGTGGCTCCCGGCGCTTTGGGAGGCCAAGACGGGAGGATCACTTGAGCCCGGGACCCCAGCCTGACCTACATGGCAAAACCCCATCTCTGCCAAAAATACAAAAATTAGCCGGGCGTGGTGGTGCATGCCTGTAGTCCCAGGAGGCTGAGGTGGGAGGATTAATTGAGCCCGGGAGGGCGAGGCTACAGGGAGCTGTGATCACGCTACTGCACTCCAGCCTGGGTAACAGAACGAGACCCTGTCTCAAAAAATAATAATGATAGGCCAGGTGCAGTGACTCATGCCTGTAATTCCAGCACTTTGGGAGGCTGAGGTGGGCAGATCACCTGAGGTCGGAAGTTTGAAAGCAGCCTGGCCAACATAGTGAAACCCCGTCTGTAATAAAAATACAAAAATTAGCCAAGTGCGGTGGAACATGCCTGTAGTCCCAGCTACTTGGGAGGCTGAGGGCAGGAGAATCATTTGAATCCGGGAGGCAGAGGTTGCAGTAAGCCGAGATCACACCACTGCACTCCAGCCTAGGTCACAGAGTAAGACTCTGTCTTAAAATAAAAGTAACATAATAATAATGGCAAGGCCTCAGGCTGAGTGCCTACTATGCGCCAGCGCACGGCCACAGAGGCCTGGTCTCATTTCCTCTTCCCCAAGCCCTAGCAAGCAAGCTCAAATGTTGCTTCACGGATGCTGAGGCTGGGAGATTTGGAGTGACGTATTCCAGGTCACCCAACAGCTTGTAAGTAGCAAAGCTAGAGTTTGAATTTGAGTCCACCGGGCTCCAAAGCCCACATTCTTAACCCACCATTCAGTCTCCCATGAAGGAAGTCTTCCCTGAGTCTAGCTCAAATCTCTCTGTGAGCCAAAGCCCCCAGACACCAAACTTCCCTGCCTGCCTGCCAGGTCCTGGAGGAAGAGCCGGCTGCAGACTCAGCATTTGGGACCCAGGTCTTGGCAGTGATGAGACCCCCACTTTGGGAGCCCCAGCTGCAGGCAATGGTGAGCTGAGGGGGGCCTGTTGGGTGCAGGGCAGAGGGGTGGGCTCCCCAGCCAGCACCTCAGCTGCCTCTCCAACCCTGCAGGAGGAGCCCCCGGTGCCAGTCAGCGTCCTCCACCGCTTCCCCTTCTCTTCGGCTCTGCAGCGCATGAGTGTGGTGGTGGCGTGGCCAGGGGCCACTCAGCCCGAGGCCTACGTCAAAGGCTCCCCGGAGCTGGTGGCAGGGCTCTGCAACCCCGAGACAGGTGCAGGGGGAAGCCCCTGAGTCCCCCTGGTTGGGCATTGGCACAGAATGGGGTGGGTACCCAGCCTCTGTCCCTGCCATCCCCTCCTTGTGACACCTGCCTCTCCCTGGCAGTGCCCACCGACTTCGCCCAGATGCTGCAGAGCTATACAGCTGCTGGCTACCGTGTCGTGGCCCTGGCCAGCAAGCCACTGCCCACTGTGCCCAGCCTGGAGGCAGCCCAGCAACTGACGAGGTGGGCCTGTCTCCTGTCCCACCCACTCTGAGGACTAGGCAGAGGGAGGCTCTCACGCAGGCAGAGCCCAAGGAAGATGCCCTGCCTGGTGGCTGGGAGAGGGGCCCTGGCCACTGCATGACCTCTGATCCAGGTCTGCCCACCCTCCAGGGACACTGTGGAAGGAGACCTGAGCCTCCTGGGGCTGCTGGTCATGAGGAACCTACTGAAGCCGCAGACAACGCCAGTTATCCAGGCTCTGCGAAGGACCCGCATCCGCGCCGTCATGGTGACAGGTACAATGGCATGTAGGGGCCCGGGCTAGCAGGGCAGAATCCGCCCCTTCCTGGCAGAGAAGAGGGGCACCAGGGATTCCTTTTTGGGGCATCTTTTTGGGCCCTTGCTTCAGGCCAGGTCCTTTTTAAACATTTCGTGAATCTTCACAATATCCCCCCCGCAAGTGGTAATTGTCACCCCTGTTTGACAGATGAGGAAACTGAGACTCAGAGGAGTGGAGTGACTTCCAAGGAACCCATGTGCGCTGTCAGACAGCCTGGGTTCCAGGTGGCACCTCTGAGAAATGGGGATAATGATGTCAGCCTCAGAGGCTGTGACAAGCTCAAGGAGCAGGAAGAGAAAGATTCTGGCCGGGCACGGTACTTCATGCCTGTAATCCCAGCACTTTGGGAGGCCAAAGGAGAAGGATGTCTTGAACCCTGGAGTTCAAGACCAACCTGGGCAACATGGCAAAACTCCGTCTCTACAAAGAATACGAAAATGGCCGGGCACAGTGTCTCACGCCTGTAATCCCAGCACTTTGGGAGGCCGACGCGGGCGGATCACTTGAGGTCAGGAGTTCGAGACCAACCTGGCCAACATAGTGAAACCCCGTCTCTACTAAAAATACAAAAAATTAGCCAGGTATGGTGGTGGATGCCTGTAATCCCAGCTACTCGGGAGGCTGAGGCAGGAGAATCACTTCAACCCGGGAGGTGGAGGTTGCAGTGAGCTGAGATCACGCCATTTCACTCCAGCCTGGGCAACAGAGAGAGACCCAGTCTCAAAAAAAAAAAGATTCTAGCTAGGGTGAGACAGCAGGAGCTAAGAGGTCTGTGTCCTTGTCCTCCCCGCCCCTGCACACACACATATGTGCACACACATTCATGGGCACTTGGCAGCAGAGTCACACAGCAGTAAGGAGTATATGTAGCCTGGGCACATGGCTCGTGCCTGTAATCCCAGCACTCCGGGAGGCCGAGGCAGGGGGATCACCTGAGGCCAGGAGTTCAAGACCAGACTGGCCAACATGGTGAAACCCCATCTCTACTAAAAATGCAAAAAAAATTAGCCTGGTGTGGTCGCACCCTCCTGTAATCCCAGCTACTCAAGAGGCTGAGGCAGGAGAATTGCTTGAGCCCAGGAGGAAGGAGGTTGCAGTGAGCCGAGATCAAGCCACTGCACTCCAGCCTGGGCCACAGAGAGAGACTCTTGTCTTAAAAAAAGAAAAAAAAGGAGTATATGTGGAGCTCCAGCCCACGGCTCCAGGTTCTCCTAAGACCCTTCAATGCCTGGATCTACAGATGAGAAAACTGAGGCAAAGGGATGTTGGTAACCTGCCTCAGCTCACTTGGCTGGTGGTGGCAGACGGATTTCATCCAGCCTGTTTTCCCATCTGTAAGGATCAGGATGAGGATGGCCTCCCCGGATAGCCTCAGACCCTCACCTTGCCCCATAACCCCCAGGGGACAACCTGCAGACAGCGGTGACTGTGGCCCGGGGCTGTGGCATGGTGGCCCCCCAGGAGCATCTGATCATCGTCCACGCCACCCACCCTGAGCGGGGTCAGCCTGCCTCTCTCGAGTTCCTGCCGATGGAGTCCCCCACAGCCGTGAATGGCGTTAAGGTGAGGCTAACCCAGAGTTCCAGCTGTACCTCACCCAGTGACCCCACCCCTGTGTCACCTGACCCAGGCCCCAACTCTCCAGGGTGGGCAGGGGGAGCTAAGCTGAGCTTCCTGGGCCCCCAGGATCCTGACCAGGCTGCAAGCTACACCGTGGAGCCAGACCCCCGATCCAGGCACCTGGCCCTCAGCGGGCCCACCTTTGGTATCATTGTGAAGCACTTCCCCAAGCTGCTGCCCAAGGTAGGGCCGCCCCCAGCTCCCTGGCCGCCCTGCGCCTCCCCTGCTCTGTCTCCTTCCTCACGGCTCGCTCTCCCTGGTGGGTGCCTCAGCCCTCCCCCATCTCCCTGTGCTCCCAGGTCCTGGTCCAGGGCACTGTCTTTGCCCGCATGGCCCCTGAGCAGAAGACAGAGCTGGTGTGCGAGCTACAGAAGCTTCAGTGAGTGCTCGGCAGAGGGTGTGGGCAAGGGCCTGCGGAGACTGAGCTTGTCCGTTCGTCTGTTCATCTGTCCTTCCCCAGGGCCCTGTCTCCCTCCTCAGGCACCAGAGAGCTGTCACCCCTCCTCACCAAAAGCAGGCAGGCTCTCCCAGGTCTTTCATGCTAAAAATAATAATTGTAGGCTGGGTGCGGTGGCTCATTCCTGTAATCCCACCTCTTTGAGTGGCCGAGGTGGGAGGATCACTTGAGCCCAGGAGTTTGAGGCCAGCCTGGGCAACAAAGTGAGACCCCATCTCTTATTAAAAATTTAAAAATTAGCCAGGTGTGGTGACACACCGGTCATCCCAGCTACTCAAGAGGCTGAGGCAGGAGGGTTGCTTGAGCCTGGGAGGCTGCGGCTGCAGTGAGCCATGATCACACCACTGCACTTCAGCCTGGGCAACAGAGCGAGACTCCGTCTCAAAAAATAGTAATAGGCCAGGCGCGGTGGCTCATGCCAGTAATCCCAGCGCTTTGGGAGGCTGAGGCAGGCAGATCACCTGAGGTCAGGAGTTCAAGACCAGCCTGGCCAACATGGTGAAACCCTGTCTCTACTAAAAATACAAAAATTAGTTGGGCATGGTGGCGCACACCAGTAATCCCAGCTACTCAAGAGGCTGAGGGCACTTGGGCAGCAGAGGAGGTTGTAGTGAGCAGAGATCACGCCACTGCACTCTAGCCTGGGCAACAGAGGGAGACTCTGTCTCAAAAAATAATAGGCCGGGCACGGTGGCTCATGCCTGTAATCCCAGCACTTTGGGAGGCCGAGGCGGGTGGATCACCTGAGATCAGGAGTTTAAGACCAGCCTGGCCAACATGGTGAAACCCCATCTCTACTAAAAATACAAAAAATTAGCCAGGCGTGGTGGCGGGCGTCTGTAATCCCAGCTACTTGGGAGGCTGAAGCAGGAGAATCACTTGAGCCCAGGAGGCAGAGGTTGCAGTGAGCTGAGATCATGCCATTACACTCCAGCCTGGGCAACAAGAGTGAAACTCCGTCTCAAAAAATAATAATAATAATGATAATAATAATAATAATTGCATCTATTCACTGAGCGCCTCCTGTACACCAGGCACCATGTGGCATTAGGGGCCCAGCTGTCATCATATTCTGCCAGCCCACCCATGGGGTGGTGGGGTAATTCCCCAGGCCACACCTGTCCACACCTCTCTTCAGGTACTGCGTGGGCATGTGCGGAGACGGCGCCAATGACTGTGGGGCCCTGAAGGCGGCTGATGTCGGCATCTCGCTGTCCCAGGCAGAAGCCTCAGTGGTCTCACCCTTCACCTCGAGCATGGCCAGTATTGAGTGCGTGCCCATGGTCATCAGGTAAGGCAGGCAGGGACCGGTGGGTGAGGGCTCAGCAGGGCTGGTCAGCCAACCTGGGTCCCCTAATGTCCGTGCCCTGCCACCCAGGGAGGGGCGCTGTTCCCTTGACACTTCGTTCAGCGTCTTCAAGTACATGGCTCTGTACAGCCTGACCCAGTTCATCTCCGTCCTGATCCTCTACACGGTGAGTATCTGCAGAGCTCCGTACCCAGAGCCGTCCCAGGACTAGGGAGGGGACACAGCCCTGTGCCTTGGAGCTGGCAGGTCCCAGAATAGATGACGTGGGCCCAGATCCTGACCCTGCCACTCTCCGGCTGTGTGGTTGGAGAGGTGGCAAGGCTTGGGGGAGATGAGAAAAACACCAGGCACGGAGCCTGGTACCCACTAGGTCCTCACAAATGGCAGCAGCTGTCATGGGCTAACATCTTGACCGCAACTCTGGGAGCTCCCCAATCTGCAGGGAAGACTGAACGGAGGCAGGGCCAAAACCCTCGCCCCCGCCCCATCCCCACAGGTCTGCCCATTTCCCCAGATGCACTTGCTTTGCCCCATACCTTGGCTGTACCTCCCACACCCTACTTGGAGGAGCTCTCCCCTCCCCTGCTCTGGGCATGGCCTGCTCACCCCCAGCGAATGAGGTGACACTGCAGGGCGGCGCACATCTTATACTTGGGTCTGTCCCTGTGTCTGCCTGAAAGCGAGGAGCTCCCTGAGGGCAGGAACTGTGCATGCCCTGGTAGCTATAGGGACTCCGCAAGGCAGAGCCGAAGCCTCCCCTTCGGGCCGGGAGTTTGTTACAGGGAGGGAAACCTCCCCTCAGATTTAGGCCCCCAAGGTCAGCACAGGTGCCCTTTCCATCAGACCAGGGGTTTGTCTCACATCAAGAGCGGCACCTCCTCCGCTGGGCTGGCAGGAGAGTACGGCCCCCATTAGACTGGGGGATGCCTTACCCATCAGATTCCTTCGGGGCAGGGGTGGGGCCTCTGCTATCAGACTAGGGGCTGCCAGGGCCAGGTCTTAGTTTCCCCTCTGTCCTCCCTTCCCTGTGGCAGATCAACACCAACCTGGGTGACCTGCAGTTCCTGGCCATCGACCTGGTCATCACCACCACAGTGGCAGTGCTCATGAGCCGCACGGGGCCAGCGCTGGTCCTGGGACGGGTGCGGCCACCGGGGGCGCTGCTCAGCGTGCCCGTGCTCAGCAGCCTGCTGCTGCAGATGGTCCTGGTGACCGGCGTGCAGCTAGGGGGCTACTTCCTGACCCTGGCCCAGCCATGGTGAGTAGGGAGCTGACTGACCACCCCCATCCCGCCCCTTCCCTGTCCACCCCACGTTCGTTCCCTGACCCCCATCCCTGTACCCCCAGGTTCGTGCCTCTGAACAGGACAGTGGCCGCACCAGACAACCTGCCCAACTACGAGAACACCGTGGTCTTCTCTCTGTCCAGCTTCCAGTACCTCATCCTGGCTGCAGCCGTGTCCAAGGGGGCGCCCTTCCGCCGGCCGCTCTACACCAATGGTGCCACTGCGGGCGCGGGCGGGAGATGCTGGCGGAGGGAGGGAGGAGCCCTGGGGTGCTGGGGAGGCAGATGGGAGAGAGGTGCCGGCCGAGTGGAAGACTGGCGTGCACACGTGTGTCTGTGGGTGCCGGGGGGGCGTGGCTCCTGCCTGAGAGACTCTCCTGCTCCCAGTGCCCTTCCTGGTGGCCCTGGCGCTCCTGAGCTCCGTCCTGGTGGGCCTTGTCCTGGTCCCCGGCCTCCTGCAGGGGCCGCTGGCGCTGAGGAACATCACTGACACCGGCTTCAAGCTGCTGCTGCTGGGTCTGGTCACCCTCAACTTCGTGGGGGCCTTCATGCTGGAGGTGGGGCCCGCCCTGGGTCTCAGCAGCGGGAGAGAAGGGAGGTGGGGGTGCATTGACCCCAGCTCAGCCCCGGCTGCCCCTGACACCCTCCCTGCCCTTTGCAGAGCGTGCTAGACCAGTGCCTCCCCGCCTGCCTGCGCCGCCTCCGGCCCAAGCGGGCCTCCAAGAAGCGCTTCAAGCAGCTGGAACGAGAGCTGGCCGAGCAGCCCTGGCCGCCGCTGCCCGCCGGCCCCCTGAGGTAGTGCAGGCCCACGGGCACCCCAGACACTGGAACTCCCTGCCTCTGAGCCACCAACTGGACCCCTCTCCAGCAACACCACCGCCACCACCTCCCACATCCCTGAGGTTGGCGACTGTCTACACTCCTCCCCCGAGACCACCCCCACCCTGGGGAAGCGTTGACTACTGTCCCCTACCTTGGACCATCCCGCGTAGGGGTGGCAGCCCCCAGCTCCCCTCAGTGCTGCTGTCAGTGTAGCAAATAAAGTCATGATATTTTCCTGGCTCTGCTGTGCCTGTCTTGTACCTGGCACCATAGACCCTCCCACCTGCCCAGGAGGAAATGCACATACCCCCGGGTGCCCAGCTGGCAGCCCCTGCACGTGTCTGCCCCTGGAACCCCCTGGGGGGCTGGTTTTTCAGGCTGGTTTTTCAGCCTGACAACCCCCTGGAACCCCCTGGTTTTTCAGACTCCATTGGCCAACTCCCCTCTCTGGGCCTGTGTTCCCTCATCTCACAGTAATAATGTTTCCTCTGTGTCCAGCATGTGCCTGGATATTCCGTTTAGCTTTTTTTTTTTTTTTTTTTTTTTTCTTGAGATGGAGTCTTGCTCTGTCACCCAGGCTGGAGTACAGTGGGGTGATCTCTGCTCACTGCAACCTCCGCTTCCCAGGTTCAAGCGATTCTCCTGCCTCAGCCTCCCGAGTAGCTGGGATTACAGGCATGTGCCACCACGCCCAGCTAAATTTTGTATTTTTAGTAGAGACAGGGTTTCGTCATGTTGGCCAGGCTGGTCTCGAACTCCTGACCTCAGGTGATCCGCCCACCTTGGCCTCCCAAAGTGCTGGGATTACAGGCATGAGCCACTGCGCTTGGCCCCATTTAGCATTTTACACACATTGTCATGTCATCCTTCCAACAACTGTGGTACTATTCCCATTTTACAGATGAAGAAACCAAGGCTTAGAGGTTACACAAGTAGTCAGAGTGGGGCCGGATAGCTTTGACTCCAGCTTCGATGTTCCTAACCCTCCTACCCTCCTTTGGAGGACAAGGAGATGTAGGCTTGCCTGGGAGGCATTTGCTAGGGGGCAGCTCCCTCTCTCCCACCTTACCCCCTCCCCGTCCCACCCCAGCATCCTGGGACATGTTTGTGGGCAGTTCCTTCCTCAGATGAAATCCAGGCTCGGAGCCCACATCTCCCAGCCAGAACCACGCGCATCATCCCTCAGGGAAGGGTGGGTGCCTCTGAGCTCATCTCACCAGCGGGCCCCTGGCCAAGCCCCTCTGCTCTAGAGAGGCAGCTTGGCCGTCTGGCTCATCTGGGCAGGGGAGAACAGGAAAGACCGGCTGTTTCCTGCCTTCCAAAAGCCCTGGCCAACCTCATTCCTGGAACCCCTGGTGCTATCCCCAGGCCTGCCAGAGTAGGGGCTGAGAAAACGTTGAATCATGCTGGGGAGAAGGGATGTGGGTGTGAAGATGAAAGTCCTGCCAGGAGGCACATCACAGTGGACCTCTGCTCCTGGCACTGTGTTGCCAGCCAGCGACGGTTCAGGGTGGTAGATGCTGTTTAAGAGGAAGCCACAGAGAGGCCTGGGTTCAAATCCCTCCTCTACCCTTAGCTGATTATTCATGAATCTGTTGGACAGGTGTGTGCCAGGCACCAGGACTAACTCAACAAACTGAATAAAACGGGACAAAAACATGGTCTAACCCTGCGAGCAGTTCACCATCCAGCGTGAAAGCCTGGCAGGGAAGGAGCACATCTCCAAAGACGTAGTGGGAGCACAGCAACCACAGCCCCATCCCCTCCCCTGCCCAAAGAAACAGCCAGGGGAATGGGTAGAAGCAGCAGAGAGGACATGGGAGCCAGGACACGAATTGTCAGCTTTAGCCCCTCAGTTTCCCAGTTTTTCTTTTCTTTTCTTTTTTTTTTTTTAGACAGGGTCTTGCTCTGTTGCCCAGGCTGGAGTGCAGTGGTGCAATCGTGGCTCACTGCAGCCTCTACCTCCCCAGGCTCAGGTGATCCTCCTACCTCAACCTCCTGAGTAGCTGGGACTATAGGCCAGCACCACCACACCCAGCTAATTTTTGTATTTTTTGTAGAGATGGGGTTTTGCCATGCTGTCCAGGCTGGTCTCAAACCCCTGGGCTCAAGCGGTCCACCCGCCTTGGTCTCCTAAACTGCTGAGATTACAGGTGTGAGCCACTGCACCCAACCTCCCTCCTTTTTTCAAGGGTAGGGGACAGCATTTCTGCTGGGTGAGTTCCTCTCTTTTGCCAGTGGGATTGCTCCTGGCAGCAGTGGGGTCTAAGGGCAGGCAGAGAGGGCTGGGCTGGCCTGGCCTGAGGGCCCACCTCTCTCCAGGTGACAAAAGTCTCTGCTGCCCTGCAATAGACACTGGGGGGCGGGGCATGGGAATGAAGGAGGCACAGGGCATATTTACTCCCTCCCTAAGACTCAGAGTCTAAGGGAGGTGGGGGAATGACTGGCGATGAAGAGATCAGATGGCAAGGGTCTAAATCAGGGGCCATCCTCATCTCCTCCCAGCCCGCAGCCCCTACAACTCTCACTCCCGCCTCAGGCCTAGGCTCCTGGGCAGGGCTGAAGGCTGCCCCTCACGCAGAGGATCTGCACCCCCAGCCAGCTTCTCCGGGAAGAGTTTAGTGTACAGTTCACTCATTCATTCCACCAATGTTTGCTGAACTGCTGCTCTGAGCCGGGCTCTGAACTTAATGAGCAAAACTGAAGATGAGCAAAAACAGCCTTGGTCCTGGCCTTCACGGGGCAAGATGACAGTCTCATCGGGAAGAGGGACAGGGCTCAGATGGTCACAGACATAGGCCAACAAGACAACTGCAAGCAGTAAAGCTAGAAAGCACAAAAAAAGGAAAAAGGGAAGGCCCCTCTGAGGAAGGGAGGGTTTGATCTGTGACCCCATGGAGGAGACCTCAGCCAGTGCTCGGGAGGAAGAAACGCCTCAGTGTGGGAGGGAGAGGGGTTTGGGAGAAAACCCCCAAAGGCCAGTGGCTGGAGGAGGAAGAGGAGGCAGAGCCAGGCTGCCATAAAGGGCCGGGGCCCTGGAAGCCACAGGGAAGTTGAGCCTCTAACCTGAGTGAAAGGCGATCAGTAGAAGGGGCACGATCTGCGGGGGTGAGGGAGGCAGGACCCACGTGGGAGAGCCCAGAGTGGAGGCTATCGCAGAGCCCAGGCAAATGATGGTGGTGTCAACTAAATAAGAAATCAGCCTTTTGACCAGGTGCAGTGGCTCACGCCTGTAATTCCAGCACTTTGGGAGGCCAAGGTGGGTGGATCAGCTGAGGTCAGGAGTACGAGACGAGCCTGGACAACATGGAGAAGCCTCGTCTCTACGAGAAATAAAAAAAAAAAAAAAAATAGCCAGGCATGGTGGTGGGTGCCTGTAGTCCCCACTACTCTGGAGGCTGAGGCATGAGAATCGCTTGAACCCAGGAGGCAGAGGTTGCAGTGAGTTGAGGATGCACCACTGCACTCCAGCCTGGGAGATAGCAAGACCCTGTCTCAAAAAAAAAGAAAAAGAAAAAATCCACCTTTTGGCCAGGCACAGTGGCTCATGCCTATAATCCCAGCACTTTGGGAACCCAAGGCAGGCGGATCAGCTAAGGTCAGGAGCCTGGCCAACATGGTGAAACCCTGTCTCTACTCAAAAAAAAAAAGCAAAAATTAGCCTGGCATGCTGGCATGTGCCTGTAATCCCAGCTACCCGAGAGGCTGGGTTGGGAGAACCTCTTGAACCCGGGAGGTGGAGGTTACAGGGAGCCGAGGTCACACCACTGCACTCCAGCCTGGGCAACAGAGTTAAACTCCATTTCAAAAAAAAAAAAAAAATCAGCCATTGAAAAAATTAAAGTTAGTTTTATTGAGTCTTACTGAGGACTGCACCCTGGGAGAGGGTTTCAGAGAGTTTCTGTTAGACTGCGCCAAAGCAGCATTTCAGCCCACAGTTTAGATACAGAGGCAGGCGGTTCTGTGTGTGCTCAGAAGCTATGGTCAGGCACGGTGGCTCACGTCCGTAATCCCAGCACTTTTGGAGGCTGAGGCGGGTGGATTGCTTGAGCTCAGGAGTTTGAGACCAGACTGGGCAAACACGGCAAAACCCCTTCTCTACAAAAAATACAAAAAAAAAAAAAAAAAAAAAAAAATTAGCCAGGCATGGCGGCTCTTGCCTGTAGTCCCAGCTACTTGGGAGGCTGAGGTGGAAGGATCACTTGAGCCCAAGAGGTGAGCTGTGATGGTGCCACTGCACTCCAGCCTGGATGACAGAGCGAGACCCGGTCTCATTAAAAAAAGAAGAAGAAAAATTTACATCAAATGTCTTCAGAAGCTACACTAGTGCAAATCTCGCCAAGGTTTGGGTTCGAGGATGCACCTAGTTATATAGATTATAGAGGCATAATCGTCAATCCTGTCAGGTGCTATCTTATGTACAGGAAAAGGCACAGCCAGGATCATTTAACTTATATTTTCTAACAATGCAGTGATTCAGGCAAGAGGCGTGGGAGCCTGTGTTCTGCCCTGCCTGCCATCTTCAAGGCATCCTTCCGTTGGGCTGCCCCCAGTCACTGAGTCAGGGCTTTGTCAGCTTCTGACAAGCAGAAAGAGCAAATGCGGTTTCTTGGGATTGCAACTTGGTCTCACAGTGGCTTAGGCCAGGGTGGGAGCAGTGAACGGAGTCACAAAAGAAATTTTTCAGGTAGCATTCACGGGTGGGTGCTGGATTAGATGCAGGGCTAAGGGCAGGGGAGGAAGCCTGGGTAATGGAAGGCTGCGGGGCCAAGGGGGGACTGGGAATCCTGGAGGGCCAGGTCTGGGGGAGAGTTAGGAGGTCGTGAATTTGGACTTGGATGCTTGTTGAAGCTGATGCATCTTGAGGACATTTGTGGGACACATAGGCTGGGTCAGGGCTGAAAGAGGTGCTGGTTATGGCCGGGGGCAGGGACTCATGCCTGTAATCCCAACAGCCCAGGAGGATGAGACAGGAGGAATGCTTGAGGCCAAAATTTCGAGGCCGGAAGTTCCAGACGAGCCTGGGCAACACAGCAAGACCCTGTCTCTAGAAAAGGAAAGAAAGAACCGCTGGTTGTGGAAGCCAGCCATGGCCCAGAGCTCAGCAGTGTAGGAGAGGAGGGTGCGGGCCTGAGAGAGGCAGCAGGCTTGGCTGGAGAGGCAGAAGGAAAACCAAGGCAGGAGAGTGTCCTGGAAGCTGGGAGAAGGCAGAGGGAGATCGAGGCTTACTTTCTGGCTGAGGGGCCTAGGGTGAGTCACTTTGGGAGGCTTGATTTCCTCCTCTGTGAAATGGGCAACACACCTACCCTTGCCCACCTCACCCCCCTCACCCCGTCGACGTCGAGTGAGGAGCAGCTGTGAGGAGGAGGAAGCTTTGCACAGACGTGAGGACGGCCCCGGGCGCCTCTACCCCGGGGACACCCCCCCCCCCAGGAGATGGAACCCCGAGGGCACGGCGTGGCGGCCCATGCGGGCAGCTCGCGTTAGGACCCAGCGGCTCCGGGGCTGGAGGGCGGGCGCCAGCCCCGTCGGGGGCCCGGAGGGGGACTCGGAGCGGGCCAAGGGGCGGCTCCGGCGGGCGGACTCGGAGCGGGCGGCGGAGTGACCCGGACAGGTAGGCGCGGGCCTGGCGCTTGGGGGCCCCGGGGGGCGGTCAGGGGCGTCGGCGGGTCCCCCGGCGCGGGGGCGAGGGTGCCAGGCTCTCTGGGTCCTCGATCCTGGGGCAGCCGCGGAGGTTCCTGAACCCCGCGCCTTCAGAGCGGAGGCCAAGGGGGCACCTGGAAAGTTTGGGGTTGCTCTGCAGAGAGAACGCGAATTGGGAAGGGCGGGGAGCCCGAGTTTGGGGGGAGCCAGAGGTGAGGTCGTCGGGGGATGGGACATCTTTTGTTCTCCCGGGGAGGTTGGAATGTGGCGGGTGGGGTGGGGGGGGGGGGTCCGGTGGGAATGGCCGAGACAGAGACGCAGAGAGACAAAGAGAGATCAGAGACGGGAGCGCGAGGGCGCGCGGAGCAAGTTTCCGCGGCTGATTGTTCCCAGCTGTGCGGCGCTGCAACATCTGGGTTTCTCCCGCCGGGACCCCTCCCCCTGAGCCCGGCTCTGGAGCCGGCAGAGCCCTCCCTCCGTCTGATGTCTGAGCGAGCGTCGGGGCCCCCTGTCCCCCACCTCCCAGGACGCAGGGGAGTCGGGGGTGGGGGAGGCCGCAGCTGTGGAAGAGGCCAGAGGTGGGGGTGGGGCAGCCTCCCAGGCAGGTCCTGGCCTCCCGCACGCCCCAAAACCCCTTCGTCTAGAAGAGCTCGGAGATGTGGTCCCGTGGGAGGAGTTCATGAACTCCACACTGACTTCTCTCTTTCCTGCCTCCCCGCTAGCCCGTGGGCCTCCTTCCCCCAATAAGCCTGGGTTCGGGGGCCAGTCCTAGGGGAGGAAGACTCCCCGCAGGGTACCGACAGGCATCCCCCAACACCTTGCAACCCCTCTTGCCCCAATTCAGCGCCTTCTGCTGAGCAGCGGGGGCTCCGACCGACCTGACGGATGGGGAGAAGGGCAAGGAAGGCTCTCTGGGTCTTTTCATCCCCCTCCCATGAGGAGGTCAAGGGTTTTCAGAATGGGGTGTGGGGAGCCAGCTATCCCTCGCCTCTGGGGCAGCTTGGTCCTGAGCTTCGTCTCCCGGCTCCCACTCCACCTTAGTGAGGTGCCTAATGCATGAGAGGAGCCAGGGGGTCAGGAGGCCTCAGGATTGAGAGGAAGGAGGGAAAGACCTCCTGCTTTCTCCCCTTTCCCTCCCCTCTCCCTGGACTCCCAGTGGGGAAAATAGACCAAAGTTGGGGTTTCCAGCTAGCTCTCTGAAAGGACTTCCTGGGTTGCAGCCGGGAGGGGCCCTCCTGGATGGACCCCGCCCTCGCAGCCCTCCCTACAGAAGGCTGACGGACCTGAGGTGGCCCTCCACTGAGCTGGGGCTGGATGTGGGGAACCGGAGGCTCCCCCAAGTCCCACCGTGTAGCCAGGACTGGAGGCTGGGCTCTTGAATGTCAGGAGCCTGATGAAAGCCACGGACCCCATGCCCTCTCCCTCCAAATGACACACACACTTGCCTACAGTGTCAGGGGGTGCAGAACCCCCAGCCTGGGTGATGTCACGGCCCCTTCAGTGCTGCCTTTCTGGGATCCAGAGGAGCCCCCTCAGGCTTCACTCTCGTGCTTCCTGCTGCTGCAAATAGCCCGGGTCTCGTGAGCCTGTGATGCACACAGCCAGGTCTTGCGAGGCCTGGAGGCCTGGCAGGAGAGGAGTCTTCTGGGAGCTGGGAGCCCTGCCCGGCCTGGCCGCTCTGGGGGCCGGGCAGGCCCATGTGTATGTGGTTTCCTGCTGAGCAGGATGCTTAGGGCCCAGGGGCTAATTGGGAGCAGGTGGTGGCTTGGCAGAAGCTGCTGAGTCCAGGCGGTGATGCCGGCTGGCCAGGGCTGGGGTCCCAAGGATGGGCCTGGGTTCAGTGATTCACGCAGTCAGTGCCTTGGACACCCAGGGAGCCACTGGGCCAGAGGGCTGAGCACGGGTGTGGGTGAGGACAGAATGGCCTGGGCTGGGAGCACATTAGGAATGTCCCCTTAGTGAGCAGGGCAGGGTCCGCCCTTCCCTGACCACATCAAGTACACCCACTACACGGGGTTTGCTTGTCAGGATCAGCCCTGGAGCTGGGTTGGAGGCCTTGTCCCTTGTGACCTGAACACCTGGGTGGGCCAGCAGGGACTGGGATGTCCCTCCACTCCAGCCCTCCCATGCCTGGCTTCTATTCTGGGTGCCACCTTCTCCAGGGCGAAATCAGGGGATCAAAGGTGAGCTCTGCTGTCCTGGGTGTGGCCCTGGGTAGAGCTCTCCCACCGGTCTTTCCCCAGCTGTCCTCTCTGACACCACCCCGGCCTGCCTCTTTGTTGCCATGAGAGCTGCCTACCTCTTCCTGCTATTCCTGCCTGGTAAGTGGCTCCTGGGGCAGGGGGTAGCTCCTCTTATGTGGGGCTGAGGAGTAGGGTTAGTAGGGGGAATTCATAGTGAGCCTTTGTCACGACTTATGACCAGAACTCAGCTCCCCAGCTCCCAGGGCCTTCTGCCTGCTTGGACCACAGACTGGACCAGCCAACCCTGGCAGCATCTGGAGGCAGCTCCTGGCCCTTCCCCCAGCCTTCCACAGCAGCAGGCAGGCAGGGTTCTGGAGGGCACGTCCCAGGCACAAGGACTCCGTGGGCACAAGGCACAAGGCCTCTCTGGGAGCCGATGTGCAGGTGCAGGGGCACCCAAGGCAGGGAGTCCGGATGCTTGAGTTCTAGATCCATTCAGGGCCCTTCTGCTCTATACAGTCCTGACCTTGTGGGGGTCCCTACTGGCCAAATGAAGAGAATCAATGAGGACCACAAAAGTCCTAGCAGGGCCAACATTCATTCATTCAGCAGCGATGTGTTGAGTCCCTACCACGTGCCAAGTGCTGGGCTAGGCCCTGGGGATTCAGCGATGAACCAGGCAGACACATCGTTGCTCCTCATCATGCTGCCAGTCCAGGGAAGGGAGACAAATAGGAAACAAGCAGACATGAGAAACTCCAGCATGTGCTGAGTGCTGGACAGAAATCAGCAGGAGGGCTGGTGGGCTGGAGGTGGGGCGGCATCTTGGCACAGCTGAAATTCCAGGGAAGACCTGAAGGAGCTGAGCAGGCCTCACAGGCCCAGGGAGTGTCAGGTGCAAAGGCTCTGAGGGAGGCAGGAGCATGTGGAGTCCTAGGAGCAGCCAGGAGGCCAGCAACAGGAAGGGGCAGGGTAAGGTCAGGGAGGTGACCCATGACCAGGGTGGGGAAGGGTCTTTACCATCGAAGAAGAGTCTGGATCCTCTAGGAATCTGCTTGTGGGGTCCTAGGCTCTTATGGGCCTGACCTTGTGACCCCCGCCTCCACTCTCCAGAAGCGCCTCGGGCCCCCGTTGCCCCTCCCGATGGGGTACCCTACATGCTTTGCCTCCCCACAGCAGGCTTGCTGGCTCAGGGCCAGTATGACCTGGACCCGCTGCCGCCGTTCCCTGACCACGTCCAGTACACCCACTATAGCGACCAGATCGGTAAGGGCCTTGCCGGGTCACCGAGGCCTGGCTGCTCAGATGTGCCTGGCTCAGCCAGGGACCGCACTGGACACGCTGATGGGAACTCTGGGGGTTGGTCCCTGGCTCAGGAGGGAACTTGTTTGCCCCAGGGGCTGGGGGATTAGCCTTACTCCCACCAATTCCACTTTCATCTTTGTTTGCAGACAACCCAGACTACTATGATTATCAAGGTAACGGGCTAGGGGTAGGATAGGACGGGCCGGCAGCTGGGGTGGGGAGACCCCCTGGGAGGGGTAGAGGGAGCAGACCCCCTTATCCTCCCCTGGCTGCAGAGGTGACTCCTCGGCCCTCCGAGGAACAGTTCCAGTTCCAGTCCCAGCAGCAAGTCCAACAGGAAGTCATCCCAGCCCCAACCCCAGGTAGGCCCCAGACCCTGCTCCCACCCGTCTCAGCTCCTGCCTCACCCCTCCCCACCCTGTCAACCCTGGGAGTGGGGGTCTGCCAGGGCTGGGAGAGGTGACTCCCCTTGCCCTGAGGAGACCCCTCCCAGTGATGTCTGCCTACCTCTGTCTCCACACCAGAACCAGGAAATGCAGAGCTGGAGCCCACAGAGCCTGGGCCTCTTGGTAAGGGCTTTCTTGACAGCTGGAAAAATGGAGGCACGCCCTGAAGTTGGGGTGGAGTAGGGGGTGGTGCTGGTGGGCTGGAGGTCTTTGGCCCTTGCCCATGTGGGCTCTTGGCAGTGTGGGCAGTATGACTGCCGTAGGCTGGCATCACCAGGCCCCCCAGGCAGCTCCAGGAGGTCCCACCTGTCCCCAGTGTGCCTGGCTGGAGGCTAAATTGGCAGCCTAGGAAGGCCCCTGACCTCACAGATACTGGGAGGGGCAGGGAGTGTGCTGGGGGCTTCCTGCCAGCCAGAGAGACTGAGTGGTGCACATGTGGAGGCGAGGAAGGGCCAGGGAGTGCAGGCTGGCTGAGCGGTGCCCTCCGGCTGCCCTAGCTGAGAGCTTGAAAGAACAAGGTGTGTGTGTGCAGGAGAATCCGTGTGCTCACTCTCGTGTGGGTTGGTGTGAGCGCTCCTATGTGGGCTTCTGTGAGCGTGGGCACGTCTGCTCGGGAGTTGGTATGGGCTTTTGTGGCGATGCATGGGTGGGTGCAAATTTCTGTTTGAACTTAGGCTTCTATAGTAAGTGCGGTTGTGAATTGATACGTGAATATTACAGCCCTGGGAAGTCTGACAATGCTGCGTGGGTCTATGTGGGCATGTGTAGGTATGGGTGTCTGCACGGGGCCTGAAGGTACAGGGGGGACTAGGCCCTGTGAGCCAGCCTCAGGTGGGTGAGGCTGGGGGCCGCCCCCCACTCTGGGCTCCTAGTCTGACCCCACCTGTCACCAGACTGCCGTGAGGAACAGTACCCGTGCACCCGCCTCTACTCCATACACAGGCCTTGCAAACAGTGTCTCAACGAGGTCTGCTTCTACAGGTGAGCACAGATGGGCAGCTGTCGGGAGGATTCCGGAGCATGGGGGGCTAGAGGGCACAGGGGACAGCTCTGGCCCGCCAAGGTGGGAGTTGGAGGAAAGATAGTGAGTCCTTAAGTTGAGCTCAGTTCTGTGGTTGAGCCTGGGCCAGGGACCTCCTCCACTCCTGGGCTCCAGTGCCAGGTTCTGTCCGGGCTCCCGTGCCAGGTTCTGTCCGGGCTCCCGTGCCAGGTTCTGTCTGGGCTATCCCAGTGGGATTGGGTGGAAGTGGGGCTGAGACCTCCCGTGCCCTGTCCCCGCAGCCTCCGCCGTGTGTACGTCATTAACAAGGAGATCTGTGTTCGTACAGTGTGTGCCCATGAGGAGCTCCTCCGAGGTAGGAAGGCCACCTCCCCAAGACCTCCCCTGTCCCCACACCCGCATCATTATCTGGCCACCTAGCCACCCACCTGATGTTTATTCAACACATATTATCCACCAGGCCCACTTCCAGGACACCCTGAGCTCCCCTCCTTGCTACTTTTCATCCTCAAAACACTCCCATCACCAGAGTTGGGGGAGGGGCAGCGGTTCCCATCACCCAGCTCCACCCTGACCCTGCCTCCTTCCTGCCCCCAATAGCTGACCTCTGTCGGGACAAGTTCTCCAAATGTGGCGTGATGGCCAGCAGCGGCCTGTGCCAATCCGTGGCGGCCTCCTGTGCCAGGAGCTGTGGGAGCTGCTAGGGTGGTGCTGGCATCCTGAGTCCTGGCCCTCCTGGGATCTGGGGCCCTCGGGCCCTGCCTGACCTGGTGCTTTTTTCCCCATCCCCATGTTCCTTTTATTCTGTAAAAAGTTAGTGGACTGCAGCCCTGGGGGTTGCAGGCTGCGGTGCCTCAGGCCCCTCCTTCAGCCTGTGGCCACCTCTGGGGCACAATGGGGGCTCCCCACTGCCCAGTCTGCCCCTCGGGTTGGGGGAGTATCCCAGGCCTCTCTGTGGGACCTGGGCCCCTGACGGGCCTTCTCAGCCCGTTTTGAGGACAGACAGTCCCCCGAGGTAGGCTACATCCCCCCACCCCAGCTGGTCTGCTTGGATTTCCTACAGCCCCCGTGGGCATGGACCACCTTTATTTTATACAAAATTAAAAACAAGTTTTTACAAAAGATCAAGTCACTTTTTCGGTGGAGAGCACAGAGGGGCCAGCCAAGTGCCCCCAACGCGGACTGTCCTGAGAGGCTCCTGACCCCTTGGAGTGAACGATCTGCTCAGGTGCCCTGTGCTTCCGCAGTCCCAGCCCCACCGCCTTACCCGCCGGCTCCAGCTCTGCCCTGCCCAGAACGCTGCGTCATGACAGTGTACGCGCGCATGCGTGTTGTGGGAATTGCACGGGAGATGGAAGGCTTCAGGGACACAGCTTTCTGATGACCGGGGCTGCTTGGTGAGCACATTGAGTTCCCATCACCAGAGGAACACAGCAAAAATGGGAGGCCGCCCATGGGGTGGGGGGGGCACAGGGTCAAGGCAGGCGGACTGACATCCAAGGCCTTTGTTTGGGAAGTTGGGGAGATGGGTGCCATTAAGAGGGCAAAAAAAGCGGGGCACAGGGACTCACACCTATAATTCCAGCACTTAGGGAGGCTGAGGCGGGCGGATCACTTGAGGCCAGGAGTTCGAGACCAGCCTGGCCATGGCGAAATCCCGTCTCTAGTAAAAATACAAAAAAAAATTAGCCAGGCGTGGTGGCGTGTGCCTGTAATTCCAGCTACTCAGGAGGCCGAGGCACAAGAATTGCTTCAATCTGGGAGGCGGAGGTTGCAGTGAGCCGAGATCGCGCCACTGCACTCCAGCCTGGGCGACAGAGCAAGACTGTGTCTCAAAAAAAAAAGGGCAAAAACAAGCAAGCCATTGTAACACCTCCCTCCAACCAGCATGTGGGGCCTGGGCTCTGTGTGTGAAGGCTCACACACTCCTGTTTAGCCGTCCGAACAGGCATATGTGGTGGATGCAATTCATATCCCCTTCTTAGAGACAGGAAAACTGAGCCCAGAGACGTTAAGTAACCCACCCAAGGGTCCCACCCACGGGTCCACAGCTATCAGTGGCAGTGCTGTGGCTGAATCGGTCAGCTGGACTCCAGCAGGTGAGGATGAGTGTTAATTTCTCCTTCGGACACTGATTGAGCACCTCCTATGTGAACTTCCCCAGAGCCACCCTATGCGGTTAGGTTCCCATTTTACAGATGAGCAAACTGAGGCTCTAAGAGGTTAAGCAGCTTTGCTCAGGATCACTCAGCGGTGCCAGGGCAAGACCCCACGTTCACATCCAAACCTGCACTTGTTTGCCATGCTGCCTGGAAGGCCTGTCACTGTCCCGAGGGTGGGCTTGGATCTAAGGAGGGGCCAGAGAAAGGGGCAAGAAAGCATAGGCTGGAAGGAGTCGAGGTGCACAGGCTGGGCCCAGTCCCAGGCCTCAACAGCCCCATCTGTTCCATGGGCCGGGTGACCGAGTACCCCAGAGGCCTCCCCATCTGACATTCTGTGAGGCTGGTAAGTTCCCTTCCCAATACCGGCCTCTCTGCTCTCCCTGCCGCCTCCCCAAGCACCCCTCCCTAGAGGGCCCCATCCCTCTTGCCCCAGACCCTACCTGTCTCCCCCCGACGTCTCCTCCAATTGTCTAGAAAAGGGACACAGCTGTACAAACTTTTTTAAAAACAAGGTTTTGTTACAAAAAACAGTTCTGAACAGTTAACATTGTAAAAAGGTATAAAAATACAGGGACTCTGAGCACTCTGAGGAATTTCCCGACACATGCTCTTAACTAAGGCGGAGAGATCTCTGGGAAGCCGAAGTCAGGGCCTGGGCCTCTGACCCCTGCCCTGGGCCTGGTCCCCCTCCTCTTTCCCACGATCCCATGCTCCAGGGCTGACCAGAGACAAGGGCTCTCCCCAATCCTGGCTACGGCTCAGCCTCTCAAGGAGGAACTTTAATGATCTACAGTGGCTCATCCTAGAAGAGGGGGGCTGGACTGCAGGTGTTGCTGGGAAGCCTCTCCAGGCCTGGAGCTGGAGTACCCGTCCTCAGCACTGCCAGCAGAGCGCCTCCTCATCCCACCCCAGCTTGAGGCCCCCAAGGGACCGGGCTCTGGGGGGGGGGGCTGTCCAAAAGAAGGGTCCTCCCCTGTCCCAGGCACAGGGGTGTTCTCCAGATGCCAGCAGGAGCTCATTTCTCTGGGGGGCCGGAGGGTGGGGAGAAGGGTGCTGAGCTCCTTCGAAGCTCCTGCTGCAGCTGGCCCTTCAGTGTGGACACCTGGGGAAGAAAGGGAAGGTAAGGCCAGCCAGGTCCTCAGCCTGGCTTCAGAGAAAGGGAGGCAGCAGGGAACCCGGAGGGACACAGTGCCACAGTTTCAGGAAAGGTCTGGTCTCACTGAGAGCCAGGGGCTGTCCTGCCTTTCTCATTTTGTTCCTTATAGCAGAGTCAGGCGTCTTCTGACTGTTGGGCACCTTTGAGGGCAACTCCACCCCCATTCTTTATCCCCATCATCACTTGGGTGGGCGTGGCTTCAGCCCAGACCCAAGGGGTGGACATGTGACCCAGCCCGGCCTAGCAGAGAAGCCTTGCCCGGCCGACAAGGCTGGCTCAGGCATGGTCAGGAAGGGGTATGTGATCTGAGCGGGCCAGTGAGGGACAGCCTTAGGACTTCTGCCCCTGCTCTCTTCTGAGATGACAGATTGCTGGGAGAACCTGAGGCTGGAGCTGCTGAGGCCACCTGGCCACCCAGGGAGAAGGCTACCCTGAGCATGGAGCCAGGGGGAACAGAGCCATGGCAGGAGGCCTGGGGCCCAGGAGCATCCCGTGGCCCCGGTCTGGTCTTGGCTGACACCAGCGCAGAGCCAACCCCACCCTTTTCGGTTACGGGAGCCATCGACTGCCTATACCCACAAGGTCTTGATTGGGTCTCTCCTCTTTCTGCAGCCCCACACATCCATCCTGGCCCAGCCTTCTAAGGGGGCCTGCACACCTGCTCCTCCAGCCCACGCACCCTCTGGCGGTGGGCCCGCTCCCGAGCCTCCAGGGTGCGCTCAGTCTGCGCCTGGGCGCTGCGCAGCCGCTCCACCTCCTGCTGCAGCTCCAGCTGCTGCTGCTGCGCATCCACCTCCAGCTGGGCCGGGCTGTGGCTCTGCTCCAGCACCACCACCTGCGCCTGCAGGGAGGGGCTGTGGTCCGCGTTCTGGCCCAGTGTGAGTGTGTGTGTGCATGTGTGACGGGTTGTCAGGTACCTCCCTGGGACACGGCCAGTGCAGAGGGGGAAGGCAGGAGAGATCCTTGTGTGTCTTCCATCCTGCTGGCCCTGACAGTGAGCCTGCGAGCCCAGGATGAGTGCACCCAATGACCCCCACTCAGGCAGGTGCATGGACACACACACACACACACACACACACACACACACACACACACACACTCAGACATCATACACACAGGCACAAAGGCAAGCATGTAAATACCTATCTGGACTCACACAGGTGCATGTGTATGTGCAAAGGCCCAACTCCCCCATGCATGAAAACATCTGTACACAAACACATATTCATAATACCTAGACACGCCACACCATGCACAAGATTCATGCTCCATACACAAGAATCGTCACATGGATTCTCACACTGCTGCATGGCCACAACGTACATGAACCCACAGGCTCACGTGCAAACAGGCCTTTCGTGTCTTTTCTGTACACCTTAGGGAGAACCCATCCCTCCATGGCCCGCTGGGTCACTGGAAGGCTCAGGGCTCCTGGGGGAGGGGGTTATGGGCCCTGGGCTGGCTGGGCCATCAGCTCCACTGGAATTGCTGAGCACTCATACTAGGGATGAAGTTGGGGTCCCGGACTGGGTGGGGTCAGACCTCCAGCTGCTGGATCTGCCTCTGCGCCTCTGCCAGCTCCAGCTCAGCCCCCGTGAGGGTGCGGTCCAGGCGGCCCTTCTCTGCGCTCAGCCGCACTGTGTCCTCATGGCTACGAAGCTTCTCCCGCTCCACCTAGGCAGGAGAGCCACAGGAGATCAGGGTGCCAGGAGGAGCTTACTGAGGGGGCTCAGGTTCCTGAACCCTGATGGAATAACCTAACCCCACCAGAGGTAGCAGACCCTGGGGATGTGCAGTGGGATCCACCACGGTTAGGCCCCAGAGGAAGTGAGGGGAGAGCCTGGGGAGCAGCCTACCTTGTCCAGCGTCCTCCTGAGGGCTACACGGTCCTTCTCCAGCCGCAGGGCTGAGCGCTCCACCTCCCGCTTCTCAGCTTCCAGCTGAGCCAGGGCGCGCTGCAGGCTTCCCAGGCGCTCCTGCAGCAGCCGCCGCTCGTCTTGCAGCTTCTGGACGGTGTTCAGGGCTGCAGCCTCACCCTCCTGCCGCTGCCGCAGCACCTGCAACAGAAGCCAGGCAGGCCCCGAATCCCTCTGGGCCTGAGCATACTTATCTGAAGCTTGGGGACAATGAGGCTGGCCCACTCACAGAGCAGGCGACGGTGAGGCCCACATCAGAGAATTGTCACCTGAAGCCAAACCTGTCTCTCTCAGTCTGTTTCTCCATCTGTATAACAGGACTATGCTCTGAATGAACCATGTTTCCTTACTGGAGGCTGCACCAGGGTTTGGGATGAGGTTGAGATGGGTGGGAACGTCCCCACCCTATCCTAGGGCCTCACAGTCTTGGGGACAGAGGGGGCACACCCTGGCCCTCACCTCCCGTAGCTGTTGTAGCTGGCCCTCGGCCTCCACCCGCTGCAGTTCCAGGTCAGCCACCTCGCCTCGCAACGTCTGCACCTGCTCGCCCAGGGAGCTGCTCTGCTTCCGTGCCTCAGATAATGCCTGCCGGGCGGCATCCAGCCGTTCCTGGGGGACAGGGGCTGATGGTGCCTGGCTGGCCTGGGAGCCCTAAGGAGTCCTCTCTATTCTGTACCTCTGGACAGGTCCACAGAGCATAAAACAGGCAGTCATCTCACCTGGAGGGTGGGGTGCACACCAAACCCATCCACGGCCTATCCACTGACCTGCATAAGGTGGGACCCACTCAGACCCCAACTCTCCCCAATAAACCCTGCCCCTGGGTCCCCCCAAGTCTATACCAGTAGCCTTGTCTTCTTACGGGACATACCCAGAGCCTCTTCTCCTTGGCTGATGGTCTACTGGGCCCACGCCCTCCCTTCAAAGCCTGCTCTCATTGGCTCCAACTGACTGCCCCATTGGCTGGCTCTCTACCAGGGCCCCCCTCCAAGCCTGCTCTTACTGGCTGACTCTCTCACTGGGCCCACCCCAGCCAGACCCTGGGCCCGAGACCTGGAGTACTTGGCGGTCATGTTCACAGGCGGTCAGAGCCTTCTGCAGATGCAGGTTCTTGTCCCGGGTGCTGTTGAGGCTGGCACTGCTCTGGGCCAGGGCCTCTGTCAGGCCCCGCACCTTGTCCCGCAGGGCCCCCTCGCTTTCCTCCACCTTAGCCAGGGCCCCATTCAGCCGCTCCACGGTCAGCTGCAGGGTCCCTGCCTTCACCTCGCTGTCGGCCACCTGGCAGGAGGACAGCCAGAACAATCGGGGCTGTTCCCATCTGGCCTCTATACCTCTGCTCCCACTGTGACCTCCACCTGGCATGCCCAATCCACACCCTTCCCACTTCTCTCTGGGCCTCCATCATTGAGACCCAGTGTTCCTAAGCACTCCTGCTGGCTCAGCCTACTGCCACCTGGGCCCCATCCCATTGCTGGCTAACTACTAGTGCCCAGAGTGCCATCAACCTAGTTGTCTCAGACTCCCTGGTCTCCTCCCTGTCCTCACTCCTCTCTCCTCTCTGCTGTGGAAGAGAAAGGGAAACCACCACGACCCTAAAATTTTTTTATTTTTGACCTTGTTGGGTGTTCAGGCAAGGCTAGCCGTATTATTTAACATTCCAGTTAGAGCTGAGCTTCCTAGCAGTCAAGGCAAAAAGGGAAATGAGTGAAACCTACATCTCTAACTTGTCCCAGATGACTCCTATGTATGCAGATGCTGTCATCAAATAGTCCTGAATTCTAATTTTGGCTCTGCCTCTTACTAGCTATGGGATCTTAGACAATGACATCACCTCTCAGCCTCCATTTGTCCATCTGTGAAATGGGGATGTGGGTAATACTTGCCTCACAGGGTTGTTGGGGGACTGCGTAGTGCCTACAAAGCTCTTGGCACAGGGCATGTGAACACTGTGGCTGTGATTTGGGGAGGGGCCCACCTGTCTCTGCAGGGAATCCACCCGATCCTGGAGGGCCTGGGCTTGGGCCTCGCGGTCACTGAGGCCCAGGCGGCTGCGCTGCAGCTCCCCCTCAAGCGAGCGCCGCTGCAGCTCCAGCTTGACAGTGCGGCTCTCGGAGGCGTCCAGAACCTCCTTCAGGCGCCGCTTGTCGCCCTCCAGCTTTGTCTCATTGGCCTTCATCTTGCTGATCTTCTCCTGCAGGTGGCATGGGGCTCAGGCCCAGACGTCCAGTGCACCCCGCAGCCCTCCCGCACACGCCCTGGGGCCCTTAGGGGGAAAGTGGGGAGCAGCCTCGAAGGGTGACCTACGTGACCTGGGGCCGGCCTGGGACCCTCTGGGGTCCTCGGTCTCCCCATGCGTTCCCAGGATGAGTGGACGTGAAGATCCCAGAGCCCACCTTCCAGTTTTAGCCCAGGCCAATGGGCTGTGGAACCCAGGACTGCCCCTTCGCGCCCTATGGCCCCATTTCATATCTGTACAGTAGGGACACTGGATTGGTCCCAGGGTACCACAACCTGGGTGCTCACAGGAGCCCTGAGGAGGGGCTGTAGAAATGCAGATTCCAAGGCCCTTCTCCTGCCCCACTGACTCGTGCAAACTGAGCTGAGCCGGACAGTTCTGAGGGGGCCCTGCTGTTCTAGGGTTTCAGGTGGTGATTCCCCCTCCCCTGCCCAGGGTCAGCCAGTGAAAAAGGCCTGGGGAGTGGGGATGGGACAGGAAGGCAGACTAGGGGTCCTCCCATCCCTGGTACTATCCTAGAGACAGGGTGGATCAACAGGGGGTGTTATTAGAGCCTCCCCAGCCCCTATCCTGAGCCTGGCCCCTCTGCCACCCTGCCCAGAGCCCCAGCCCTGCCCTGTCTGGGGCCCCCACTCTGGCTCCTGCCCAGCTTTGTTCCTGGCCTCCTCCTGCAGCCCCTGCGGCTGGGCCCATGGCCAGGGTTGAAGCCGCAGACACAACAATCCAGCTAAGCTCGGCCCCAGGCCAGAGGCCTTGGGGGTGGGGGTGGTGGGGGGAAGCAGTAATAGAGGGACAGGCTGGGGAGGGCAGAGGGGAGCTTTGGCTGCACTGTCACCACCAGGGCCTGAGTTTCCTGCCCGACAGACGCACATACACACTGGCACACATAGCTGTCCCCCAAACACACATAAAAACCCCAGAACTACAGAGACATAAAACAGAGGCCCCCTGAGTACCACCTGTGATAAGAGCCTGTGTGTGTCACCCTGTGACGTAATCACTGCTCCTCCTTTTACAGATTAGGAAAATGAAAACCAGGCAGATGACAGCCCAAAGCCCAAGCTCTCTTTCTTTTCTTCTTCTTCTTCTTTTTTTTTTCTTTTCTTTTTTACAGGGTCTCACTCTGCCTTGCTAGAGTGCAGTGGCATGATCACAGCTCATTGCAGCCTCGACCTACCGGGCTCCAGTGATCTTCCCACCTCAGCCTCCCGAGTAGCTGGGACTACAGGCCCACACCACCATGCCCAGCTAAGTATTTTTCATAGAGACGGGGTTTCACCATGTTGCCCAGGCTGGTCTCAAACTCCTGTGCTCAAGGGATCCACCTGCCTCGACCTCCCAAAGTGCTAGGATTACAGGCATGAGCTACTGCACCTTGACCAAGCTCTTTTTTCTACAGCCTAGTGACCACAAGTGACATGAGAGGATGGAGTCTGAACATGGTTTCACAGAGTCACAGGCTGGTCACCTCAGTGGGTTGCAGAGAGACTCAGGCAGACAGACACAGGGAGACACACATAAGAGTTAGACACTCACTCGGGTACACAGATTCCCCGTCGCCCCGCTGGCCCTCAGCTCCTGCCCACCTGGCTGGCCCGGAGCTCGCTCTCGGTGGCCTGCAGGCTCCTCTCCAGTGTGGCCACCTGGTCCAGCGTGGCCCGGCGCTCCCGCTCACTGCGCCGCACACTCTCCTCCTGCAGCGCCAGCTCCGCCTGGACCCCGCTCAGCCGCCCATCCACACTGCGCCGGGCTGTAGCCACCACCCACCCCGTCAGGCATGGCCAAGCACAGCCCCGAGACCCAAACCAGGTCACAAAATGTCCAGCCTGCACTCCACCCAGTGCAGGGCCAGACTGTCTGCACCCTTCGTAGTATGCGGGCCTGCACACAGGTGAGGCTGTCCAAGGAGGGTCCTCTTGGAGACAGCCCCGAGTCAGGTCATGGGGGCCACGGCAAGGTCAGAGGCCAATCCCCCGGCTCCTGCCTCAACTGCCCAAAACACAGGAGAGAGAACAGGGACCCCGAGGATCAGACTCACCTTCCTCACTCTCAGCCACCGCCTTCTGCAGCTGCCTGGCCCTCGAGGTTGCGCTGTCCCTCTCAGCCTCCATCTCGGCCAGCTGGCGATTCAGGGCACTGGTCTGGGTCCGAAGTTCGTCCTGTAGCCCCGACATGGGGGAACAAAGACAGACCCCTGCTCTGACACCCTGCAACCTCCCCAGGGCCCTCCAGGTTCCCCATCCAGCCATGCACACCCAGGCTTACCCGTTCTCTCTGGGCACTCCGCAGCTCTTGCAGGAATTCCCGGAGGGCCCCGCGCACTGCCTCCGGGTCCAGGTCTGGAGAGGCTGGGGAGGTGGCAGGTCCTGGAGATGGTGGCTGGGACCCAGGGCTGCATTCTAAGGTGCTGGGGCTGTTGAGCCCTTCCCCGCTTCCTAGAAGAGAAAGAAGACTTGCTCAGTGATGCAGAAGCCACGGGCCTCCCACACATCTCACTCACTGTCATCCCTGCCTTTCCCAACAGCCCTCAGAATCAAGCCCAACTTCTCTGCTATAGCTTAGGGGTCTTCTTGCCCATCCCAGCTGAAACCCTCTCACCCTTTACAAACTGGCCACCCTGCATCTCCCATGTTCTAGAACATTCTTTGTCCCAGCTCCAGGGCCTCTGTACATGCTGCTCCCCTTCTCCCCATGGCCTCTCTTTGCCTGGCCCATCCTTTAGGGCCATCCCTCTCCCTCAGAGGCCTCTCTGGCCACAGGCTGGATTACAGTGAGCTCATCCCACCCTCAGCGGGGTCTGATGTCTGCCACCCCCACCCCGACCAGGAGCACCATGAGGGCTGGGCCTCGTCTCTTCCATCCACCACTGTTCCCAGGGCCCAGTGCAAGGGTGGTTGCTGCATCACCTCAAGTCTCTCCATACTGAGTGCCCACTGTGCTAGGCACTTCATCTTCACAACAACTTCCTGACAGGTAAGGAACAATTTACCCTCTTCCCAGGCAAGGCTGGCACAAAGCAGTTAAGTGATTTGCTTGTTCTGTTGACTGGGTGTGGTGGCTCACACCTGTAATCCCAGCACTGTGGGGTCCGAGGCAGGCGGATCACTTGAGGTCAGGAGTTCAAGGCAAGCCTGGCCAACATGGTAAAACCCCGTCTCTACTGAAAATACAAAAATTGGCCAGGTGCGGTGTCTCATGCCTGTAATCCCAGCACTCTGGGAGGCCAAGGCAGGTGGATCACCTGAGGTCAGGAGTTCGAGACCAGCCTGCCAACTAGTGAAACCCCATCTCTACTAAAAATACAAAAATTAGCTGGGCGTGGTGGCATGCACCTGTAATCCCAGCTATTCGAGAAGCTGAGGTTGGAGAATTGCTTAAACCCGGGAAGCGGAGCTCGCAGTGTTCCTAATCGAACCGCTGCACTCCAGCCTGGGTAACACAGCGAGACTCCGTCTCAAAAAAAGAAGAAAGAAAAGACTGGGAGCAGTGGCTCACACCTGTAATCCCAGCACTTTGGGATGCCGAGGTGGGCAGATCACGAGGTCAGCAGTTCGAGACCGGCCTGGCCAACATGGTGAAAACCCGTCTCTACTAAAAATACAAAAATTAGGTGTGGTGGCGGGCGCCTGTAATCCCAGCTACTCAGGAGGCTGAGGCAGGAGAATTGCTTGAACTGGGACCTGGGAGGCAGAGGTTGCAGTGAGCTAAGACTGCACCATTACACTCCAGCCTGGGCAACAGAGTGAGACTCGGTCAAAAAAAAGAAGAAAGAAGAGGAAAGAAAAGAAAAGAAAGTAAGGAAGGAAGGAAAAGAAAGGAAAAGAAAAGAAAAGAAAAGAGAAAAATTAGCTGAGCATGGTGGCCCACGCTTATAGTCCCAGCTACCTGGGAGGCTGAGGTCTGGAGGCTGAGGCAGGAAAAGCACTTGAACCCTGGAGACAGAGGTTGTAGTGAGCTGAGACTGTGCTGCACTCCAGCCTGGGCAACAGAGAGAGACTCTGTCTCAAAAAAAAAAAAAAATAAAGAAAAAAGAAAAGAAAAGAAAAAGAAAAAAGTGGGCCCGGCACGGTGGCTCAGACCTGTAATCCCAGCACTCTGGTGGGAGGCCGAGGCGGGCAGATCACCTGAGGTCAGGAGTTCAAGACCAGCCTGGCCAACATGGTGAAACCCCCATCTCTACTAAAAATACAAAAAATTAGCTGGGTGCAGTGGTGCACGCCTGTAGTCCCAGCTACTCAGGAGGCTGAGGCAGGAGAATCGCTTGAACCCAGCAGGCGGAGGTTGCAGTGAGTCGAGATCGCGCCATTGCACTCCAGCATAGGCAATAGAGCGAGACTTGGGCTCAAAAAAAAACAAAAACAAAGTGATTTGGTTGTTCTCAATGCTGGGAAGTTTCAGGGCTGAGATGGGAATCCAGGCAGCCCGACTCCCTGGCAGCACTCCTGCTTGGAGTGATGGCCCGGGGAGGTGGAGGGGGCAGGGCGGGTGGAACCAGGGCACTACCTGGAGGCTGGCACTGGAACTGCAGGACACGGGTCCTGCCATGAGCATCCTGCCTTGGCCGCAGAGGGACACCAAAACTGCTCCGCAGCCATGAACTTGGTCACCACCCAAAAGGCCTCGCTCAGAGGTTCCCAAAGAAGCAGGCCTGCCCCTGGGGGCCTCCAGCTCTAGAAGGTCCCATCGTCTCAGGGTAAAAGTCCCCGTAGAGGCCTATAATGTCTATTGGAGCAAGCCCTTCGTCCCCAAATCTCACCCCCCTGCTTGATGCTCTGGGACTGCTGGCCCCTGCTGTCCACAGGACAGGCGCACCTCCACTCAGGACCTCCCTACTCGCCCCGAGTCCCCCTCCCAGCTGCTCGCTCACGTTCTCCCCTTACCCATCACCTCCTCAGTGAGGCACCTGCTGCCCCCGCATGAACTGCCCTAGCCCCTACCTTGGCTTTGCCCAATTTTTTTTTTTTTTTTTTTTCTGAGACGGAGTTTCGCTCTTGTTGCCCAGTCTAGAGTGCAATGGTGCGATCTCGGCTCACCACAACCTCTGCCTCCTGGTTTCAAGAGATTCTCCTGCCTCAGCCTCCCGAGTAGCTGGGATTACAGGCGTCTGCCACCACACTTGACTAATTTTTTGTATTTTTAGTAGAGACAGGGTTTCACCATGTTGGCTAGGCTGGTCTTGAACTCCTGGCCTCGAGTGATCCACCCGCTCCGGCCTCGCAGAGTGCTGGGATTACAAACATGAGCCAACGTGTCTGGCCATTTTCATCATTTTTAAGTGTACAACTGAGCGGCATGAATTACATTCACACTGTTGTGCAGCCATCACCATCATCTGTTCCCAGATCATCCCGACTGGAGGTCAGGAGTTTGAGACCAGCCTGTCCAACATGGTGAAACCCCATCTCTCCTAAAAAAAAAAAATATACATATATATATATGTATATTTATATACACACACACACATACACAAAAATTAGCCAGGTGTGCCGGGCACAGTGTCTCATGCCTTTAATCCCAGCACTTTGGGAGGCTGAGGTGGGCAGATCACGTAAGGTCAGGAGTTCAAGACTAGCCTGACCAACATGCTGAAATCCTGTTTTTGTTTTTTTTTTTTTTTTTTTTTGAGACGGAGTCTAGCTCTGTCGCCCAGGCTGGAGTGCAGTGGCGGGATCTCAGCTCACTGCAAGCTCCATCTTCCGGGTTCACGCCATTCTCCTGCCTCAGCCTCCCGAGTAGCTGGGACTACAGGTGCCTGCCACTGTGCCCAGCTAATTTTTTTTGTATTTTTAGTAGAGACGGGGTTTCACTGTGGTCTCGATCTCCTGACCTCGTGATCCGCCCACCTCTGCCTCCCAAAGTGCTGGGATTACAGGCATGAGCCACCGCGCCCAGCCTTGAAACCCCGTCTCTACTAAAAATACAAAAATTAGCCAGGCGTGGTGGCACACGCCTGTAGTCTCCCAGCTACTCAGGGGGCTGAGGCAGGAGAATCACTTGAACCCAGGAGGCAGAGGTTGCAGTGAGCCGAGATCGTGCTACTGCACTCCAGCTTGGGCAACAGAGCAAGACGCCATCTCAAAAAAAAACAAAAAGAATAATTAAAAACAATACAGTGTAACAAGTGTAAGATTTCCACTTAGCTGTATTTGGTATCCTAAGTAACCTAGAGATGACTGAAAGTATGTGGGAGTATATGGCAGGATGGAAGCTCAGAAAATCAGATAAGGAGTCAAAGGCATTAAGAGCCCTCCAGCCCCCGGTCCAGGAAAGGCACGGTGGCTCACGCCTGTAATCCCAGTGGGAGGATCGCTTGAGTCCAGGAGTTCAAGACTAGCCTGGGCAATATGGCAAAACCCCATCTCTACTAAAAACACAAAAATTAAGCAGACATTGTAGTGCACACCTGTAGTCTCAGCTACAAAGGAGGTTGAGGTGGGAGAATCACTTGAGCCCAGGAGGCACAGGCTGCCAAGGCAGAGGGAGCCAAGATCACACTACTGCACTTCAACTGAGGTGACAGAGTGAGATCCTGTCTCAAAAGTTGAAAAAAAAGAATCACCCCACTTCCCCAAAAAAATAAGTGGCCTAGACCGGGTGCCGTGGCTCATGCCTCTAATCCCAACCCTGAGAGGCTGAGACAGGAGGATCGCTTGAGGCCAGGAGTTTAAGACCAGCCTGGGCAACATAGTGAGACCCCGTCTCCACAAAAACTACAAAAATTAGCTGGGCGTGGTGGCACACCTGTAGTCCCAGCTACTCAGGAGGCTGAGGAGGGAGGACCACTTGAGCCCGGGAAACAGATGAGGCCTGGTCTAAAGAAAAAAGAAGCGCCCTTGAGAAGCACAGATCAGTGAAGGGAGGGGTCTCGGTGAGGGGACGGGGCTAAGAAGTGGACCTCAGTGGAGAGGTGTGGTGGGCTCCTTGAAAAAAAACAAAAACAAAAACAAAAACACCCTGCCATGTGGGGGCGGGGCCTCAGTGCGGCCCGCCCACCTCCCCCCTTCCCTGCGCGCGGCACTGCCCTTACCTTCTGCGGGTGCGTCCCGGGCAGGGGAACCGGGCACTGGCCGCGGGGCTGGGCTGGGCGCGCGACCGAGGCCGAGGCCCCGGCGCAGAGCCGAGCGCAGGCCACCCAGCTGGGCCTCCGCCGCGCGCCGCTGCACCTCCACGCGGGCCAGCTCGGCCTCCAGGCCTTGTGCCCGGCCCTCGGCTGCGCTCAGCCGCAGGCCCAGCTCTGCAGCCTCGGCCCGCGCCGCCTCCAGCTTCAGCTCCAGGCCGCGGGCGTGGTCCAGCTGCTGCTTTTCAGTGCCACGCGCCTCCTCCAGGGAGCCCAGCAGGCGTCGCTCGCGGGTCCGGAACTCGCCTTCTTGTTCCTGCAGCTTCCGCTGGGCTACCTGGAGCTGGAGTGATGCCAGGAGGTGGAGGTCGGCAAGACCTCTCCCAACCCGACGCCCCACCCCTAAGGCCCAGACTGGAGCCCACCATCCCTGACTGTGTGGTCAGTACAACCCTTTCTCCTTTAGTGCTCGCCACTCAAGCAGGCGGTGCAAAAACATCCCCGTGGGAGGAAATACTAGAACTTGTTTATTAATCTCTTTATTCTTTATACAAGCCTTGTAATGCCCATAGTTTATTAGTAATAACAGCTGGCATTTGAATACATAGGGCTTATCAGTGCCAGGCACTAAGTAACTTTCCAAAAAATATTAACTCTAATTACTACTCTATGAATCGATCTCACTTTACAGAAGATGAAACAGGCACAGAGATGCTAAGTAACTTGTCCAAGGCCAGAGTTAGTAAACTGCAGAGCTGGGATTCAAAGCCAGGCACTCTAGCTCCAAAGGCTGTTTTTTTTGTTGTTTTTGTGGGTTTTTGTTTGTTTGTTTTTGGAGACAGAGTCTAGCTCTGTCACCCAGGCTGGAGTGCAGTGGGGCAATCTCAGCTCACTGTAACCTCTGCCTCCTGGGTTCAAGTGATCCTCCCACCTCAGCCTCCGAGTAGCTGGGATTACAGGTGAGCACCACCATGCCCAGCTAATTTTTGTATTTTTAGTAGAGACAGAGTTTTGCCATGTTAGCCAGACTGCTCTCGAACTCCTGGCCTCAAGTGATCTGCCAGCCTCGGCCTCCCAAAGTGCTGGGATTACAGGTGTGAGCCACTGCGCCCGGCTGTTTTTGTTTCTGTTTTTTTTTTTGTTTTTTGTTTTTAATAGCTTGACAGCAGCTTATTAATCACATGTACTCACAGCCCTGGGGGGTGGGGGAAAGGCGGGGAGGCATACCACACGGGGCCACACGGGGGCTGTGGGCTGCACTTGAGAACACAGTGAACAGCCAGGAAGGTTAAGTGCCCACTGGTTCCAAAGGGAGCTGTGTCCAGAGGCTGTTCCCTTAACCACTAGGCTACATTGCCGCCCTTGCCCATAATTTATCAATAAATTTGCACACAATGGGGGCATGCACTAAAATATCATTTCCTGATGGGATGCATGGTCACACAGACACAAAGCCACCCCTGCCATTTAGAGAGTCAACCTCTCACGGTCACCAGTTTCACTGGAAACCCATCTACTGAGCAGCTGGTTGCCAGGACCTGTGCCAGGGCCCTTCATACATGCTCGGCTGTGCTAGCCCATCTCTCATGAGCGCTCTGAGGCACAGAGATGACGTGACTTGGTTCAGGCCACACAACAGATTCATGGCAATGAAACAGCCGGAAAAGGCAGAGCGGGTAGCCTGTGGGCTTTGGAGTCAGACAGACTTAGGTGGCTGTGTGACCTTGGGTAGATCCCTCGACCTCTCTGAGGGCTCTGTAAAATGGGGCTAATGGTAGGAAGGGTGTGGTGGCTCACACCTGTAATCCCAGCACTTTGGGAGGCCGAGGCAGGTGGATCACCTGAGGTCAGGCGTTTGAGACAAGCCTGACCAACATGGTGAAATCCTGTCTCTACTAAAAATACAAAAAATTAGCTGGGCGTGGTGGCAAGCACCTGTAATCCCAGATACTCGGGAGGCTGAGGCAGAAGAATTGCTTGAACCCAGGAGGCGGAGGTTGCAGTGAGCCGAGATGGTGCCAGCGCACTCCAGCCTGGGCGACAGAGTGAGACTCCATTTCAAAATAAATAACTAAATAAAAAGGGCTAACAGTACCTACCCCATAGGGCTGCTGGGGAAATCAAACAAGGTTGTATCTACAGGGCCTCTCCCTACCCATTTTGTGCCGGCACACAGTAGGCCCACTGTTCTTTGGGTTGTTGTTACTACAACTGGGGAAGAGTCTCAAGGAGTGGGGGAAGGAGCAAGCCCTAGGGAGTGGCCTTTCAGAATGGCCCCAGCATTGGGGTGCCCACCTGCTTCCTGCTGGGGGAAGGAAAGATGCACCAGCCTGCCCGCCTGCTCAGTTACCTCCTGCCGCATCACCTCCAGGCTGGCCTCGCCCTTCAGCAGCCTCTGCCGGAGGCCCAGGGTCTCCCGCCTGCTCTCCTTCTCTGCCCGCTCGCCCAGCGCCAGGCGGCCCTGCAGCTCCGCCAGCTCCCGGCCCAGTCTGGTGTTCTCACTGTCCAGCATCTTCATCTGTGAGAGCACGGGAATGGCAGCAGGTTCAGCTCTGCCCCTGTACCCTCCCAGTTCTGGCCCAAGGCCACTTGGTACCTACTGCTGTAGGGACACATGTATCAAATACCACCCCACATCCACTGGGAGCCGGCCCCTACACAACCACACTGAACTTGGGCGATGCCAGGCACTTGGGCACCAGTGGCCTGTTTACCACTTAATCAATGGGCCAAAACTACCTTTCATAAAGGGGTGGGTATAATAGAAGGAGGGCTCAGCCCTTAGCAGACCAGGAGTTCACAGGCAGGAACCACAGCTCCCTGGGTTATCTTTCCCCTCTACGATGGCGATGAACGTTTTTGGAGCGCTTACCATGTGTCCAGTCCTGTTCTAAGCACTTCAGTTATATTAACTCGTTTAATCTTGGTACAATGCTATATGAGGTAGGTAGTAACATTATCCCTATCTAACAGATGAGAAAACTGAGCCTCAGAGTGTCAGAGTAACCTCCCCAAAGTCACACAGCCCACACACACCAGACTGGGATTCGATCTGAGACAACGGCAATGTTCTAAGCCCCTATTTCCCCACAGGAGCAGGGAGGGGTACTGCCTACCTCCCCCATGTGCTACAGCAGGGGTAACAGGAGAGGCCGTAGCATGCAACGCGTCCAGCAAAAGCTGGCACGCAAATGCCAGCTCCTTTCCGGGAGTCTTGTGGTTTCTCAGGAAGGGGCCTGGGTGAAGGGGGCTGTGGTATCTCTGGCTATCAGAGTATCAGAATATCTCTGGCTATCCAGTTGTGATCTCTTTTTTTGTAATTAAAAACAATTTTTTTAATTAAAAAAATTTGGGGGGGCCAGGCATCGTGGCTCATGCCTGTAATCCCAGCACTTTGGGAGGCCAAGGTGGGTGGATCACCTGACATCAGGAGTTCGAGACCAGCCTGGCCCACATGGTGAAACCCTGTCTCTACTAAAAATACAAAAAAATTAGCCAGGTGTGGTGGCGGGCATCTGTAATCCCAGCTACTTGGGAGGCTGAGTCAGGAGAATTACTTGAACCCGGGAGGCGGAGGTTGCAGTGAGCCGAGATTGCGCCACTGCACTCCAGCCTGGGCAACAAGAGTGAAACTCCATCTCAGAAAGTAAATAAATAAATAAAATAAAAATTAAAAGTTTAAAAACTTTTTTTAGAGTCAGGGTCTTGCTTTGTCGCCCAGGCTGGAGTGCGGTGATGCGATCACAGCTCACTGCAGCCTTGACTTCCTGGGCTCAAGGGATACTCCCACCTCAGCCTCCCAAGTAGCTGGGACTCCAGGAGCGTGTCACCACACCTAGCTATTTTTTAAATTTTTTGTAGAGACTGGTTCTCACTATGTTGCCTGGGCTGGTCTTGAACTCCTAGGCTCAAGCAGTCCTCCCAACTTGGCCTCCCAAAGCATGAGATTAAAGGCATGAGCCATCACAGCTGGCTAATTTTTCGTATTTTTAGTAGAGACAGGTTTTCACCATGTTACCCAGGCTGGTCTCGAACTCCTGGGCTCAAGCAATCCACTGGCCTCCGCCTCCCAAAGTGCTGAGATTATAGGTGTGAGCCACTGCGCCTGGCCTGGTTGTGATATCTCTGGGTGAGGCAGCGCCTAGGGGCTGAATGAGGCCATTTCCTGTTCTTTGCATCTTCTAGAGTGAGAAGCCTGAACCCACAGTGTCCAGGCCAGTGCCCAGTAGACAGCAGGTGCTTCTTCAATACATGCTGCTGTTGAGTTTGCAGATCATCGAATTCACGGGTCAGCGAACTACAGCTCACAGGCCAAATTCAGCCCATCTCCCGTTTCTACAAGGGTCTGAGTTAAGGATTTTTTTTTTTTTTTACATTTTTAAATCATCGAAAATGGATCATTTCTAAAGGAAGAACAACATTTCTTGACACATGAAAATGACAGAAAATTCACATTTCAGTGTCCCTAAACAAAGTTTTACTGGAACCCACACCCCTCTGTTCATGCACTGTTTGGGACTGCTTTCTCACTACCCCAGCAGAGTCAAGTAGTTGCAACAGAGACTGTGTGGCCCGTAAAGCTGGAAATATTGACCATTTGGGCTCTTTACAAAAAACCATTTGCCAACCTCTGACCTAGTTCACAAAATCTGTACCTTTTGTTGTTTGCAGATTCCTTTGAGAACTGGACAAGGACACCAGCTCCTCTCCTTGCAGAAATGTGAGCCTGAGTGTGCACACAAATGCACGCAGACTTTTGCACAGTTTCAGGGATTCAAGGACTCCTCAAAGCCCATCCATTCACACCAAGGTTAGGTGAGAGGGCTTGTCATAGTTCAAGCCCCTGGTTTTACATAGGGGTAGAAACGTAATTCCAGAAAGGGGGAGCTATTGGCCCGGGGCACACAGCAAGCCCCAGGCTAAGGGGTGGCACAGGGAGAGTACCTGACGCCGGAGCTCCTGCAGCTCCCGCCGAGCCTCCAGCCGTGAGCGCTCCACCTCCTGCAGCCCAGTTCGCAGCTCCCCGGCCTCCTTGCCCACAGCTGTCCGTGCCTCCTCTAGGAGTGCCAGCTTCTGCTCCTTGTCCTCATTGGCAAGCTTCAGGCTGGAGAGGGCAGAGGTCAGGGGCTGCCCTGGGTCCTGGGAGTAGTCAGTGGCTCTACACAAAAGCCGTCTCCTCCAATTTCTGGAGTGGATCAGGCACTGCCTGCCCATGTGGCCTCTCTGAAGAGCTAAGCCCTGAGCCCTGCAGGGCTGGGGCCCAGGCCCTCGGCTGGGAGGGGTAGACCAGTGACTCCAGGAGGGGACCTGGTTTCCAGGGTGATGACGGTGGGTGGGTCTGAGTCTGGACCCAAAGCTGCCCACTGCCCCTCTGCCCCTTTCCCCAATCAACAGGGAGGAAACCTTCCTAAAATCACCCAGGTGCCAGGCTCTGCTTAGGAGACAGAGGATCCGTATCTGGGCAATTTCCCCAGAACGTTGGGGGTGAAGTTAGGTTTCAGGGATGGGATCCCATGAGGACTCAGGACTGGTCCTCCTGCGACACCCCACCTGATGCGCTCGCTCTCTGCCTTCTTCACAGCAGACCGAAGCTCCTCATTGGAACGCCGCAGGGCCTCGCGCTCCTTGGCACCCTCGCCCAGGCTGCGTCGCAGCTCGCCTGCCTCCTGGCGCTGCACCTCCCGGCCCTCCTGGCTCTCACGCAGCTTGCGCTGGGCCTCCAGCAGCTCCCGCCGCAGCCCGTCACGGGCATCCTCCAGCAGACGCAGCTGGGTCCGAAGCTCTTCTGCCTGTGAGCACAGCAGGTGTCCCCAGGGCAGCGGTCAGGGACCCCCCCGTCAAGCTGGGTCTTGTACCCCAGATCCCTGGACCCAGGGAGCCTGCCCCATCCCTCTGCAGTGCTCAGACCGCAGGCTGTGAGTTATCATTTGAGCAAGGCGTGCTGTAATCAGTAATGTTTTGACCTGAAGTCACCATCAATCAGGACTGTCCTGAGCACAACACCAAGAGGGCAGAGACCCCACTCACCCCTCCTTGAGGCCAAATCCCACCTGTACACAACAGGTGCTTCGTAGTGCTTGCTGCCTCCTTTCTAAGTTGCTATTCATTGGTCCTCAAATGCAGGGAGGAATCTTACACTCTTCTGGGGCCCTGGGGAACTAGGCCCCCAGGCACACAGTGCCATTTAGGGTATGCTGCTTGGAAGAGGGGGGCGGCTGCTCACCTCGCGAAGACAGGAGTCCCGCTGCTTGCCCAGGTCTCGGGCCTGCTCTTGCAGCCTCCTCACCTCCTGGGCGTGGGCCGCAGCAGCCTCCTCCCGCTGGGCCCGTAGGTCCCGCAGCTCAGACGTCAGAGCGTTCACGGTGCTCTGGGACAGAGGGGCTCCTCAGACTTGGTCCTGCTGTGTCCCCCAGCCCCGGGCTGCTCCCAACCCGCTCAGTGCACTGTCCACTTTTAGCTCTAAACACGGCCCCTCCCGCTGGCCTGCCGGACCCTCTGCCAACCCCTGGATGCATAGTGAGTGCTGCCCGTGTAGCCAGCCTCTCCCTCACGCCAAAAGGATTCATCAGGGCAGGGCTGAGCCACCTCCCTCAGATGGGGGCTCCCAAAAGAAGGGCTAAACCTCCTTTCCCACAGCCTGGAAGCTTCTCCAGGACAGGGCCATGCCGCCCCGTGGTGGGGGCTCCTCAGCCAGGGATGTGCCTCTCTATGAGACAGAGGCCCAGCTGCCCAGCCTGCCCTACCCGGTCCTGCTCCTGCCGGCTCTGGGCATCTCGTTTCTGCCGCTCCATCTCCAGGGAGATGGTGGCCAGGCTGTGCCGTGTACCCATCAACTTCTCTGACAGCGCCGTCTTCTCAGACTCCTTCAGAGACAAGGCCTGGGCAGAGGCAGGGGACAAAGGGCTTGGGGGATGGGCTGGTCCTGGGGGCATGCTCAGGCTTCTTGCTGCCTAGGAAATGTGCCCACTGGGGGCTTAGAGGCCTGAGTGTGCCACTGCAGGTGGACCCAGGGCAGACATGCAGCCCTGGAAAAGGGCACAACGGCAGTCACAAGAATCCCGGACGTGGATACCACTCATAGAGCTCACTAACCCGCCACAGCACCCTGACTGCAGAGTCTTTCTTTCTACCCATCTTACAGATGAGGAAACTGAGGCTCAAGGAGGTAAAGTGACTCGCCCAGGTACACAGCTGGTGAGGAGAGGAGATGGGCACAGTCTGCCCTGTCTCCGTTACATTATAGGAAAGTTAGGGATTTGTTATTTGGGGGGACACGTCAGCTGATGCCTGTGGGCATCGTGGGGACTGCTCAGAAGGCAGCCATGAGGATCCATGCCCAGCGTGGGGTGGGACGAGGCATGGGAGAATATGGAACAGCTTTCCTGGTGTCACGACTGTCACTGTCACTCAGTAAGTGCTCACTGTGTGCCAGGCATGGAGCACAGCAAAGCCTCACGAACCCCCTTCTAATCCTCCCCTCCTGCAGGTAAGGAAACTGAGGCCCCCAAGAGGGCAGTGGCCTGCCCCAGGGCTCCTAGCTGCCAAGTGGCAGAGCAGGGCCCGGCCCCAGAACTGGAGCAGCTCAGAGAGCAGCAGAGGCCATGCCAGGGCTCACGAACCTGCTGCTTCTCACTCTCTGCTAGGAGGAGGCCCTCGTCGCGCTCCTGCTGCAGGGCAGCAATCTCCTCACTCAGCTCTTCCTTCTCAGCCTCCAGCCGGGCCAGCAGCTCCTCCTGCTCACGCTGCAGCTGACTCTGCAGCTGGGCCCGCTCGGCCTCCAGCTCCCGCCATGCTGCCTCCTAGGGGGCCAGGACCGGATGCCTGTGACACACCAGGAGGGGGCCCAGGCAGACCCCCCAAAACATCAGGGCAGCAAGAGCCATCTGGCCCCCATACCCTCAGAGATGGAGGGTGACCAGGTAAATACAAGGGAGTGATAAGGGCTATGACGGGGACACGCCAGGGCCGTGAAAGTGCCAAGGAGCAGCAGTGGGCTGGCCTGGGGGTCCGAACATGGTCCCCTGCGGAGGGACAAGTAACTGTCAGCCAGGTAAGGAGAGAAAAGACCACCCCAGGCCAAGAACACAGCCCCTGGAAAGGCCTAGAGGATGCAGGGTGCAGAGGGGAACGGGACATGGTGAGTCACAGGGCCAGAGCCCCAGGCAGGGGTGGGGCCAGGACAGGCCGTGTGGGCCATGGGGATTCTAAGGACAGTGAGGGGAGTGGGAGAGAGGACTCGAGCCAAGGTGACAAGGAGCAATCTGATTTTTAGCTTAGGGGATGTTCCGACAGCTGTGGAAGAGGGATTGGGGTTGGGATGGAGGGGAGTTAGGACTGGCTGTGAGGAATGAAGGGGGTCAGGGGTTGCCAGAGGAGCTGGAGAGAACACAGATTTGGGGACATTAATGAGGCCAAGCCAGGCAATGCAAAGGGCAAGAAGAGCAAGGGGGAGGTCACAGGAGTTCAGATCCCTGGGGACTGGACAGGCGGGCAGGCAGAGCCCACAGGCAAATAGCAGCCCACCTGGGGAGCCTGAGGGCAGGTGCCTGCCTCAGCACTTGCCCCTAGCAACTCTGTGAGAAGCAGACAGAGCTGCCACTTCTTTTTTTTTTTTTTTAGACGGAGTCTTGCTCTGTCACCCAGGCTGGAGTGCAGTGGCGAGATTTTGGCTCACTGCAACCTCTGCCTCCCAGGTTGAAGCGATTCTTCTGCCTTACCCTCCCAAGTATCTGGGACTACAGGCGCGTGCCACCACGCCCAGCTAATTTTTTGTGATTTTTAGTAGAGATGGGGTTTCACTGTGTTAGCCAGGATGGTCTCGATCTTCCGACCTGGTGATCTGCCCACCTCGGCCTCCCAAAGTGCTGGATTACAGGCATGAGTCAGCACGACCGGCCAAACCGCCCCTTCTTTAAGATCTTCACCGTAGCTCATGCCTGTAATCCCAGCACTTTGGGAGGCCGAGGTGGGCAGATTACGAGGTCAAAAGTTCGAGACACCCTGACCAATATGGTGAAATCCCGTCTCTACTAAAAATGCAAAAATTAGCCAGGCGTGGTGGCGCGCCTATAATCCCAGCTACTCAGGAAGCAGAGGCAGGAGAATCGCTTGAACCCAGAAAGTGGAGGTTGCAGTGAGCCGAGATTGCGCCACTGCAATCCAGCCTAAGCAACAGAGCAAGACTCCGTCTCAAAAAAAGAAAAAAGAAAAAAAAAAAAGAGCTTTACCGCCACCTCCTGGAGAAGCGTGGTAACAACCACCCAAGGCCAGGGGTACTGCAGGGTGAGTGGCATGCCCTGGAGCCATGCAGTCATAGCCTGCACCTCTGTCAGAGGCAGCCCTGTCTAGGATTTGGTGGCTGAGGGCCCCTGTCCCGAGGGCCACTCTGGAGAGCATGTCAGTGCCAGCAATCATAACTTATGGAGCATTTGCTAAGTACCAGTCACTATGCTAAGCCCTCTATGCAGATGGTCTCAGCTCATCTTCAATACCTTTCACTATCCTATCCCTATTTCTACAGGTGGGGAAATGAAGGCACGGACACCTTGGGTAGCATCACCAGTAAGCGACCAAGATTCGATTCAAACCCAGGCAATTCAAACCCAGAGTCAGTGTTCTAGTAACTTCCCTGGCCCCTTGCCTTTCTATATGCTGAGGTCTGAGTGGCTCTTCATATGCAAACAGTACTTCTTAGCAAATGAAAGTGCTTTCCTGCTGTACATTAGGTCAGTATTTCCCAAATGTGGTTGTGGACCCTCTGCATCAGGATTACCAGGGCTGGACCAGATTTGGGACCTGGGAATCTGCATGTCTAATAAGAACCACAACCTCCCCATCCCCCCAGTCCTCCTAGCTGTCCCCAGGACCTCCACAACAGAGAGGAAGTCCCATTTCACAGATGTAGAGACCGAGGCAGAGCAAGAACGATGATGAAACACTGGCTCAGAGTCCTGCCCACCCCTCCCCAGCTGCCTGAACCTTTTCACGCTGGAGTCGCTGTAAGTCCTCCTCGTGAGCTGCCCGCTGCTCCCGCAGAGAGGCCTGGGCCTCCCGCTCAGCCTGCACCAGCTTCTGGGCCATCAGCTCCTTGTCTAGACTGGCTTTCTCCTGTGTAGCTATTATTTGCTGCCGCAGGCCCGCCAACTCCCCTGCACGAGAGGAATGGGGGAAAGGGCAGGGTTGGGTTGAAACTTTTCCTTGGGCCAGCAGACTTAGGCCAGGTGAGCCACATGGGCAAAATCCCAGAGGCAGAGGGCCTGCCTGGCATCTAGTTTGGGTCCTCTTGAAGTGGCTTGCCCTCTCTGGGCCTCAGTTTCCCTATATGCTACATGGGCCCACTGGCCCTGACCCCTTTCCTGCCTACCTAGAATGGCATTAAAGGCATAAAATGACTGATGAGAAGGCCTCCCAAATGGGACGGATGTCAAACATATAACAACCCTAGGTCAGGTGCCTTGGCTCACGCCTGTAATCCCAGCACTTTGGGAAGCTGGGGCAGGTGGATCACCTTAGGTCAGGAGTTCAAGACCAACCTGGCCAACATGGTGAAACCCTGTCTCTACTAAAAATACAACAATTAGCCAGGCGTGGTGGCAGGCGTATGTAGTCCCAGCCTCAGGGAGGCTGAGGCAGGAGAATCGCTTGAACCCAAGAGGCAGAAGTTGCAGTGAGCTGAGATTGCACCACTGCACTCCAGCCTGGGCAACAAGAGTGAGACTCTGCCTCAAAAAAACAAATAGGCCGGGCGCAGTGGCTCATGCCTGTAATCCAGCACTCTGGGAGGCTGGGTCAGGTAGGTCACCTTAGGTCAGGAGTTTGAGACCAGCCTGGCCAACACAGCGAAACCCTGTCTATACCAAAAATACAAAAATTAGCCAGGCATGGTGGCGGGCATATGTAGTCCCAGCTACTTGGGAGGCTGAGGCAGGAGAATCGCTTGAATGCAGGAGGCAGAAGTTGCAGTGAGCCGAGATCGCACCATTGCACTCCAGCCTGGGCAACAAGAGTGAGACTCTGTCTCAAAAAACAAACAGGCTGGGCGTGATGGCTCATGCCTGTAATCCCAGCAGTTTGGGAGGCCAAAGCGGGTGGATCACCTGAGGTCAAGAGTTCGAGACCAGCTTGACCAACATGGCGAAACCCCGTCTCTACTAAAAATATAAAATTAGCCAGGCATGGTGATGCATGCCTGTAATCCCAGCTACTTGGGAGGCTGAGGCAGGAGAATCGCTTGAACCCAGAAGGCAGAGGTTGAGGTGAGCCGAGATAGTGCCATTGCACTCCCGCCTGGGCAACAAGAGTGAAACTCTGTCTCAAAACAAACAAACAAAAAACAACCCTATTCCTGACTGAGCACTTACTATGGGTCAAGCGCCCAGCTAAGTATTTTAGACATAACCTCATTTTGTCTTCATAACATGCCTATGTAGTTTATCCTCATCCCCATTTAACAGATGATGAAATGGAGGCTCAGAGATCAGCAGCAACTTCCCACAGCTGCACAGCTACACATAAAGCATCTCCTTTAATGACTGACATGAACATACCCGTCAAACGTTAACTATTTATATTAATGGAAATGACTACAGGGAATGGAAATGGTATAGCTACCATCTAAAAACCATCTCCCGGGTTGGAAACCCACCAGCATTTCCCTTCCTGGTTCTGTCTGGCTCAGGTGTACATGGACAGGAAAATTAATTTCCATGACCCAAGTAGGTGCTTAGTTAATGTTAGGTGAGCAGAAAGAAGCCCTGAGTTCAGAGACTGGATGGGAACGGTGCAGGGAAGTGGGGCTGGGATTCTGGGGCCAAGAGAGTCATCTGAAAAGCACAGAGAACTCAGACTAACAGGCCTGATGACCGATGAACGGCAGTTACTGTTGACTCAGCCAGGCACCGTGCCACGGCCTTACACGCTTTTCCCACGTCATCCTGGCAACAGGCTTAGAAGGTGGGCATTGCCACCTCCAATCATCAGCTGAGGAATCTGCAGCCCAGAGAGGAAAGGGGCTTGCTCAAGGGAAGGTGAGATCTAAGTGGTGGCACAGGACTGGAACCCAGGCCAGCCAGACTCCTACTCCAGTGCTCCCAACTTCTGTGAGACCCCAGACCTTGGGAGGCTGCAGTCTGGGCTGGAACCTGGTGTTCCCCCCAAGTCCCCAGCCCCTCGTACCAGTCAGGGTCTCCTTGGCCAGCAGCAGGGCCTGCCCCTCGGCTTCCAGCTGCTCCCGGCGGGCCTCAAGCTGGGCCAGCTGCCGTTGCACCTCAAACAGGCTGCCCTCCAGGGCTTCCTTCTCCAAGCTGCAGCACATACAGTCCCTGAGGCCCTGGGACTCAGCCTCCCTGGCCCCAGGAAACTGTGGATCTCAGGGAGTGGCCAGGCATGGGCCAAGTGCCAATCTACCTGCCTGGCCAGGCCCACACTCCCTGGGGAAGCCTGAGCCACAGCTAGGACGAGTCGGCAAGCCAGACTCCTTAGTAACTGCCCCTGGGGGCCCGTGCCTGCGTGTGGCTGGTCATGGTGTGGCCCCAGGAGGACCCCCCAGGGCGGGTTGGGCAGAGCCCAAGGCCTTACCGCAGGCGTGTGGCCTCCTCTGACAGGGTCCTGCCTTCACGCTCCGCAGCCACCAGCTGCACAGCCAGGCCAGCGTGCTCCTTGGCTAGCGCCTCCTTCTCACGGGCCGCTCGCTCCAGCGCCTCCACTTGCCGCTGGGCCTCCCGCCGGGCCTGCTCCAGCTCCTGCTCCCGCCCGCTCAGCTGCCGGGAGAGCTGGCCCCCACCCAGAGACTGAGTAGCACTCCCAGCGTCCCCCAGCTTGTTCATCGTGCAGCACCCCAACTCTGGGCCTAACCCAGTCCTGGCAGAAGGCCTGGGTTTGAGCCCAGGGTCTGCCCTGATGTGCTACATGTACTTGGGCAAGTCATGACCTTCTCTAGATCTGCAATGCACGTGTGTACAAAAACCAGGGCCCAGCCAGGTACGGTGGTGCGTGCCTATAATCCCAGCACTTTGGCAGGTGGATCACTTGAGGTCAGGAGTTCAAGACCAGCCTGGCCAACGGGGTGAAACCCTGTCTCTACTAAAAATACAAAAATTAGCCGGGCGTGGTGGTGCACGCCTGTAGTCCCTGCTACTTGGGACGCTGAGGCAGGCGAACAGCTTAAACCCTGGAGGCGGAGGTTGCAGTGAGCCCAGATCGTGCCACTGCATTCCAGCCTGGGCAACAGAGCAAGACTCTGTCTGGAAAAAAAAACAACAACAAAAACAAAACAAAATGAAACAAAAAAAATGAGGGCCCTCACTCAGCTCTGGGAGTAACAGAACCCTTGTATTACTCTAAACTTGCAGAGAAGCTGAATATATAAACCAGACCCAAGTGCAGCTGCTCGGCAGGCCTCAAGGTGGAGACCTGCACCCTGCTTCCTGCACCCCCTACCCCATCCTCTAGAGGCCCCTCCCAGAAACCTAGGCGCTCCAGGATAGACCTTGCATGAAGGTCCCTGGATCCCTGAAACATTAAGGTCTCTTCCAGATGTGATGTTCCCAAAAGTCTAAGATTCCAATTCTAAAAAGTCTCCACCTATTATTAATCTGTATCATTATTATTATTATTATTATTATTATTATTATTGAGACGGAGTCTTGCTCTGTTGCCCAGGCTGGAGTGCAGTGGCATGATCTTGGCTCACTGCAACCTCTGCCTCCTGGGTTCAAGCGATTCTCCTGCCTCAGCCTCCCAAGTAGCTGGGACTACAGGCGCGTGCCACCACGCCCAGCTAATTTTTTGTAGAGATAGGGTTTCACCGTGTTAGCCAGGATGGTCTTGATCTCCGGACCTCAGGTGATCCACCCGCCTCGGCCTCCCAAAGTGCTGGGATTATAGGCGTGAGCCACTGCGCCTGGCTGGCCCCATGTTATAGATGGGGCAACTGAGGTATGGGAGATTGGGCAGCTTGTCCAAGGTCCCCAGCTAGCAGAAGTGGGGCTGGATTTAACCCAGAAGCAGGCTCCAGTGCCTGTGACTTAACCCAGGACTGGATGCAGGGGGCTGGGAGCCCGGCCTGCCCCACATGCTCTCCACACCACCCCCACACACAGCTTTGCCCACCTGCGCTAGCTGCTCCTGCAGCTGGCTGCGCTCATGGCGCAGCGTGGGGAGCTGCTGCTCCAATGCCTCCTGGGCCTGCTCCGCCACTCGTAGGGAGCCCTCCAGGCCCTGCCGCGCCACCTCCTGCTCCAACCGCAGCTCCTCTAGCCGTTCCTGCTCTTCCCGCGCCACTGTGGCCTCCTGCTCTGCCTGCCGTTGCCGGCCCTGCAGGGCGGACTTTTCTTCCTCCAGCTGGAGGCCAGGTAGGAGTGGGGCCTCGTGAGCAGGGCGTCCCTCCCAGGACCAGGACGCCTCCTCCACCCACCCACCAGCAACAATAGCCCAGGGGAGGCTCCCAGGGAATGAGGGACAGTGCCCTTGGGTGTATGGGACACTGGGGAGGGGGAGATGAGGAGGGCCCATGGAACTTCTGTGCTTTGACGCCTAGAGGGGATAGACAGACAGACAGAGAACCAGAGACAGACAGAGAACCAGGGACAGAAAGGGAGGCAGGGGCCAAGACAGGTACAGGGCTGGGCCCGGGGTGCCTCACTGAGTGGGGAGGATGGGTGGGCAAGGCAGGTGGGCCCGCAGGTGCACAGCGTACCTGGGCGACAAGGCGGTTCAGATCCAACTTGTCCTGAGCAAGGCTCTCGTTGAGGGCGCTCAGCTTGGACAGGGAGTCCTGCAGGGAGGCCTCCTCTGCCCTCAGCTTGGTCATGGAGAGCTCGAGCTCCACGCGGCCAGCCTCAGCCTGCAGGGTCAGGCCCCGAGAAATGAGGAAAGGCAGAAAGGTCGGGAGGAGGTGAGGAGGCCCAAGAAGAGACCCAGAGAGATGGACCCTCAGAGACAGGGTAGGGGAGACAAGGAGGGGACACAGTGTGAGATGGAAAAAAAAAAATCACCGCAGAAAGCCTGCTGCTTATGAGCCATTTAAAAGCCACACACCACAGAGCTGTGCAAAAATAGCTCAAGCTGCAGGGCAGGGCCAGAGTTCAGAGGATCCCCTGAGTAGGGTCTAGGGATAGCACTGCTCAGAGCCCAGGCTGCAGCGGACAGCGCAGGCCCCCCTGCCAAGGACCCTCTGCGCTGTGGCCACAACTCTCAGACCCCAGGAGCTGAGTCTCAGGCACTGGATGACCCTGAGCTATAGGCATTGCCCCCAGGAGCATCCAGAAGAGCAGGGATACGGCCATAAAGAGAGGTCAGTCCACTTATGGCTGGGACCAGAGGTCCAGAGGTCTGTGGCCTGTGACAAAGATCAGCCTGTATCCAGAAGGAAGGGGTCAGTCTGTGACCAGGCTCAGAGGTCTGCCTGACACTGGGACCAGTCTGTGCCAGAGTGACAAGGCTTGGGGCTGGGGGTCAGAGGTAGGTTTGTGGTTGTGCAGCAGACAGGGACCCACCTTGGTCAGCGCCTCGGCCACCTCGGCCTTCTCGGCCTGCAGCATGTCCCGTTGCAGTGTGGCGCGGCTCAGCGCCTCCCTCACCTCCACCAGCTCCTTGGCCAGGACTGAGCGCTTCCCTTCCAGCTGCTCTAGTTGTCTATGGCTGTGGGACAAAGGGTGGGTGGGTGGCCCATGTCACTTTCCTGCCCCGAACCTCCTGTAGCCAGCGAGATGCTGGGCTGGGGACCAGGCCTGAGGCAGGAGTTTGGAGAGAAACAGCCTGAGCCACAGGGCAACCAAGCCCACTACCGCTTAGCTCCATGACCCTGGGCCTCCGTTTTCACATCTGCAAAATGAGGTAACACTTACCTCGTGACATTGTTTGTTTTTTTGAGACACAGTCTTGCTCTGTCACACAGGCTGGAGTACAGTGGTGCGATCCTGGCTGACTGCAACCTCTGCCTCCCAGGTTCAAGCAATTCTCCTGCCTCAGCCTCCCGAGTAGCTGGGATTACAGGTGCTCACCACCACGCCTGACTAATTTTTGTAGTTTTAGTAGAGACGGGATTTCTCCACGTTGGTCAGGCTGGTCTGGAACTCCTGACCTCAGGCGATCTGCCTGCCTTGGCCTCTCAAAGTGCTGGGATTACAGGCGTGAGCCACTGCGCCCGGCCTGTTTTAAGGATACAAACTTCACATGTGCTTAAAATAGTGCCTGACACATCTCCCCAAGGACCTTCAGAAACAAGAATAACATGCTCCACCACAGTCTACTAAACATCATCAGCGATCACGTCCCTGAGAGGTAAGCAGCGCAGTGGTGAAGAGGTTAACTCTGAAGGCAGAATGTCTGGGTTCAAATCCTGGCTCTTCTGCTAACTGTGTGACCTGGGGCAAGTGACATGGCTTCTCTGTGCCTCAGTTTACCATCCACAAAATGGAGATAACCGCTTCTATGTCACAGAGTTATCATGGAGTTAAATGAGAGAACTGAATTGCTTAAAATGGTATCTGGCACTTAGTGAAATTAGTAAGGATATTATTATTCTTCTAACTAAATTTTTAAAATACTACTGCTAATATTACTACTGTTATTTTAATTATTCTTGTTATTATCATCCAAGTTCTACCTTTTAACTAGTTCTCTGACTCCAGGTAAGTGACTATACCTCCCTGAGCCCCAGTTTCCTGAAATGGGTCTGGTTAGAAAACCCGACATCGGAGGGGTCCAGACGGTAGGAGGCCCAGGACCCAGTGGGTGTCACCTAACCCCAGGGGGGCACTGTCAGGGGACCCGAGGCACATCTGAAGGGTCCTGGCAGGGTGGCGAGATGCTGCTCACCTGCGCTCAAGCTCCCGGCGCACCCGCGCGCCATCCTGCACTGCGTCCTCCTGCTCTTCCTCCAGCCGGTCCCGCTGGCGCCGCAGCTCCTCCTGGGCAGCCTGCAGCTTCTCCCGCTCCTGCCGCAGCTCCTCGGCCTGCTGCTGGGCCACCTGCAGGCTGTGGGCCAGGTTGCTCTTCTCCCTTCAGGACAAGGGGAGGGGGAGCAGAGGGGATGCTGGGGCTGCTCTCTGCAGGGAAGGTGGCTGGCTGCTCCTCTAGCCATGAGCTACATCCTCCAGTCTTCCAAGGCACCTGCCTCCAGGAAGCCTTCCCTGACCACCCTGTCCATGGCTGACTCATTTCACTCACACACTCCAGCAGAAGAACCTGGCTTTCCTTCTCTCCAGTCCGCCCACTTGGAGTGGATGGAGGTGCTGGTGTGATCTCCAAGCACCCTACCAGGTAGAAGAGGCCGAGCTAGGCTCCTGGGACACACGGCAATTGTGCCACCAGCTCTGCTAGGCCATGTGACCAGGAAATGTCCCCTATAACACCCCATGCCCCTCAATTCTGGGAAGCCTGATAGAGCTGAGTCTGCAGATCCCACAGCTTCCTGCTACACAGGCACATGGTGGCCACGGCAGGGGAGGGAGGAGAAGGGAACAACTGGGACCCCAAAGACTTGCCATGAGCTGCCACGTTCCCCACTGGCCATAGGTGCGAAAAAACTTCACAGCGTGATTTTGTTTTATTTTTTTTTTTTGAGACGGAGTCTCGCTCTGTCCCCCAGGCTGGAGTGCAGTAGCGCAATCTCCACTCACTGCAAGCTCCGCCTCCCGGGTTCACGCCATTCTCCTGCCTCAGCCTCCCAAGTAGCTGGGAATACAGGCGCCCGCCACCATGTCCGGGTAATTTGTTGTATTTTTAGTAGAGATGGGGGTTTCACTGTGTTAGCCAGGATGGTCTCAATCTTCTGACCTCATGACCTGCCCGCCTCGGCCTCCCAAAGTGCTGGGATTACAGGCATGAGCCAATGCGCCCAGTAATTTTTTTTTTTTTTTAGACGGCATCTCACTCTGTCGCCCAGGCTGGAGTGCAGTGCACGATCTCGGCTTGCTGCAACCTCCACCTCCAGAGTTCAAGCGATTCTCCTGCCTCAGCCTCCCAAGTAGCTGGGATTACAGCCATGTGCCACCACGGATGGCTAATTTTGTATTTTTAGTAGAGACAGGGTTTCTCCATGTTGGTCAGGCTGGTCTCGAACTCCCGACCTCAGGTGGTCCTCCTGCCTCGGCCTCCCAAAGTGCTGGGATTACAGGAGTGAGCCACTGTGCCCGGCCAATTTTTTTTTATTTTTAGTAGAGATGGGGTTTCGCCATGTTGGCCAGGCTGGTCTCAAACTCCTGACCTCAAGTGATCCACCCGCCTTGGCCTCCCAAAATACTGGGATTACAGGTGTGAGCCACCTCGCTCAGTCGACAATGTGCTGTTAAGTAAAAATAGCAGAATGCGAAATGGGATGTTTGCTGTGAACACAACTGCTTAAAAAGACCTTCTCCTTTCCAGGCATGGAAAGCTTGGGTTTACTCTCACATGGACCTGAATTCCAGTTCCCACCCTGCCACCCCCAGCCACACACGCTGTATGAGTCTGAGCCAGTCTCTCAAGCTTACAACAACAGAGTTCCGAATTGCATGAGTTTGACAGGAAGACTAAATCACAGAGTACATACAAAACACTCGGCCAAGAGCCTGGCACACAGTAGGTGTGCAGGAAACGTTTGCTATCTCACTGCCAGGCAACACAATGGGAAGGAAAACCAGTGCCCTAAATGAATTAGGATGGGCAGATGAGGCTGTGAGAAGGCGCTGTCTTTTTATTCCTATTTTTCAAACTTTTCATTAGATGGTTACATTTATGAAGAGAAAAACCAAACAACAAAATATCAAAAACAACCTGGCAGCTAAGAAGTGGATAATTTCTTGTCTTAAAAATCTTCAGGGTGCCTGGCGTGATGGCTCACACCTATAATCCCAGTACTTTGGGAGGCCGAGACGGGCTCAGGAGTTAGAGATCAGCCTGGGCAACATGGCGAAACCCTATCTCTACAAAAAACAGAAAAATTAGGCAGGCGTGGTGGTGTGTGCCTGTAGTTCCAGCTACTCAGGAGGCTGAGATGGAAGGATCACTTAAGCCTAGGAGGTGGAGGTTGCAGTGAAATGAGATCGCACCACTGCACTCCAGACTGGGTGACATAACAAGACCCTGTCTCAAATTAAGAGAAAAAAAAAATCTTCAAGGCTAGGCATGGTGGCTTATGCCTCTAATCCCAGCATTTTTGGAGGCCGAGGCAGGGGAATCACTTGAGGCCAGGAGTTTGAGACCATCCTGGGCAACACAGCAAGACCCCATCTCTAAAAAAAACTCCAAGAAATACAGTCCAAAATAGTGCTGGCAATAGAACTCGCTGAGATGACAGAAATGTTCTATGGCCATGTATGGTTGATGAGTGCTTGAAATGTGGCTAGGGCAACTAAAGAACTGAATTTTTTCTTTTTTTTTTTTTTTTGAGACGGAGTCTTGCTCTGTCGCTCAGGCTGGAGTGCAGTGGCGCCATCTCGGCTCGCTGCCAGCTCCGCCTCCCGGGTTCAGGCCATTCTCCTGCCTCAGTCTTCCAAGTAGCTGGGACTATAGGTGCCTGCCACCACGCCCAGCTAATTTACTTTTTGTATTTTTAGTAGAGACGGGGTTTCACTGTGTTAGCCAGGATGGTCTCAATCTCCTGACCTCATGATCCGCCCGCCTTGGCCTTCCAAAGTGCTGAGATTACAGGTGTGAGCCACCGGGCCCAGCATTATTATTATTATTTTTTTTTTGAGATGGAGTCTCGCTCTATCTCCCAGCCTGGAGTGCAGTGGCACGATCCTGGCTCATTGCAACCTCTGCCTCCGGGGTTCAAGTGATTCTCCCACCTCAGCCTCCTGAATAGCTGGGATTACAGGAGCATGCCACCATGCCTGGTTAATTTTTGTATTTTTAGTAGAAACAGGGTTTCACCATGTTGGCCAGCAAGCTGGGTGTGAGCCACCACACCCAGCCTGAATTTTCACTTTTTAAAAATTTTAATTAAATTTTAATAGAGCCAGGCACAGTGGCTTATGCCTGTAATCCCAGCAATTTGGGAGGCTGAGGTGGGAGGAGTGATTGAAGCTAGGAGTTCAAGACCAGCATGGGCAACATAGTGAGACCCCCATCTCTACAAAAAATTTAGAAATGTTGGCGGCTTGTCTACTATCCTCGAGGCTGAGATCAGAGTTGCCCAGGAACCCAGGGAGGTGAGGGCTCAGAGGGTGGTGAGGGCACAGAGGAAGGGAGTGGAAACCTAACTCTCAGGCTTCGGTCCCATATCCTTCCCCAGGCCAGGCCCAGGCCCCCAACTAGGGGCAGTTGGGAGGTAGAGGTGGGAGGATCGCTTGAGTCTGGGAGTTCCAGGTTACAGTGAGCTGTGATGGACCAATTGTGCCCCAGCCTGGGAAACAGAGCAAGAGTGTGACTCAAAACAAAGCAAAACAAAACAAAACAAAACAAAACTGAATACTAAAAAATAAATGTTGGCCGGGCGCGGTGGCTCATGCCTGTAATCCCAGCACTTTGGGAGATGGACGCGGGTAGAACATGAGGTCAGGAGTTCAAGATCAGCCTGGCCAAGATGGTGAAACCCCGTCTCTACTAAAAATACAAAAAAAATTAGCCGGGCGTGGTGGTGGGCACCTATAATCCCAGCTACTTCAGAGGCTGAGGTGAGAATTGCTTAAACCCGGGAGGAGGAGGATGCAATGAGCCAAGATCGCGCCACTGCACTCCAGCCTGGGCCACACAGTGAAACTCCGTCTCAAAAAAAAAAAAAAAATTAGCCCGGCATGGTGGCAGGGGCCTGTAGTCCCAGATACTCGGGAGGCTGAGGCAGGAGAATGGCGTGAACCCAGGAGGCGGCGCTTGCAGTGAGCCGAGATCGCGCCACTGCACTCCAGCCTGGGCGACAGGGCGAGACTCCATTTTAAAAATAAATAAATAAATAAACGTTAATAGGCACATGCAGCTAGTGGCGACCATATTAGTGCAGAGCCATACGCATAAGGCTTGACTGGTGTTATGCCCAGACGGTGACTTATTCTTCAGTACCCCCCAGCTCAGACCTCCCCGGCACCTGCTCAGGAGCTCGTTGGCGCTCCGCAGCCGCTGCACCTCGCGCTGGGCGTCCTCGTGGGCCTGCATGGCGCCGTCGGTCTTGTCCCGCAGGCGCTGCAGCTGTTCCTCTAGGGCCCGCCGCTCGCTCTCGCTGTCGCTAAGCTGCTTCCGCAGGGTGCCCAGTAGGTCCTGGCTTGCCTCATAGCGCCCACGCATGTCCTGGGGTGTGGGGGGTCACAGAGTCTGGGGGGGCCTGAGAGGCCTCCAGAGCCACCTACTCTCTTCTGGTTCCAGGGATACACACTAGCCTACGCTAGGCGGGGTCCAGGGCCTGGACCTGGCCTGGGGCAGGATAGGGGCCTAGGCCTGAGAGCCAGGCTTCCGCTCCCCTCCTATGTGCCCTCGCCACCCTCTGAGCCCTCACCTCCCTGGGGTCCCGGACAACTCCTATCAAAGCCCCCCGGATGCCAGACAAACCCCCAGGCACACTCGTCTCCTGGGTTCTGATCCCACCCCCAGGGCTCCTAGGCTCCTCCCCCTTGCATCCTGGTTCCACTCTCAGACTCCTCCCTACCCTGGCTCTGCCCCTAGTTCCCAAGCTCTGATTCCCCTTGCTAGACCTTTTCCCAGGGTCCTGGCTCTGTATGACCAGGGACCTGTCTCCCTCTCTACCAGGACCCTAACACTGCCGCAGCCTCCTCCCTCCACCAGCTGCCCAAGCACCCACCCCCAGCTGCCCAAGCACCCCCACTTCTGGGCTCGGCTTCACCGCAGAGCTCTCGGCCACCTCCTTGGGGGTCCTGACACCCTCAGAAACTATTTCTCAGGGCTCTGGCTGCACCCCAGGGCGCTCAGACTCCTCCCTCGGACCCTGGCCCCGGACCTGCCCCCGCCCCCGCCCCCACCCGGAGGGCGCGAGCCCCTCCCCCAGGCCTCTGGCTGCGCCCAGAACGCTCAAGCCCCTTCCTACCTGGACCTGCAGCTGGCGCTTGTGCAGGGCGGAGTGGATCAGGGCGAGCGTGGAGGAGTCTGAGCAGGCCGGGGAGGGGCCTCGGCGGGGTGAACGGCCTCGGCCGGGCGAGGAGCGCCGCGGTGGGGACGGGGTCCGCTGGCCCGAGAGCCCCCGCAGGCTGCCGTTGGAAGCATCCGCGGTGCGCTCAGAGCCGCTCAGCTGGACGCCGCTCTCAGAGTCTGACAAGACGGCCTGAGGGTGGGGGAGGGAGGCAGAAGGAGGCTGCTGAGTTAGGAACCGCGGGGTTAGCTGGGCAAAGACGCCCAGGTGAGGCTGGGGGCTGCCTCATTCCAAATGCTGCCTCTTACAAGAAGCCTTCCTGATTTCACCTCCTCCACTAGCTCAGTCCTCGGCTCGCCGCTGAGGCCTCCCATTTATTGGGAAGACATCATTTGGCCTTGCTCACAGGTGGGCTCCCAAAGGGTCGTGCCTCCCCTCTGAGACTGGGGGCTCCCCAAGGCAGAGGCTGGGTGAGCTAGCAGGGGTGCTGAGCAGCTACAGCCTGGGTCCCAGGCCCCCACCCATTTGCAGTTCAGTCCCAGGTCACCGAAAGACGTGGCGGGGGAGCCTGGGACTGCCTGGCAGGGCGCTGTCTTCCCGCCTCTCTGGGCTCACACCTGTGCCAGGTCCCTTAGGGTCTGCTGTAGCCCCTCTCCATCCTCTGTCTCCAGGGCCGCCTGCTCCTGTAGCCGCAGGGATTCCTGGAGTGCGGTTAGGGAGACAAAGGGTGGTTGGGGTTCTGTCTTATCTGAAACCTCCCCTTTCCCTCCCTACCTGGCCCACCACTGACCAGGTGGCCTCTGAAGCCATGTCCATAGGCCAGCCACCTGGTAGACCCCACAGCAGGCCCGAGGCCCTCACTGAACAGACCAGGCCCAGAGAAGAGCTATGTCCTGCCCCAGGTCACACAGTCGATTGGAGGAGAGCCGGACCTAGAACCCAGGCCAGGCCCCACACAGAGGGGTGACCAAACCAGGCTGTACCCTGGGGGAGTGAGTGTCCCACTGGTGGGGGTGGGGGGCAGCTAGGTTGCCAGAGGCCGCATCTGGACCTGGAGAGCATGGATGGGAGTTCAAGTCCCGACTCTCCCGCTTAGTGGCTCTGAGACTGGACAAGCATTACCCCTCTTGGGCCTCAGTTTCCCCATCTGTGTTATGAGGATTATGCTACAGGGCTGCTGGGAGGAAGAAATGGGATGGAGGTGAGTGTGCTTCCCACAAAGCCTGCACACCTGTGAGGGCTGAACCTGAGTGTGAGTGGGACGCTGGGGGTGACCCAGGCAGCCCAGCCCTAAGCCTGCGTCCATGGATCTGGCCGGTACCCCATCTCACCCTGCCCCATCTCAGGGGCACCTGCAGCTCACCAGGGCCTCAAGCTTCTCAGTGAGGTCCTTGTTGACCTGATCCTTCTCCAGATTCTGCTTCTCAAGACGCTTCACTGCCAGGCCCAGCTCTGTCACTCTGGAGTTGGGGGAGCAACAGAGGTGAATACGGGACCACCCCAGCTTCTCAAATCCACTAGCTCTGTGTCCACCATGCTTCTCCAAACCCGAGGCAGGGACCCTAACATCCACCTCCCTGGCTGTGTGACCTCAGACAAGTCCCGGCTCCTCTCCAGATCTCACATTTCTCATCTGTGAAATGGGAATGAGGTTCCCACCAGCTTTATCTCATGGGAAAGCAGTTGAGGACTTGTCCAGGTGGCAGGAGTAAGGGGCACGAGTTCTTTTTTTTTGTTTTTTTTTTTTTGAGACGGAGTTTCGCTCTGTCATCCAGGCCGGAATACAGAGATGTGATCTTGGCTCACTGCAACCTCCACATCCTGGGTTCAAGCGATTCTCCTGTCTCAGCCTCCCTCGTAGCTGGGATTACAGGCACGCGCCACCACGCCCAGCTAATTTTTGTATTTTTAGTAGAGACAGGGTTTTGCCTGTCGGACAGGCTGGTCTTGAGCTCCTGACCTCAGGTAATCCCCCACCTTGGTCTCCCAAAGTGCTGGGATTACAGGTGTGAGCCACCACACCCGGCCACAAGTTCTGTCATAGGAGGCTAAGCTGTTTATGATAAACACTGGGCAAGTGCCTTCGGAACCTCAGTGCATGGGAAGACTGGCTGAGCTCACAGAGGAAGGCCCTTCCCCTAGTGAACAGATGCTCCCTTCTCCCCAACTCTCCAGTTTTACCTTCTGCAGGGACGCCTGCCTCGTGCGGCATCCACCAGGTACCCACCTGGCACTGAGGTCAGCCTTGTCCAGGTCGCTTTGCATCTGCTGCTGCGCCAGGTCCTTCTCGCGGAGCACCTTGTCCTGCAGCTGCTCCTCCAGCTGGGCCTGCAGCAGGGCCTGTTTCTCCAGGGCTGCCTCGGCCCGGCTCTCTGCCAGCCGTAGGCCCGTGCTCAGTCCCAGGCCCGCCTCCTGGACAGCTCGTGATGTCCGGGCCAGCTCCCCTCCCAGCTGCAGCAGGTCCCTTCGGGAGAGAGCACAGGCTGGGGATGGATGGGGCTTGCTCCCAACTACAAATTAAAACTATGCTTGGGCAGGGCGTGGTGGCTCACACCTATAATCCCAGCACTTCAGGAGGCCAAGGCGGGCAGATCACGTGAGGTCAGGAGTTCGAGACCAGCCTGGCCAACATGGTGAAACCCTATCTCTACTACAAATACAAAAAATTAGCCAGGCATGGTGGCGCACTTCTGTAGTCCCAGCCGCTTGGGAGGCTGAGGTAGGAGAATTGCTTGAACCCAGGAAGTGGAGACTGCAGTAAGCCGAGATCATGACACTGCACTCCAGCCTGGGTGACACAGCAAGACTGTGTCTCAAAATAAATAATAAAATAAAAATAAAACTATACTAGGCTGGGTGCGGTGGCATACACCTGCAGTCCCAGCTATGCGGGAAGCTGAGGCAGGATTGCTTGAGCCCAGGAGTTTGAGGCCAGCATGGGAAACATAGTGAGACTCCATCTCAAAAACTAAAGAGGAAGAAAAAAAAAACCCTACACTGGGATGCCATTTGTCCACTCTCAGATTGGGGAAAAAAAAAGGGATACATAATACACAAGGAGGGGCTCTGGGGTAACAGGCCCTCCCCTACTCAGCTGGTGGGAGGGTGATACAACCACAACGGAGGGCACTGAGGGAGAGCTCTGAAAACTATGCATGCATAGGACCTTCCCCACCGGCTCCTCCTCTAAGAACGTATCCAACGATATACCCCAGCACAGAGGAGATGGCTTGTGGACAAGGAGGTTCACTGCAGCATTGCTCATGTAAGAAATCCTGGTGACAACCTAAATGTCTATCAAAAGGGGACTGCTACTAAGTACATGATGGTACATCCATTCTGTGGAACACTCTGTGGCCAAGAAAAAGCAGTGGAAGGCCGGGCTTGGTGGCTCACGCCTGTAATCCCAGCACTTTGGGAGGCCGAGGAGGGCGGATCACGAGGTCGGGAGATCGAGACCATCCTGGCTATCACGGTGAAACCCCGTCTCTATTAAGAATACAAAAACAAAATTAGCCGGGTGAGGTGGCAGGCGCCTGTAGTCCCAGCTACTCGGGAGGCTGAGGCAGGAGAATGGCGTGAACCCGGGAGGCGGAGCTTGCAGAGAGCCGAGATTGGGCCACTGCACTCCAGCCTGGGCGACAGAGTGAGACTATGTCTCAAAACAAAACAAAACAAAACAAAAAAACCAGTGGAGAAGTTCTTCCTGGCCTGACACAGAGCCACCTCCCAGTTATAACTAGTAGGTTAGGGAAGCATCTTCAAGAACTGTGAAGATGAAATTTTACCAGGCGTATATGCAAAAAAGTGTGCATGTGTCTGTGTGTCTCTGTGTGTGTGTGTGATCTGCTTTATTTGATTATGTAAGATAACCCTGGAAGGTCACTTAAGAAACTGATAGGCCAGGCGTGGTGGCTCATGCCTGTAATCCCAGCACTTTGCGAAGCTGAGGCAGGAGGATCACCTGAGGTCAGGAGTTCAAGACCAGCCTGGCCAACATGGCAAAACCCCACCTCTACTAAAAATACAAAACTTAGCGGGGTGTGGTGGCTCATGCCTGTAATCCCAGCTACTTGGGAGGCGGAGGTGGGAGAATCGCTTGAACCTGGGAGGTGGAGGTTGCAGTGAGCCAAGATCGTGCCACTGCACTCCAGCATGGGAGACAGAGCAAGACTCTATCTCAAAAAAGAAAAAAAAAAAAAAAAAAGAAACTGCTGATAATGCTTCTCATGGTAACTTGGTGGCCAAAAAAAAAAAGAAGAAGAAGAAGCAAAAAAGAAAAAAGAAAAAATCTGTATATATAAAAAGAAAAAGAAGCTGATAATGCTGCTTGCCTCCAAGGAGGGAAGAGGAATATCTGGGGTCAGAGGTGAGAGGGAGCCATTTTACTGTGTACCCTTTTGAAATGTGAACCTTGTGAACATGTGACTTAATCAAAAGTAAAATATAAAAATTTTAAAGGCTACTTAAAATTTTTGGTTTTGTTTTGTATTTTAAGGCCAGGCATGGTGGGCCATTTCTGTAATTCCAGCACTTTCGGAGGCCAAGGCAGGTGCACTGCTTTAGCCCAGGAGTTCAAGACCAGCCTGGGCAACATGGCAAGACCCTGTCTCTAAAAACAAACAAACAAAAATTAGCTAGATATAGTGGTGCACACTTGTAGTCCCAGCTACTTGGGTGGCTGAGGTGGGAGGATCACTTGAGCCTGGGAGGTCAAGCCTAATGTGAGTTGTGATTGTGCCACTGCACTCCAGCCTGGGCAACAGAGAGAGACTGTCTCAAAAAAAAAAATGTATTTTCAGTCCATAATACAGGTTAAATCCTTTCCTTTCCTGAATGAACAGTACCACTGGTTATCTAATAGTAAGGAGAGAAAGTGCCTCATTCCAGAATTCTAATTAATATACACAGGAGTGACTAAATGAGAAGCTCACAGTTTTGCAGCCTTTGATGAGTGGGTTGGATCTTGAAAAGAGAGACAGCTGGCATAGGGGCATCCTGCTGGAAGAACACATTCTACTTATGGAGTCTTGATCAAACAAAAAAGCAAGCAGAAGAACCTGAATCTGACCTAGCTTTAGATCCAACATCCAATTTACAGGAAATACATGGGATAAAGAAACATGTTAATTGACACCATAAGGATGCAACCAGCAAAATCCAGACCATGAGAATCTCCAAGGACAACTAGCCCAGTTTCCTGAACAAATAAGTTAAAAGGGACTTAAAAGACAAAGCAGGGGCCGGGCACAGTGGCTTGGGCCTGTAATCCCAGCACTTTGGGAGACCAAGGTAGGTGGATCACCTGAGGTCAAGACCAGCCTGGCCAACATGGTGAAGCCCCCATCTCTACTAAAAATACAAAAGTTAGCTGGGCGTGGTGGCGCACTCCTGTAATCCCAGCTACGCAGGGGGCTGAAGCCATAGGATTGCTGAACCCAGGAGGGAGAGGTTGTGGTGAGCCAAGATCGTGCCACTTCACTCCAGCCTGGGCAACAAAGCAAGACTCCATCTCAAAAAAAAAGAAAAAAAAGACAAAGCAAACATTTACGTTTTGTAAATGTCTATGGATCGAGATTCAAACAAATTGTAAAGAAAAAACTAAAGCAAGACTATCTGTGACTTTTTTTTTCGAGACAGAGTTTCACTCTGTCACCCAGGCTGGAGTGCAATGGTGTTATCTCGGCTCACTGAAACCTCCGCCTCCTGGGTTCAGGCGAGTCTGGGGCCTCAGCCTCCCCAGTAGCTGGGATTACAGGCATGTGTCACCACACCTAGATAAGTTTTGTATTTTTAGTAGAGATAGGGGTCTCACCATGTTGGCCAGGCTGGTCTCGAACTCCTGACCTCAGGTGGTCCGCCCGCCTCGGCCTCCTGAAGTACTGGGATTATAGGCGTGAGCCACTGCACCTGGTCTATCTGTGACATTTATGAGACATATGGAAAATTTAGACACTGGCTATTTGATGATATTAACAAAAGATTATTAAACCAGGTGTGGTTGCTCATGCCTGTAATCCCAGCATTTTGGGAGGTCAAGGCAGGAGGATCACTTGGGCTCAGGAGTTCAAGACCAGCCTGGGCAACAAAGTGAGACCTCGACTCTACAAGAAATAAAAAAATCAGCAAGCCTGGTGGCATGCACCTGTAGTCCCAGCTGCACAGGATCTGAGGTAGGAGGATTGCTTGAGACGAGGAGGCTGAGGCTGTAGTGAGCCATAAAGAAAAGAAAAGATTACTAACTAAAATGTTTTTAACGCACTAAATGAAATACCTTGGCCTCCTGCCTTGGGGCTCTCTCCGCAGCCTCCCTGACACTACTGTTGAGCTGACTGCTCACACGGATCAGGCAGGCCCAAGCTCCCCCGCTGAGGCAGGCTCTCCTTTCCCTGTACCAGCTCTTCATTGCAACCCCCCTGGCTGCCATGGGCTCCCACCTCCATGCCTTTGCTCATGCCTTGCTCCTGCTTGGAGCGCCTGCTGCTCTGCTTCAACCCTACCCATCCCTTGAGGCTCTGTGCAAATTCCATCTCCACAAAGTGGTTTTTCTGACCTCCCCACCCCTCCCATCCTTCTGAGCCTCGAGGACATTCCCTCTGTTCCACGTACATATCACTGACCACTCGCTTCCTCAGTCTAGAATTTTATTTTACTTTTTTTGGATGGAGTTCTGCTCTTGTTGCCCAGGCCGGAGTACAATGGCGAGATCTCGGCTCACCGCAACCTCTGCCTCCCAGGTTCAAGCAATTCTCCTGCCTCAGCCTCCCGAGTAGCTGGGATTACAGGCATGCACCACTATGCCCGGCTAATTTTGTATTTTTAGTAGAGACAGGGTTTCTCCATGTTGAGGCTGGTCTTGAACTCCTAACCTCAGGTGATCCACCCGCCTCGGCCTCCTCAAGTGCTGGGATTACAGGCGTGAGCCACCGTGCCCAGCCTAGAATTTTGGGGATCTACATCTTTTCATCACAAGAGGCTGTGAGGTCCTTGGTAGCAAAGCTGAATATTCTAGTGGATTAAAATCAGGAACTTCGGCCTGGCGCTGTGGCTCATGCCTATAATCCCAGCACTTTGGGAGGCTGAGGCTGGCTGATTGCTTGAGCTCAGGAGTTCGAGACCATCCTGGGCAACATGGTGAAACCCCGTCTCTACTAAAATACAAAAAAAAAAAAAAAATTAGCTGGGTGTGGCGGCATGTGCCTGTTATCCCAGCAACTCAGGAGGCTGAGGCAGGAGAATTGCTTGAACCCAGGAGGTGAAGGTTGCAGTGATCCAAGATCGTGCCACCTCACTCCAGCCTGGTGACAGAGCAAGACTCCGTCTGAGAAAAAAAAAAAATCAGGAACTTCAAACTCTGACTCAGCCACTTATGTACTACTGTGTGACCTCAGGAAGATCACTCAACCTCTCTGCGCCACAATGTCCTCATCTGTAATATGTGAATGAACACAGTTCCTACCTCACAGGGAAGCTATGAATATTAGTTGAAATGAAATATACAATGAGCCTAGCCCAGAGTAAACATCTAATAAATGCTGACTGCCACGACTGTGGTAATGGTTATTACAAGTTGCCTCTGTGTCCTCACCGGCCCTTGTGCACAGTAAGTGCGTTGAGTTGAACTGAAATTCAACTGAGTTCAGTTGGACATAAAGAGCAGGGCTGGCTCTCAGCTGCTGCCCCGTCCCCGGCCAGGCCTCACCTCTCAGTGAACATCTTCACCTCGCTGACCAGCCGCCGGAACCCCACCACCTGCCTCCAGAGGAGGAGCAGGCGACTGTGCTCGTTGCTGAAGTAGGCGTTGAAGGACTGGAGGGAAGACATGCCGAGGGAAGGGTTGGTGTGAGAGCGGGTTTACTCCCTCCCACTGCTTCCCTCATCTCCGACCATCCTGGGAGGCACCGTCGTTCAGGGATTGGGTCTTCCTGTGGGTCTGTGCACAGAGCTGTGTTGCAGCGGCCATGCTCAGCCTCCCAAGCCTCATGGCTCCCTCCTGCACAGGGACCTGGGTTTCAAGTCCTCTTTTGGCTGCAAGAGGCAGCAACGAAGGGCAAAAATGCAAGGGACCTAGCTTTGCATCCCAGCTGCCAGTTGCATGACTGTGGGCAGGTTACTTAAACTCTCTTTATTTATTTACTTATTTGGAGACAGAGTCTTGCTTTGTTGCCCAGGATGGAGTGCAGTGGCACGATCTCTCAGCCTCCCAAAGTGCTGGGATTACAGGCGTGAGCCACTGCGACGGGCCTTAACCTCTCTTTAAAATGAGGAGAATGATAGCACCTACCACATGCAGTTATCATGAGGAATAAAGGTCAACGCACACCGTGCACGTGGTACATGCTACACACTGATAAAGACCAGCTATTGTGATGACGGCTATTTACTTCTGCTAACAGGCTCCCTTGGACAGTGCTCCCTCTCCCTCTCCAGGCTTCTGAGTCCTCCCTCCTCTGCAGTGCCCCTTCCTCTTGGGTCAGGCTGGCCTCCCTGCACCCCCATGCCCACCTCCTCCTCGCGCCTCCACGCCGCCTCCCGGTGCTCCAGCTCCTTGCGGCAGCGTGTCCAGTCATTGGTCACCTTTCGTATGTCCTCACTCAGAGCCTGGTTGGCCGAGCCTGCCTGGTCCAGCTGTTCTCGGAGCATGGCATTCACCTGGGCCAGGCTGGCACTCCTGAATGGGGCACAGGGGATCAGTAGGCGCTCGCGCAGGGGGCCATCCTGCCAGCCCTGGCCCTCCCTGCTGCGCCCTCACCTCTGCTGCTCCTCCTCCAGCCGGATGAGGGCGCTTTCCAGGTCTTGGCTGTGCTCTGTGTCCTGGGTGGGAGAGAGGTTAAAGCATCAGGTTGGGCAGGTGGAGGGCAGGGCCTGCCCCTGCCCCACACTGGCACCCACCCTCAGCCGCTGCTGCTCCAGCTCTCCGGATCTCTCCAGCAGCTGCTGCTCCAGCTCCGAGCACCTCTTCTTGTACTGGAGAATCTGGGGATGGGGAGCTGATGGTGAGCCCCAGGGGTTGGGGCGGGGCAAAGTGAACAGGTGGGAGGACAGGAGCAGGAGTGGGTGGTCCTGACCTTGCCCTGCAGCCGCTGCACAAGCTGGGCCTGCCGCTGCTGGCCCTCCTGGTAGGCCTGCAGCTTGCGCCGGTAGGAGGCCTGCTCCTCCTGCAGCTGCCTCCGCAACTCCACGCTCTGCCGTACCAGCCCCCTGGGCTCCTGCGTCTCCAGCTCCCCAGGCTCCAGCCGCAGAGCCTGCTCCAGCTGCAGGGAAGGGCCCTGGGTGAGAGTCCTGGGCCTCCTGGGAAGGCAGGCTCAGGCTTCTGTAGGGCGTGGCAGGCTGGGCCCAGACCCACAATGCCTTGTAGGCTGATAGCCTGGCGCCCTGGGGAGCAGCACATGTGGGCAAGCCCAGGGGCAGTGCACGTGTGTATGGGGTGATGCAGCCATGCACGGGCACGCAGACGGGGCATGCATGGACACATGCAGGTGAGCCCACAAACCCAAACCACGCAGGCAAAGCTCAAAGGTGCACCTGGGTCAACCTCAGGGGCCTCAGTACACCATGTGCCTCTCCTCCAGAACACTTAGCCCTGTCGTGGTTTCTGTTTATTACATTGATGCCTGTGTCTTCCCACCATGCCCCGACCCCAATGTGAGCTCAGAAAGCCTGGATTTTTTGTTCCTCATTGTATCTTAGTACTAGAATGGTGGCTGTGGAATGGCATGGCTCACGCTCAGTAAATATTTGTTGCGATAGTGAATTAATGGGATGAGCTCATGGGAATACATTCAAAACAGAGGTGTCAATCTGTCTATGCATATCTGACCTTAAAGATATGCACACACATAACACATACAGGCAACCTCAAACATTCCCGGAGGACACGAAGGAACCCCCTCATATACACAGCATTAAGATTTGTAAGAGGTGCACACAGATGTTGCCCTATACGGCGCCTGCATATTAATGCCCCCTTCTGGCTGGGTGCAGTGGCTCATGCCTGTGATCCCAGCACTTTTGGAGGTCAAGGCGGATAGATCACTTGAAGTCAGGGGTTCAAGACCAGCCTGGCTAACGTGATGAAACCCCGTCTCTACTAAAAATACAAAAATTAGCTGGGCGTGGTGTCATGCACCTGTAATCCCAGTTACTCAAGAGGCTGAGGCAGGAGAATCACTTGAACCTGGGAGGTGGAGGTTGCAGTGAGCCGAGATCGTGCCACTGCACTCCAGCCTGGGCGACAGAGCAAGACTCCATCTTTATTTATTTATTTTTTATTTTATTTTATTTATTTATTTTTTTGAGACAGAGTCTTGCACTGTCTCCTGGGCTGGAGTGCAATGGCTCGATCTCGGATCACTGCAACCTACACCTCCCGGGTTCAAATGATTCTCCTGCCTCAGTCTCCCAAGTAGCTGGGACTACAGGTGCACGCCACCACACCTGGCTAATTTTTTGTATTTTTAGTAGAGATGGGGTTTCACTATGTTGGCCAGGCTGGTCTCGAACTCCTGACCTCGTAATCCACCCGCCTCGGCCTCCCAAAGTGCTGGGATTACAGGTGTGAGCCACAGCATCCGGCCCAAGACTCCATCTTAAAAAAAAAAAGGTCCCCTCCATCCTCACTGCAGGAAAGCCTCTGTTGCTGCTGCCCTTCCTCTACCCCCAGGAAGCTTCCATCCCGCACATCCTCAGACCCCTGTGGGCTCTGGCTGTCCCTACCAGCCATAGAACCCTCTCAACTCCCTTAAGGCACCTGCTGGCCCCAGGTGGCCCCTCATCTTCCCCAGCTGTTGGGGGAAGGGAGGTGAGGGAGGAGCAGGGCAGTGGGAGAGCACACAGTGGGTCAAGGGCACCTGGCAGCGACAACACCCCAGCCCAGCTTACTCTGATGCTAGCCCTGCACTCACCATCTGCATCCTCAGGACCTGGCCTGCTACAGCCCAGGCAGGGCATTCAAAAGCCCACCCGTGCAGGGCCACGCCAGCCACAGGAAGCCAACAGGAGGGCAGCTGCTCTCACCCACGCTCATCTCGGGTCTTGGGTCCAGGCCAGGTTAGCGGTAGGGAAGGTGCCCTCCAGGCCTGCATTGACCCCATATGCTGAGAGATGTTCTATGAGCCACAGACAAAGCAAGGACATCTCTACCCACCCCACCCCCGGGACAGGTGCATGGCAGCCCCACCAATAGGGAGGAGCTAACTGTGACTACTTGGGGGCTTCCCCCTGAGTCTGGAGGAACACAGTCCAAGGCTGTGCAGGGGAGGTGGAAGTAGGGGGTTTCTGCCTGGATGGCGGCTGCAGGCCTGTCAAGCGTCTGTGCCAAGCCCACTGAGGTCAATGGTGAGCGGTGTCCACATCTGTGTGTGGTGGCGGTGGCCTGAGGCAGCCACACAGGCTGTGCACTGATGTTGGTGGCTCTCACTAGGTGCGAGTGGGGTGTATTTTGTCATTTGTCTCCACGCAGGACACTGTGTGTGTAGTGTGTGGGTGCTGAGTTCACGTCGACTGTTTGGTGCATCTGAGCCTTCCCGTGAACGGCTAAGGCGGCATCTGTGGCTGAAGGTCTATGTTGTGGCGCGGGTGTTGGGCCTGGCTGTGTGTATCAGGGTATATGTCTGTGTGTCGGTGAGGCAAGTGTACAACCGCATGTGGGTGGGTCTGGGGGGTGTGCCTGGGCTCCCTGGTATGTGTGATACACACTTTGTGCATCTGGGCATACCTTTGTGGGCCGATTGGTGGCTGTGTTGAACTGTATGCTTTTCCTGTCCGTGTGCACCCATGAGGTGGGAGATAGCGTGCTGTGTCATCTGCATATGGTTGTTATAGGTCCCCGGTGGTGGGGGGACTGTTCTGTGCCTGTGTGGGGTTGTGTGGCATCTGGCTGTGTGTGCGGCTAACACTGTGCATATTCTGTGAATTGGAGTGTTTCTGTGTGGCCTGGTTTTAGGGTCTCACTATGTTGTTTGTGGAATGTTTTGTGCATCTGTGTGTCTGTGTGGGGCCCAGTGTAGCCCATGTCGTGTACACACTGCATATCTGTGTGAAGCAGGTGCTGTTTGCCTCTGGGACACAGAGGGGTTCAGGCCGTTGCTGGGTTCTCCTCCCCCTTCTCCAGTGCTCAGAACCAGAGCCAGGGCCCTCTCGGCCACACCTCACCCCTTTCCACAAACTTCACCGTGAGCAAAACAGCCTTTCAATTTTACTTGCAATTCAAAAGGGAAGGAGGCTGCCACTAAGCCAGAGATGAAAGAAGTTGACTGTCTCCCCTAGCAACTGCTGCCCTCAGACCGCCATTCAATTTACTCTTTCCAGGTTGCTATGGACACGAGGGAGCCCAGGGGGTCTGTCCTCTGGAGCCAAGGGAGGCGTGACCACTCCCTCCTTTCCATTCCCAGCTGCGCCTACATCTGCTTCTCAGGGACAGCAAGAAGGGGGGACCCCCATGGGGGCCCTGAGGTCCTCTCTCTCAGCTGGGAGGTGGCCTCTGGGAGTGCCTCAGTTTCCCTGCAGGACATGCAGTTAACAGGACACAGACCTGACCCTCCCTCCGCTCCCCATGCCAGGGGTGCTGCAGGGTTGGAAAGATCAGAACAATCTCGCTGACTGCCCACCAACCCAGCCCAACATGCCAGTGAGGGCCACAGGGGCAGGCACTGCCACCTGTGGCCATGGGGACAAGGGGGTGGCAGGGAAAGAGAATGTTGCCCAACTGCAGAGCCCTGGACCAAGGGTCTCATCCCAGGACCACCACTGACCTTGGGCCTATCATGCCCCTCTCCCGGACTTACTTTCCCTATCTGTGATGAGGTGATCTCTAGGCTCTGAAGTTCTCTGGGGACCCACCCTCCAGGAAAGGCCTTTGAGGTCATTCCTGTTCCACCCCTGCCTCCAGGTGGGGCCTCATTCAAACCATGGTGGATAGAGGACAACTGAAGCAGCGGGCGCCCTCTGCGTGCCATTTGGGCCCCCACTAACCACAGGAGGGAGCTTTCTAGACTAACCCAGACCCCCTGTGCTGCAGTCCCAGCCCCAGCAGCTGTGTCCCAGCAGAGGAGGAACCTGCTACCTCCCACCTCTTCCCTTCCCTGCCAACCTGGGGGCAGGGCTAGCTTCAGAAGGTGGCATTTAAGAGGCGGCCCTGGGGGTGTGGCACTGTGCCATGCATGGACCAAAAGAAAGGGGTGCCTGGCTCAGGGCCCCATCAACACCCACAATTCATGACTGGGGCCAGCGTGCCCTACACACCCGCTGCAGACCCTGGGGAAACGAGCTCTCCACTGTCCTCATGCCAGGGGCCACTGCGGGCCGCCTACTCTGCTCCTCTACAAGTCCCAACTAGTCGTGGGTTTGTCCAGCCAGGCAAATCCCAGGACACGGGCACACCCCACAGTCATACACAGGAACACACACCCTCCTGCCAATGCGGGCTCCAGCCTGGACAAGTCCAGCTCAGGGGTCCCATGCCAACCCTAGCTCTGCCACTACCACACAGGGGACCCTGGGCCAGCCCCTGCCTCTCTGGGTCCCTTCCAACTTTGTGGGGGCCAGCTGTGCCCTGAAATCCCTAGCCCAGTGTCTCTTCCCATACACAGGAAATGAAACTTCAGAACTTTGTTTCTAGACTGGGTTAGTTTAGAAACCAAACAGAGCCCTGGGCTGGGAGTTGGAAGACCTGGTGTCTAACTTTAACTGGCTGTGTGCCCCCAGCATGGTGCTTCCCCTCCCTGAGCCTCTGTTTTCTCCTCTGTTACATGGGCATCATAATGGTCCCGACCTTGGTGTATTAAATGTGAAACACTCAGCACGCGCCTGGCACATAGTAGGCACTCAATAAACAGTAGCTACTGTTAATACGTTATTGCCACCTGCATGCCTCTCATCTGCACACATACACTCTGTCCCAGCTGCGAGTGTCCCTTACCAATCTTCAGCCACCACCAACTTCCCAGGGCCACCTCCCGGCCACCCGGAGGCCCAAAGCAGACAGTGCATCAAGAGCATCCCGCACCCCTCGCACCGGCTCACACCCAGCTCCCGCCCCACACCCTGGGACCCCCACAAGCCTGCAGCACGGGTGATGTGAATCCTGCCTGGACATGAAGACAGGCCTGCTTCTCCTTCCTTCCCTGCCTGGAACTCATTCCAATAGGCAGTGGCGGCAGGTCTTGTGGCTGCCCCAGATGGGCTGCAGAACACCGCGGGTGCCCACACCAGCCTCGAGCCAGCATCCAGCCACCGCCTCAACCCCAAGGCCCGTGGCAATGGGAGATGCCCAGAAACTCAAGGGGCAGGAATCTTTAGGGATCTCATTCTCCGTGTCCCACACCCCTAACAGGCCTGGGACAGATGGGAACAAAATACCCCTGGTGCCAGGCACTTTATTCTATTATCTCCTTGATTCCTACAATTCCACGTCCCATTACAATCCCCACTACAGAAAACAGGCTTAAAGAGCATAGTGATTTGCTCAACGCCACTCAAGGTGGCAGAGCCTCAATCCAAGCCCAGGCCAACCTGACTCCAGGGCCCATCTTTTGCCCCATGTGTGGGCCTGGTCTAGATGCCTCCCTGCCCTTGAACGAGGGGAACCCTGGCCTAGTCCACCACCTGGGCGGCACCCACCCTCTCGCTGACCGCATTGTACTTAATGGCGAGCTCATCGCGCTCGGCACGGCTCTGGGCCAGCAGGTCCTCCACGCGGGACAGCTCCTGCTGCAGCAGCTGGTTCTCCTCCTGCAGCGACAGCAGCGATGCCATCTCTGTGGCCGGCAGCAGGACTGGCAAGGGACAGTGGGCACATGGTTGGCTTCTGGGTCCAGTGGGACATCCTCCCCCCAACAGGGAGGGCAAGAAAACCATCCAGGCCCCTGGGAGGAGTCCAGATGGGAATGGCTGCAGCACCAGGCCTGCAAACAGAGCTGAGAACAGGGAGGAAGGCAAGGAGGGGATACAAAGCTGGACGTAAAGTGAACACAACTCCAGCTAAAGTGTGGCCCAGCAGGTTTGGGAGGTGCAGGAGAGACGCTCAGTCTAGGAGCCAGGAGACCCCTGAGTTCTTGCTCCCTCCTTTTCCAATTAGTCTTCTTCTCCGGGGCCTCAGATTTACTTATCTGTAATATGGGTGGGGCGGGCACGGACTCACGCCTGTAATCCCAGCACTTTGGGAGTCGAGATAGGAGGATCACCTGAGGTCAGGAGTTTGAGACTAGCCTGGCCAACACGGCGAAGCCCTGTCTCTACTAAAAATACAAAAATTAGCTGGGCATGGTGGTGTATGCCTGTAGTCCCAGCTACTTGGGAGGCTGAGACAGCAGAATCACTTGAACCGGGGAGGTGGAGGTTGCAGTGAGCTGAGATTGCGCCACTGCACTCCAGCCTGGGCAACACAGCGAGACTCTGTCTCAAAAAAAAAAAAAAAAAAAAAAAGGTAGAATAGTAGTAACCAGATCCTCCCAGAAAAGCATCAAAGCCTCGCTCAAGAGAAGGGCTTCATGGAACTTTAAAGGCTAGGGCTCAGGAGAGCATAGCATAGGTCAGGTTGTGAGGAGAAGGAGAAAGAGAGAAGAGGGAAAGAAAGGCCAGCGGGAGAAGCGGGGTTGTCCACCTCCTGTGGGTTCCCCTTCTACCCTGGGAGAACTGGACATACACCCCAGGTGTCAGGGTGAGGGCCCTCTGAGTCTCTCCCTGTCTGGGGCTCCAGGGCGCCAACATCCCTGGCGCTCCCAAGGAGGGGGCCCGTCTGTAGCTTGGGAGTTGAACACAGACAATGGTTAGAGCACCAAAACGCCACACGCCAGCACACCAGCTGCAACTGAGTGTGCCTTTCCCAGATCCTCAAGCCACATAACTACACCGTGTGCGCCACCCACTGAGAGGAGCAGGGACCATCCGCCTTCCTGCCCACGTGGGAAACGGATGGACGGCGCCATCCACTCAGACTTCCGCAAAACCCTGGTCTGAGCTGAGCTGCCCTCTTCCTGTATCTTGGGTTCAGCCAGCTCACACCTTCCCCGGGTGGGAATACGGGATTTGGGGTTCACATCTCTGCAGCAGGCTACAGGCAAGCACGCAGGAGATGCTCGGCCCTTCCTTCTAGTTGCACCACATGCGGAATAAGTCTGGACAAATTACATCCCTGAGCCTCTGTTTCCTCATCTGTAAAATGGGTTCTTCTGTCATAAAGCTGTGCCTGCCCCACAGCGAGTTACAGTCATGATCATCATGGTGACTGCTCAGGAAAGGGACATGAGAAGAGGTAAAATGTGGGTGGTGTTTGTGGAGGGGAGCGGATGGGGGTGGCACCTGGGCTCTCAGGCTGGGAGAGGTTGCGGGTGACAATCTCCCTGATAAGGGCAGGCAGGCTGGTGATCTGAGCGTCCTGGGCCAGGTCCCGCGCGCCCAAGCCTTTCTCCTGGCACAGGACGCTGCTCTCCAGTGTCTGTGGGAAAAGCGAGAGGGTCTTCAGGGGACATGGGACCCGGGGCTCCCTGGCCTCGTGGGGAGAGCCACAGAATCCTACTGCCCAAGATACAGGTCCCCAGGAGCCCCCTCAAGATGGAGTGAAGCCTGGGAGTTAGAATCCAAAAAATCCCCATGCAAAGAGCCTCTTGTGTGCTCACTGCCCCAGGAAGAAGGCCCAGGGCCAGAGATGAGAACCAAACCCTACGGGTAACTCCCAAACCCCACTGGAGGCAGTCCAGTGTTGGGGGCTCCAATCCGGTTCCGACCCTAGATGGATGAGGATCTGGCTATGCCAGAGGTCCCCCAAGCCCTAAAATCTGGCAGTAGAGACCCCCTTCTCCCAACCCAGGGCACTGGGATGAGGGAGCCACAGCAGGTGCACCCTGTGTGTACCTCTGCCCCCCATCTTGCCAGGAACTGCAAGCGGGGGGCCCCTGTATACCCCACCACCACCACACCTCTCCCACCCCTTGATCCCCAAGACGCACACACCTCTCACCACTCCTGTTAAGTCCACGCTGCCCCGCCCCAGACAGGGTGGGCACAGCCCCCAGGACCCACCTGGATAACCGTCTCTAGTGTCAGCTCCACCTCCTGTGCCCCCGCCAGCCCCAAGCTCATGGGGGGGAGGCTGTGGGCATGCCTCCAGCCCCCTTCTCCAGGACCCCAAGACTAGCTCAGTCAGCACGCGCCACAGCCAGGATGCTGTGCTGAGCACCAGGCAGATTAAGCTTAAATCCGGCGGCGCCCCCATGTGACCACCGCGGTGGGAGGAGCAGGATGTGGGCTGAGGAGGGAGGGGATGGGAAAGGACAGGAGAGGAGGGAAGCAGAGGCAGGGAGCCAAAGGAAGAGGAAGGATGAAGAGAGGGGAGGAGAAGGGAGAGAAAAGGAGGGAGGAGAGAGAAGAGGGAATGGGAGGAGGAAACAGGGGAGACACCTGGAGGTCAGGACCTCACACACTCTTCACCCTGCGCAGGTTGCTGGGTCCTAGAGCCCTCCAAGCCCAGGGGGTGGGGTCAGTAGCCATGCGGCGGGAAAGGCCAGAGTCCTAAGTATTTGTGACCATCTTTCTGGCCCAGAACGGGAGTCACATGGTTAGCTAAGAATGAGAGGATTTACAGCATGCTGGGAGTATGTTTTCCCACAACAGGTGTAGGGCAAAGAATGCAGGCTGTGAGATCACCCAGGCCAGGCTTGGCACTTAGTTGGGCATGAGCGGTCCAGCCTGGACTGATGAGCATTTATGCAACACCTGCGGCATTCCTAGGTCTGACCTAGACACAGTGGTAGAGCCTCGAACTACAAATGCCCTAGCCTTGCCCTTCAGGCACTTATTGGGAAGCTTCTGGCCCCTTCACACCCACCCCAGCCCCCACTAGCTGGGTGCACCAGGGACACTGACTTTGCCTCTCTGAGACTCAGTGTCCTCTTACGTAAGATGTGATAATATTGGTACTCATCTCTCGGAGCCGTCCGGGGATGAAACAGTATCGTGTGTGCATACCCAGCACATGACATGGTGCTGGGGGGTCACGTGGCCAACACTCAAGAAATACTCATTTCATTCATTTGAAAATCCAGAAGGTACAGTCCCAGCCAGGCGCAGGCACTCATGCCTGTAATCTCGGCATTTTGGGAGGACAAAGCGGGTGGATCACCTGAGGTCAGGAGTTCAAGATCAGCCTGACCAATATGGTGAAACCCCGTCTCTACCAAAAATACAAAAATTAGCCGGGTGTGGTGGTGCACACCTGTAATCCCAGCTACTTGGGAGGCTGAGGCAGGAGAATCGATTGAACTCAGGAGGCAGAGGTTGCAGTGAGCCAAGATCGCGCCATTGCACTCCAGCCTGGGCAACAAGAGTGGAACTTTGTCTCAAAAAAAAAAAAAAAAAAAAAGGCACAGTCCCTATATCCCAGGGCCCTGAGACCCAGAGGTCACCCACCACCTCCCATTGTTCTTTCCCTGGGGCAAGGAGGCTATGTGCTCTAGTGCTTAGGCGCACAGCTCTGGAGTCAGTATCAGGTCTGAGGTTGCATGTGAGACTCAGCTCTGTCACTTGCAACTATGGTGTTCAAGACAGTAAGACCTTGAACAGGTTACCTCCCTGAGCCTCAGTTTTCTCATCTCTAAAAGGAGACTAAACCAGGCCAGGTGCAGTGGCTCAAGCCTCTAATTCCAGCACTTTGGGAGGCTGAGGCGGGCAGATCACTTGAGGTCAGGAGTTTGAGACCAGCCTGGCCAACATAGTGAAACCCCATCTCTACTAAAAATACAAGAATTGGCCTGTAATCCCAGCACTTTGGGATGCTGAGGCAGGCGGATCAGGAGGTCAAGAGATTAAGACCATCCTGGCCTACATGGTGAAACCCCGTCTCTATTAAAAATACAAAAATTAGCTAGGCATGGTGGTGCACACCTGTAGTCCCAGCTACCTGGGAGGCTGAGTCAGGAGAATCGCTTGAACCTGGGAGGCAGAGGTTGCAGTGAGCCGAGATCATGCCACTGCACTCCAGCCTGGCGACACAGTAAGACTCCGTCTCAAAATATAAATAAATAAATAAATAAATATAAAAAAAATTAGCTGGGGCGTGGTGGCATGTGCATATAATCCTAGCTACTCAGGAGGCTGAGGCAGGGGAATCACTTGAACCCAGGAGGAGGAGGTTGCAGTGAGCCGAGATTGTGCCACAGCACTCCAGCCTGGGTGACAGGGCAAGAGTCTGTCTCAAAAAAATAAAATAAAATAAAATGAGACTAGACCGAGTGTGGTGATTCAGGTCTATAATCCCAGCACTTTGGGAGGCCAAAATGGGAGAATCGCTTGAGCCCAGGAGTTTGAGACCAGCCTGGGCAACATAGCGAGACTCTGTCCTACCAAAAACAACAAAAAAATGCGACTGATAGTACCTACCACACCTGGCAGGTGGTGAGCTATTAGCCAATGGGGGCCACTGTTCCTATTGTCATTAGCATCACGTGTCTGGGCTCCTGCCCTTAGAGTTGTAAGCCCTAAAAAAGGACAGGAATTGCTCACTCGAGGAGCTCGGCTTTTAAGACACAAGTCTCCTGAAGTTCCCAGCCGAATAAAGTTCCTTCCTTCTTTAACTTGGTGACTGAAGAGTTTTGCCTGCGGCTCGTCCTGCTACACTGCTATGCCTCAGCCCTCCGTCCCTGGGTGCCCTCTGCTCCATGCTGTGCCCCAAAGGGGGCATATTCACATTATCTCATTAAATCCTTACTTCAACCTATTTCCAGATGAGAAAACTGAGGCTCAGAGACATTGGGCTCTCACCTATTCAAGGCGACATGCTTCAGGGAAGTGGTGAGCCCAAAGCTCATTCCACTTAGACCAGCAGCCTCCCAATGAGTGACTGAAGGGCAAGGCCGAGGCATTTGCGCTTTGAGGCTCTACTTCTGTATCCAGGTCAGACCCAGAATGCCACGGTGCTGTATAAATGCTCATCAGTCCAGGCTGGACCGCTCACGCCCAACTAAGGAAACTGCCCTGCAAATGGAAAACCAAGAAACAGGTCTGAAAAGATAAATGTTGCCAAGTTGCAATGGCAAGCAAGCCAGATTTGGGCAAAACTAAACCAGCTACTGGCCAGGTGCAGTGGCTCATGCCTGTAATCCCAACACTGGGATGCCGAGGCAGGTCGATCACTTGAGGTCAGGAATTCTAGACCAGCCTGGCCAACGTGGTGAAACCCCGTCTCTACTAAAAATACAGAAATTAGCTGGGCATGGTGGTGGGTGCCTGTAGTCCCAGCTACTCGGGAGGCTGAGGCACAAGAATCACTTGAAACTGGGAGGCAGAGGTTGCAGTGAGCTGAGATCGCACCACTGTACTCCAGCCTGGGTGACAGAGAGAGACTCTGTCTCAAAAAAAAAAAAAAAAACAAAAAACTAAACCGGCCAGCAGATAGAGCTGCCACTACAAACCCCAGGGACGCCCACTCTTCTACCTCTAGGCAGCCTCCAAAAAATCCCCTCTACAGGCTGCACACCTGCCCACCAGAACAGGGGGGAAGCCAAAAATACCCCTGGACCAGCATGTCCAGCCCTGCATGCCCAGCTCAGCAGAGGGGGCCCCAGATGTCCTTGAGGGACTGAACTGGATTATTCTGTGCCTTCTCCTGACCACGGCCCTAAGGGTTGGAGGAAGGGGACAGGATGTCAGCCCCTGGCACCAGGTGACACTCACCCTTGGCTCCATCCCCAAAGTTCTCCCCCAGAGTCCTGCTGGGTTCTGTGGGTCCCAGGAAGTCATATCTGAACCTCGTGTATGTGTCCACTGCTTCCACCCAATTCTCCAAAAAAAAAAAAAAAAAAAAAAAAAGACTGAATTCCTCTTAGAAATCTGGATGCTAACAGCTTCAGCATCTGGCCACCTGGACTCCAATCTTGGCTCACCAGCCCCTCACCAGCTGTGTGACCCTGCACCAGTGTCTTCACTTCTCTGAGCTTCAGTTTCCTCATCTGCAAAATGGGATAATAATGGTGCCTGTTTCTAGCATGAGCATTAAATAAAATACTCCGTGCTAAGCTATATGCCTGGATATGGTGTGGCAGAAACTGCAATGTGCTCACCACAAAGCATTTCCGATTCCTCTTAGGAATATGGCTAAAAGCCATTTCCCAGACTCCCTTGCAGTCAGATACGGCCATGTGGTCAAGTTCTGGTCCATAGAATTAAGACAGAAAGACAGCGTGCCACTTTAGGCTTGGTCCATAAAATTATTTCTCTCCTTCCTGGTCCATCAGCTAGAAGGAAATAACTCCAAGGTCCTAGGGGATGCCGCAACCACAAGACAGAAGGGATCTCGGTCCCTGGGTCGCCACATAGAAAGCCACCTGCCAAACACCCAACAGGGCTTTTCATGAATGAGAAATAAACTTCTATTGCGCTAAGCCTCTGAGAATTCAGGGTTTCACTATCACATTAGCTAGTGTTACCTTAATTACTACCTGCAGTTCAACAGCGGGTAAGTGTTGGCTATTACTACTGTTATCATTACTATCATGAGTATTATTGGCTCTTTCTAGTCCCCAAGCTAGAACCCTGTGCCTTGTTCTAGATGCTGAGACATTATTTGGTGACCAAATACAGAGGAGACACCCTTTGTACCCTTCCCTCCCCACTACCACCCTCCAAACTTGCCTTTTGCCAGGGCTAGCGGCAGGAACTAGCCAAAAAGCCCCTCAAAGATTACTCGTTTCAAACATAGCAGCTGCTCTTATCCGCTTACCCCTTCGTTATCCTCCTGCTGCTGACTAGAAATTATGACAAAAATATTGAACCAACCACGAGCCAGGCCCTGTGCCCAAAACGTTACATCTGTCCCTTACCTGCTTTAACACTCCTGGCACCACCCTACTCACTTTACAGATGACAGCGTGAAGTCTCAGCGAAGTTAAATAATTGGCTCCAATGCACCCAGCCACAAAGAGCTCAAGTCACAGCCGCGACCTAGGTGTGCCTGATTCCAAAGGGTTTTTGTTTTTTGTTTTGTTTTGTTTTTGAGATGGAGTCTGGCTCTGTCACCCAGTCTGGAGTGCAATGGCACGATCTCGGCTCACTGCAACCTCCGCCTCCTGGGCTCAAGCAATTCTCCTGCCTCAGCCTCCTGAGTAGCTGGGATTACAAGTATGCGCCACCGCGCCCAGCTTATTTTTGTATTTTTAGTAGAGACAGGGTTTCACCATGTTGGCCAGGCTGGTCTCAAACTCCTGACCTCAAGTGATCTACCCGCCTCGGCCTCTCAAAGTGCTGGGATTATAGGCATGAGCCACTGCGCCCAGCCCAGAGTTTTAAATAATAACAGCAAGCCGGGTGCACTGACTCACACCTGTGATCCCAACACTTTGGGAGGCCAAGGTAGGAGGACTGCCTGAGCCCAGGCGTTTGAGACCAGCCCTGGCAACACAGTGAGACTCCATCTCTGCCAAAAAAATAAAAAAAATTGGCCTGGCATGGTGGCATGCACCTCCTGTAGTCCCAGTTCCTTGAGAGGCTGAGGCAGGAGGATTGCTTGAGCCTGGAAGGTTGAGGCTGCAATGAGCCGTGGTTGTGTCACTGCACTCTAGCCTGGGTGACAGAGCAAGACCCTGTCTCAAATAAACAAAAACAGTAACAGCAATGACTTCCATCCTGCAGCGCCTGCTGTGTACCTGGCACCACCCCAGGACGCCGATGTGTATTATATAAGCCACTGCCTGGACTGCTGAGATGGCTCCCCGAGGGTCTCTATGCTTCCCTGCTCATCCCCTCACCCACTCAAGTTTCACACAGTAAAGGTCATACCCCTCCCCTACCCAAGGCCCTCTACTAGCCCTTACCACACCTAAAATGAAGTTCAAAGTCCTTCCATGGCCCACAGGGCCCACCAGATCTGGCCCCACTCCACTTTTCCCACCTCATCTCCTCTCTCCCCTTCTCTCATGGCCTTTTTTTTTGAGGCAGAGTCTTGATCTGTTGCCCAGGCCTGAGCTGGAGTGCAGTGGTGCACAATCTCAGCTCACTGCAACCTCCACCTCCTGGGTTCAAGCAATTCTCCTACCTCAGCCTCCCGAGTAGCTGGGATTACAGGCATGCACCACCACGCCCAGCTAATTTTTGTATTAGTAGAGATGAGGTTTCACTGTATTGGCCAGGCTGGTCTTAAACTCCTGACCTCAAGTGATCCACCCACCTTAGCCTCCCAAAGTGCTGGAATTACAGGCATGAGCCACCACACCTGGCTGCTCATGGCCTTCTTGATTCCTCAAACACCAGGCAGGCACCCACCTCTGGGCCTTTGCACTGCCACTTTCTCTGCCTGGGACGCACTTCCCCCTTCTTTTGCACAGCTGACTCCCGCTTGTCGGCCAGATTTTGGCTCAAAAATATCACTTTCTGAGGGAGCTACCCCGACTCTCAGCTAAAGAGGTCCCTCCAGTGGCTGTTCCATTTTCTCCAACATGTATGTTGTCTGTCTCCTCCTTTTTTTTTTTTTTCTTTGAGACAAGGTCTTGCTCTGTTTTCCAGGCTGGAGTGCAGTGGCAAAATCATGGCTCACTGCAGCGTTGACCTCCTGGGCTTAAGGGATCCTCCCACCTCAGCCTCCTGAGTAGCTGGGACCACAGGTGCGTGCCACCACGTCTGGCTAATTTTTTACTTGTTGTAGAGATGAGATGTTGCCCAGGCTAGTCTCCAACTCCTGGGCTCAAGCGGTCCTCCCACCTCAGCCTCCCAAAGTGCCAGGTTGGCTTAGCTCACTGTCACTTCCACAGTGCATGGGCTAAGGCCAAAGCTCCATGAAGAGCTGCTGAATGAATTAATGAATGCTAAGAGCCAAGTAATAACATAGGATGTTAAATGGAAAAAGAAATGATTCCCCTTGGCTCTGGCTGGGGTCATGTTGGGCCACAGATGGTGTCAGCCACAGACGGGGATCACGGAAGGACACCAGCGAACACATATCCAGCCAGCATCTGCCGCATCCCAGAAGATCAGGGTGAAAACCAGGCAGTGACCCCCACAGGGGCCACTTGGGTGGAAAGGGCTGAAAGACTTGGGGAGGGGAGGGTTAAGTCAGGGAAATGTGCGCGGGTGGGGAGCCTCCGAGATCCAGGGGTTGACTCCTGGAGTCTTGCCTGAACCTCGCTGTCGTCTGCTCCCGCCACAAGATCTGTTTATTAAGCACCTGCTGTGAGCCCAGCGAAAGAAAACAGAAATCTCTGTTTTCTGGCGTAAACAGACAGATGGCACCCTGAAGTCCTCCTCCCCAGGGTCCCCATTCCCCAGTCAATCGTCTTCCCGAGGGAGCTGTGACCTGGTCACCAGAGGGGCAGACATCCGCCCCAGCATGGTCGTTAGGCTTAAGTCTGTGCAAAAATCAGGAGGGAGCTCGTTAAAAAGCCCACTCCAGAGACGCTGCCGGGCACAGAGGCCTGAGGCCGCATGGTGAGAGGCGCAAGGGGTGCAGGGCCCCATCCCCGCACAGCATCCGGCGGCCCTGCCTCCGTGGCCAGCCCAACTATGCGCTCTGGGCCTCAGTTTCCCCATCCGCACAATGGAGATGCTTCCGACTCGGCAGGGCTGCAATGAAGACGAAACCGGATCCCACACGAGGAGGGCAGTGCAGGGCGGGGCCCGCACGCAGGAGCTGCAGAGGGCATCTGCGGGGGGCAGAGGCCGTCGCGAGGGCCTCCCACGGCCGCCCGCGGAGCGAGGGGACCCCGGCCGGCGGAGGGACGGCTGCGCCCTGCAGGCCCCAGTCTCCTGTCGTGCCCCCGGCCCGCGACAATCCGGGCAGGATGGGCGGCAGGACGCGGCGGGGCATCCGCGGAGCCTGTTGGGAACGCTCTCCTGGCCTCCGGTGCCGGGCCGCGGCAGTCGCGGAACACACAGCGCCCCCAGCCCCGGTACGTGGCTCCAGCCCGCCCCCAGGCGCGCGGCCTCCTCCGCCGGGAGCGCGTCCGTCCCGCCCCCGCGCACGCGCGCGCCCCCGGCCACCTACCTTCGCGCGCCTTCGCCGCAGCCGCTGCTGCCGAGGCCGAGCGGGCCGGACCGGGCGGGGAAAACTGGGGGCGGAGCCTGCGCTGCGCGGTAGTGGGGCGGAGGCTGGGGCGGGGCCGGGCGCCGGGAGCAGCGCTTCTGCAGCGCTTACAGGGGCCGCCCTGGGCGGACACGCCCCGTGCGCCCTCCCTCTTGCCGCCTGGCACCGCCCGGCAAGCCAGGCGCCTCCTACACGCACGAACGAGGATACCAGGCGAACGAAGCACGACCCCCAAGTCCTCGCAGTTGCAAGGCCGCAGCGCAGGATCGAAACCCCGACCCGGCTGCAGAGTCCCCCTGCGGTCTGGCCGGGCCTTAAAGGCCTGAAACTCCTGAGCACTGACCCATCGCCCAGCCAGACAGAGGGACGTTTCATGCCAGCCCCGTCACAGCCCCCAGCGACGATCCCGAGGCTTCGGTGATTTGACCTGTCGGAGAGAATGCTTTTTTTTTTCCTGACTGACGTGCAGCCCTGGGGAAGGCACTCTGGCCTCAGTTTGTTCGCGAGACTCAACCCGGTGGCGCGCCTGTCTCGTGTCCTTTCCACTGTGACAGTATGTTCGTTCCACCCTCTCACTGGACTTGGACCTCCTTCTGTTACTGAAGGCATTGGATGAAATCATGCTTTTTTTTTTTTTTTTTGAGGGAGTCTTGCTCTATTGCCCAGGCTGGAGTGCAGTGGCATGATCTTGGCTAAACGCAACCTCTGCCTCAGCCTCCTGAGTAGCTTGGACTACAGGCGCCCGCCGCCACGCTCGGCTAATTTTTGTATTTTCAGTAGAGACGGGGTTTCACCATATTGGCCAGGCTGGTCTCAAACTGCTGACCTCGCGATCCACCCGCCTCAGCTTCCCAAAGTACTGGGAGTACAGGCGTGAGCCACTGCACCCGGGCGAGATCATTCATTTTCAAAGGGAGAGGCAGCTCTGAATCTCCAGGGCTAAGAGAGGGATGTGTTTGGTTTGAAAAAGCATGTTTAAGTTAATGATTTTGTGCTTTTTCCAAACACAGTACCCAGAGAGAACGGCCAGCAGGCCCGCGGCTGATGGTTGCTTCTGTGTTTCCTGCGTGGTAGGAGGGAAGCAGTGGAAGTTCCATCTTCGTCAAAGAGGAACCTGTCTGTGACATCTGAAACACTGCACTAAAGGCTGCCAGTGTGCCCTTCGGGCTCTGAAACCCGGCCTGGTGCAAGCAAGACTGTGGCCTGGACCAGGGCTGAGAGCTGTTTGTCAGGAGAGATTCGGGCCATTCCCTGGGATTTGGGGTGGAAGGGTGATGTTACCAAGATTGGAAGGAAGGTCACAGTTTCCCTGAGGTGTCCCTGGCCCAACTGCAGGAGGGCTGACTGACATCTGCCAGTATGCACAGCCAGTCCCTGGATGCCCAGCATGGCCCAGGTCTGTGTGACCCTGTCTGGAGTCCCCAGACTTGCTATGTCCCTACCCAGGCCCTGGTGGGCTCATGACCTCACTAGTCCAGTTCTGATGCTGTCTGTCCCTGTGAAGCCCACTCCAGTGTTCATATCACCAGGGCTGGGCTCAGGCCTGTGTCCTTGCCACTCCCTCCAGGGCACCTTGGGTCTCCCTTGGTGACAGTACCTGCACCCTGCGGGCAGCCTGCGCTGGCTGTGAACCACACTGCCGCCTACTTCCTCTTCTATGTTCCCGCTCTGTCTACAGTCCCCTCTGAACACTCCCGTGAAGCAGGTTCTAGGATCATCTCCATTTTATAGAAGGGGAGATTGAGGATCAGAGACATGTAGTCACTTGCCCAAGGACACACAGCAGGAAGTTCAATGGCTTCCAATCCCATGCTCTTTCCTCTCTACCATGCTGCTTCACTTGAGGTTTTTAACAGGGGGTGGCAAACACAGCTCCTCTCCCCTTGACCCTCTCACTCCCAAAGCCCACAGGACCCTGCCGCAGGGTGGCACATACTCATCTCCTTGGGGGGTCCTCCAGCTCCCTTCTCTGTGAAGAGCCTAGGTTCCTTGCTGTGCTGAGTCCTTGGCTCTGCTCAGCTCAGCCTGACCGGGCTGCGGTCATTTGAATCCCCAGTGCTGCCACCCACCGGTCACCCTGTCCTGTCACCAGGTGGTGACTGGCCCAGTGACCCCCAGGACCACTCACCAGAAAAGAATCATGCCAGGTGCTCACCTGCTCACTGCAGAGGGCTCTAAATCTGCAACTCAGGTAACAGGGAAACAAGTAACTGATTGGAGTTACCACCCTCAGGTTGCTAAGGCCAAGTGCCTGCCAAATCCAGCGGCTCGGCTGGGGTGGACTCTGCCCACCATCAGCAAAACCACATTCACCAGGAGGCTTAGAGGACAGTGCTCTGGTTAACTGGATTTGCTGGGCATCTGAAGGCTAACTTGCAGAGTCTATCATGCCAGACTTTAATAGCAAAAAGTTAGAAAGACCTAAACGTTCAGCAGTAGGGGACTTGTATAATAAACCATGGGTTATTCATATAATGGGATACTATGATATCATTCCAAATGTTATAGAAGAACATTCAATGACTGGAGAGATGGTTACGATATATTAAGTGAAAAGTTCAGAAGAGTAATACAGGGATAAGCCCATATTGTAAAAATAATAATGATTTCTTTCTTTCTTTTTTTTTTTTTTTTTGCTCTTGTCACCCAGGCTGGAGTACAATGGCACGATCTCGGCTCACTGCAACCTCTGCCTCCTGGGTTCAAGCAATTCTCTTGTCTCAGCCTCCCAAGTAGCTGGGATTACAGGCGCCCGCCACCACGCCTAGCTAATTTTTGTATTTTTAGTAGAGATGGGGTTTCACCATGTTGGCCAGGCTGGTCTGGAACTCCTGACTTCAAGTGATCCACCCATCTCGGCCTCCTGAAGTGCTGGGATTACAGGCATGAGCCACCAGCCCAATAATTCACTCCCAACACAATAATTTTTTAAAAAACATTTTGTAGGCCGGGTGCGGTGGCTCACAGAATACTACATTTGTAGACATTTTGGTGCCTTAATGTCAGCAAGGGTTGCACAAGTTTTGATAAGCATGTATTCCAGAGATGTATAGAAATTCTAGTTACTGGCCGGGCACGGTGGCTCACGCCTGTAATCCCAGCACTTTGGGAGGGCGAGTCGGGTGGATCACGAGGTCAGGAGTTCAGGACCAGCCTGGCCAAGATGGTGAAACCCCGTTTCTACTAAAAATACAAAAATTAGCCGGGTGTGGTGGCGGGCACCTGTAATTCCAGCTACTCGGGAGGCTGAGGCAGAGAATTGCTTGAACCCGGGAGACGGAGGTAGCAGTGAGCCGAGATTGCGCCACTGCACTCCAGCCTGGGCAACAGAGTGAGACTCCGTCTCAAACAAACAAACAAACAACAACAAAAAAAAAACCCCAGAAATTCTAGTTAGTTATAAATTTTTGGGAAAGAAGCCTGGAACTAGATTCTTGCTTTAAATAATAAGGAAGTCTAATTGCCTCTAAATTCCCCAGATAAAGAGTTTTGCCTCTCGATGGTCTGCTTTGCAGCCACCAGGTGATTTTTGCTTGCCTCCGTGACCTTTTAAGTGTACGATTTTTTTTTTTGAGATGAGTCTCGCTCTGTTGCCCAGGCTGGAGTGCAGTGGCATGACCTCGGCTCACTGCAACCTCCCCTCCTAGGGTTCTAGCAATTCTCCTACGTCAGCCTCCTGAGTACCTGGGATTACAGGCACCCACCACCATGCCTGGCTAATTGTTTTGTATTTTTAGTAGAGACGGGGTTTCACCATGTTGGCCAGGCTGGTCTTGAACTCCTGACCTCAGGTGATCAACCTGCCTTGGCCTCCCCAAGTGGTAGGACTACAGGCGTGAGCCACCATGCCCAGCCCTAGGGGTGGGCTTTTTTTTTGAGACAGGGTTTCACTGTCGCCCAGGCTGGAGTGCATGAAGAGCAGTTGTTCCAGCATAATGATTACATGGTTTTTATATCATTCCATTTTCTTTCCTTTGTTGGCTTATTAGCTATAACTCTTTCTTTCTTCTGGTCTACCGCTCCCCGACTTCTTTCCCTGCTTTTGCCTTTTCAGTGAGGGCTTCAGGGTTTCCTGAATACACCTTTATCAGTGCCATCTAGTGGCATTATACCTCCTCTTCTGGCCATTATGCTAGTGTTGTCATGTAACTTGATTTCAGACATGTTATAAATCCCAGAATCCATTATTATTGCTTTTTTTAATTATTAAAAAAAGATTTAAATCATAAATAATTTAAAATAAATAAATTATTAAAAAAGATTTAAATAATAAGAACATATATATTTAACTATGTACATACCGATTTGCAGTAGTCTCCATTTCTTTGTGTAGATCCAGATTTCTGTCTGGTATCCTTATCTTTAGGCCTGGAGGACTCCTTTTGCATTTCTTGTAGTGTGGGTTGCTGAATTCTTTCATTTTTTATATGTTTTTAAATGTCCTTATTTCAGTCATATTCTTGAAAGATTTTTCACTTTGACATAGAATTCTAGGAAAACTTTATTTCTTTCAGTACTTTAGGATGTTGCCACTTTGTTTTTGTAAAACTGGCTGAAAGTGGGCTTCCTGTACTTGTTATATAATTTTGGGAATGTGTATTTAAATTAAAAACATTAAAATGGGCTGGACGAGGTGGTGCATGCCTATAGTCCCAGCACTTTGGGATGGGGAGATAGGAGGATCGCTTGAGGCCCAGAGTTGGAGACCAATATGGGCAAGATTGCAAGACTCTGTCTCTCATATATATATGAGAGACATATATATATGTGTATATATATATATATGTGTGTGTGTATATATATGTATATATATATGTATATGTATACACACCCACACACATACATACATACATCGTGAATGTCTTAGATTCATCTTAAGTTCCACCGACAGTGAACTTAAAGTAAAATGTGCCCAACCTGAGGGTCAAACCTACCTGTTGACATGTAATTTGTGTTTATGAGACATTCTCAACAGCATTTGCTTTCCCTAGCATAGTGGTTTTCATGTTTTCCTCACACCTGAGTGTCTTAAGTGCAAAACCTGTCAGAAATCATTTCCTTTGCCAAAAGATACTTTTTTTTTTTTTGATATCAGTTCACTGCAACTTCCCCTTCCCATGTTCACAGGTTTCTCTTGCCTCAGCCTCTCGAGTAGCTGGGACTACAGGCCGGTGCCAACATACCTGGCTAATTTTTGTATTTTTCGTAGAGACAGAGTTTCGCCATGTTGGCCAGGCTGGTCTCGAACTCCTGACCTCAAGTAAAATGCCCACCTCTGCCTCCCAAAGTGTTGGGATTACAGGTGTAAGCCACCGTGCCCGGCCTGAAATACTCTTACTTTAAGGAAAAGTGCATTAAAAACAAACTTCTCAGTTGCATCTCTGGAATCCATAGAAAGCCAGGGAGAGACAATCAAGTGCTACAGGATCAAGTGCTAAACAGGGGAGGACAAAGCATGGCTTCCTAACTAGGAGTCAGGGCAAAGTTACCTGCTTTGGTTTCCAATGGAGACCGGAACTCGGTTCACCTGCAACAGGAGGACGCGGCCCAGAGGAGGCGGACTTTCTCTTCATGGTGCCTTCAGATAGGAAATCTCCTAGGATTTCTTTCTTTCCCTTTGATCTACTTCCAACGCTCCCTTTCTGTTTCTTCAGATGTTTTTTGGATCCCTAATGTGCAGGACCTAAGGGGCTGGTGCCTTTCCCTACCCTCCCTGCCTGGGTGTCTTCAGCACCCAAGCTCACCCAGAACATTACTGCCTGCCAGAGACAGTGAGGGGACCAAGGAGAGTGGCAGGAGCAGTGGGAACCACAGAGTCACCGTGTACCTGTGCTTTGTAGGCTCCTAGCAAATTGAATAAACGCCCCCTGAAGCTTCTCTGCAGGTCACAGGGAAGGGGAGGGTTGTTGCCCACCCAGTGGGAGAAGCGTCAAAAAGCATCAGGAGTATCTGGCCCTACCCCTGTGCCTGGAAGACAGACCTGGCTAGGCTGATTTTAATGGTTAGGCCCAAGGAAAAGGCCCAAGGGCGGCCCAAACCCCGACCCTGAGATTAAGGCTTTCAAATGTCTGATCGTTTTGATGTTGGTCAGTAGAATCCATCCCACCTTTATCAGGAGACTCCTTTGCCAAAATTCAGAGATCTGGGATTCCTGCTGGTTGCCACAGAGAAAGCCAATCACCGAGATGATTATTGCCAAGGAAGGCGCTTTAATAGGGTGCTGCAGTGGGGGAGATGAGAACTCAGTCTCAAATCCATCTCCCTGACCAACAAAACCAGAGGTTTATATGGCAGGGAAGAAATGTAACAATGTGTAAGAAAACAGGAACTAGGGAGGAGCAAGGAAGCAATCATGATGAATGAGGGGTCCCAGCATCTCATTGTCTGGATGAATTTCAGTTCTTTGATGGCTTTTTTGAGAGGCCTGAAGGTTGTTTCCTGAGGAAGGAACTCAGACGAAACAAATATTAAGTTTCAAGCTTTAAGACCAGCAGGGTCAATTTCTAGGTTTATCCAAAAAAGCTACATATGGGACTATTGGGTGGTTTTCAGACCAAGAAAGAAAAAGACTGTGCAGACCAAAGTCTGCAGTTAACCAAAGAAAAAACATAATTTTCTGACCAATAGGATGTATGGGGCCAGAGAATGACCAGCCTATAGAAGAACTGTTTTTTGTCCTGAGCATAGGGGAAGGATGAAGTTGCACCAACTAAGGTGGAATTAAGCTGCAGATGGGGAAAAATCTGGATTTTGGTTCAGAGCCCTGGGGTCTTCCTCAAAAGTCTCTTTCCTTGAAAGAGGAACCCTGTCTCGGTTTCTGCATCTCTCTGAGTCCTTTTGGAGGTTGAGGATGCTGAGGTCTTGGTGCTTGGCCCCCTCTAACCCTGAGTACTTCCCCTCCTGTGGGGCAACCTGGCCCAGTACCCAGGCCCCAGCTCTGGCGACCATTTCCCCCTACTTTGCTCTTAGCAAAGGCCATTTCTAGGTCAGTCGTGAGGTACAGGCAGAACGGGCAACTTCTTCTGAGATTTTTGGCCCTGGAAGGCCTTGAGCCCTGTGGTCCTGCAGAACTGCTGTCTCCCTCTTTTGGAGAAAGCAGGGAGGAAATGACCTGTGTTGGGGGAATTGTGAGCTGCACCTGCACAGAGGAGCTGAGGCAAGCAGGGCAGTTCTGGTCTGTCAATGTAAAGGACATTTATCATTCAAGAGGTTGGGCTGTTATTATTAATTTTGAATTTTGTCAATACAAACTGAAGGGAAATTTGTCTTCTTACTTGTAGGAACCTCACAAGACCACCCGTCTTATATTCCAGGGAGAATTGCTGCGTATTACACAAACTCATAGGTGAGACTGCCGTTCTGACCTGCAGGCCTGGATGCCCTGCACAGGGGCACAGAGCACTGGCAAAGCCCTTCCCATACAAACAGCAAGCATGTTATGTCTACAACCCAACGACACCAGTTCCAAGTACAATTTCTACTTGGCTGTATGAGCTGAGTACACGTTCCCCCCAGCACAGAAATCCTACAAACTCCCATGAATGCTATAGTGAAAAGCAGGGGCTGGCCAGGTGTGATGGATCACACCTGTAATCCCAGGACTTTAGAAGGCCAAGGCAGGGCGGATTATTTGAGTCCAGGAGTTGGAGACCAACCTGGGCAACATGGTGAAACTTCAACTCTTAAAAAACAAAACAACCACCACCACAACAAAACCAAGAACAGAAATTAGCTGGCTGTGGTGACTCGTGCCTCTGCTACTCCAGAGGCTGAGGTGGGAGGATCGCTTAAACCAAGATGCTACCAGATAGAGTGAGACTCTGTCTCGGGGAAAAAGACAAACAAAATAAGTCTGTGTAAGAGGTGACTCTGGGGACAGTGGAAAAACACTAAGGTTTTCAAGTGGTGGTAAAAGCCAGTAGGCCTTGGGGACCATTGAGCAGTCTACAAAGCAGGGAAGCCTAGATCCCTGAGCTCCGCCTGCCAAGTACCACCACAGCTAACATGAGAGACCTCCGCCACAGAGACTGAAATTTGCCTCCCAAGGAAACAAGTGACTACAGACATCTGTCCCAGGACAGTAAACAAGGTCTCACAAAAACAGCTGACCACACCATAAAATCACTGAGACCGAGCCTGCGACTATAGGCGAAAAAAAAAAAGGCTATTATTCATACCGTGAAAGACCAGGGGAAAGTGCAGACACAGTCCCCTACTACTGTTGTGGGAATCAGGAGAACAGAGAGACCAATGGGTGGAACAGGAGGATTTATTGAGTGCACTCAGGCCCGGAGGATTAAAATCCAAAGGCTGAGCCCCGAACAAAGACAGGGTTTGACTTTTATACACACTTCAAAAAGGGGGTTGGCTAGTTTGAATGGCATGGTGGGACTATGATGGCACCAAACTCGCGGGGCAGGCAAGAGGGCTTACAGAAGCAGAACAAAGGCAGCTAGTCAAACTGTGACAGGTCTCACGAGGCAAGAATAGCTGGTGACCTTGCAGCTGCACTGAAGGGAAATCAAGAACTTAACAAAACTTGAATAGTGAGAAATGGTAAAGGGAAAAGAGAAGGTAATAAAAGCATTTGCTGTTTCTTGCTCTTATCCTTCCTAGGGACAACAGACTGTTAAGAGAGTCTCCAGAACTCATTTCTCAGCGATGTGGTTTTTCAGATAGCGTTACCAAGGATCCGCTAAGGAACTATCTGTTCCTGACCTTGCAGCCAAGCAAGTACAGGAAAATACTTTTTCTTTTTAATTTCTACCTTATTACTACAAGTTACAAAACAGATTTCCACGTTAGAAAAAATAAGAGACAACAGCATAGCTGCCGAATACATGGTCCTCAACCTTCCAATAAACCACTTCGATAACCATAACATGTGCTCTACATACCACACATGTAAACTTCCGCCCCGCCACAGCTCCATACGCCTCACCCTTTACACGCACGGTCACTTGCCCCGAGCACCACCCCAGCCAATCCCCAATCACCCTGAGCCCTCCTAGCCCTAACACACAGCTAGGACGCTCACGTCCAGCCAGCGGTCCCGGACTTGCTCCTACAGCACGGGAAATCCTTCATGGCGAAGCAGCAGCCCCTGCGCTGCCTCATCTACATAGAAACGCCCTATCGGTGATGTCACCAACAGTGCCTTTCCCAGTCCCCTTCTGTTCTTCCGCCCCACCCTCCTCCACTCAGCCCACCAACCCGGTGCCGCAGCCGGCGGGGGAAGTGACGTCCGCCTGTCCCTCCTTTCTGTCTCGCCCTTGTCTTTTGGGGAGGTGCGCCGAGACCCTGCATCTAGTCTCCCCCGAAGAAGTGATTACTTAACCTGTGTCCTGCGGAGGACCCTTCTGGCGGGCAGCTGGAAGCCTGTGCACCCGTCTTCAAATAATGGCTTTTAATAGCAGACTGGAACGTTTCGGATTACAAAGCAAACCGGACCCTTTCAAACCTGGTTATCTTTGTGAAGTAGCATTCCACTTAAAATTGGGAGCCCTTTAATAACAGAGAGAAATCATGTCTATGAAACTAGAGAAGCTGCTCAGATAACTGCAAACCAGCCATCCTTACTCGTTTTACGAGTAGTAGTGTTATAAAGAAAGTTGTCCAGTTTTATGAGTCTTGTAGGTTTGTTTTTTTGTTTTTCAAATACAGTAGTGTACAAAAAGGAAGCAGAATGTGGTTGCTGTCTCAATGTAATGCCTCGCTGGGCCTGAGAATTTGAAAATAAAAAAGTTCTCTTCTTTCCCCATTCTCCCTTTAGATGAAAAGTCTTTCTTGGCCGGGCGCGGTGGCTGACGCTTGTAAGCCCAGCACTTTGGGAGGCTGAGGCGGGCCGATCACGAGGTCAGGAGATCGAGACCACGGTGAAACCCCGTCTCTACTAAAAATAAAAAAAAAAAATTAGCCTGGCGTGGTGGCGGGCGCCTGTAGTCTCAGCTACTCGCAGAGGCTGAGGCAGGAGAATGGCGTGAACCCGGGAGGCGGAGCTTGCAGTGAGCTGAGATCGCCCACTGCACTCCAGCCTGGGCGACAGAGCGAGACTCCGTTTAAAAAAAAAAAAAGTATTTCTTGAAAGCATTGTCGATCAAAAGCTGTGTCCCTCCTTGCCAGAATGGCTCATTCCCAGATAGTCCTGTCCCACACGGGGGTCAGGGGAGGGAAGGAGACCTCTCTTTTTAACAGCGTCCAAAAGCTGAACTGGTGTGGCATCACAACATGGAAAAAAAAAAAAAAGAGAGAGAGAGAGAGAGAGAGATATCTCGGCCAATTCTATAGTTGCTGTCACTTGTTGAATCATCTCTAGTTTTCAGAGTACCATGAATTTAGTTTCTCAAAAGAAGTAAAACAATGAGAAATACATAACATTAATAATTTGAGTAGTAGAAATATAATGCATACAAGAATGATCATCACAAAGAGAATCTGTATCCTGGAACAGTAAGGGAACCAGGGAACTGGGATTTGATGTTTCAGCCAACTGAAAACATCAGGGAAAACATCAAACCCCATTTCTTCTTTAGTGATTTCTTGCAGCCAAGTGGCTTCTTTTCTGATTTTTTCTAGAGAAGGTTCTACTACATGGGAAATGTATATGTATATGCAACAAAAGGTATTTGCCACCACACATCTCCCTGCTCAGCTAAATGTATCACCTAAAGTGATGTGATTATCTAGTACAACCTTAGCCAGTGACTAAATACCTTTTTATAGAGCTGCAAAAGAGGCCGCAGTTTCATCAGCAATGTTTTTCTTTCTTTTTCTTTTTCTTTCAGAGACAGTGTCTGGCTCTGTGGCTCAGGCTGGAGTGCAGTGGCGCCATCATAGCTCACTGCAGCCTCAAACTCTTTGGCTTAAGTGATTCTCCTGTCTCAGCCCCTGAGTCACTGGGATTACAGGCCAGAGCCACCATGCCTGGTTTTCATCAGCAATGTTTCCTGAGGTTACAAAAAGATTTGTAATCCTGGGAGGAAACACTCCCTTGAAGCAAGTGTTCTCCCCAAAAAAATGCAAGGAGCTATCTTCTTGATAGCCAGGCAGATAATTCTCAGGTTTTGCCCCACAGAATCTCTATCTAAAATAGAGCAGTGGTCATGCCTAGTGAAAAGTTTGAGGGAACTCGCCCAATGTTGGGTTTCTTCAGAGCCATATATATAGATATAACCAAATATCCTAAAAGACACTGCCCTTCATCATTCCATGCCGTTAGACATTTACAGGACCATGGATGGTGATCTCCTCCAGACAAAAATAAATGCTGGTGCAGAACAGGTAAGTGTATTATAATTTGAGTACATCAGCTTTTGGGCATTTTAAACCATGGGTCAGACATGTTAGAGCAAGAGGGCAGGTTGATAGCAAGAGGGAGTGTTTTTCTTTTAATTTTCCAATAGCAAAGTGATGTTTGCCACTGTCATTTCAGAGTGAGGTGACAATTTGTTGTTGTTTGGTTTTGTGGGTTTTTTGTTTGTTTGTTTTTGAGACAAGGTCTCACTGTCACCCAGGCTGGAGTGCAGTGGCATGATCAGGGTTTACTTCTGCTTTGACCTCACATATTCAAGCAAACCTCCTTACTAATCCTCCCCAGTAGCTGGGACTACAGGCACGTGCCCCCACACCCTGGGGTGTGAACTGGGATTTGATGTTTTCAGTTGGCTCTCTAATGGAATAGGTTCCCTTACTCTTCTAGAATCAGATTGTCTTCATGATTATCATTCTTGTGTGCATTATACTTCTACTACGCTGCTGATTTTTTCTTTTTTTTTTTAATTTTTATTTTTGAGACAGTCTTGCTCTGTCACCCAGGCTGTATTGCACTGGCAGGATCTTAGCTCACTGCAACCTCTGCCTCCTGGGTTCAAGCGATTCTTTTCCTTCAGCCTCCTGAGTAGCCACCTGGCTGATTTTTGTATTTTTAGTAGAGACAGGGTTTCACCATGTTGGCAGGCTGGTCTCGAACTCCTGACCTCGAGTGATCCGCCCGCCTTGGCCTCCTATAGTGCTGGGATTAAAGACATGAGCTACCACACCTGGCTCTCAAACCATTTTAATTAAGCAAAGACAGATTTGTCTGGCTTTTTAGTACAATGCTGAATTATCCTCCAATCTATATTTTTAGGAAGGACCTGGGGAGTGGCAACATGGAGATATTTGGTGAAAATGTGAACCTTTCATGTTCTGCTTCAGTCCCTTTTTGAAAATCCTTCCAATTTGCCTTTGCAACCAGTTAGTGGCCTTGCCTTCTTCACCAGCATGTGAATTGATTGATAAAGGTCAGAATATTTGGGCTCAAAGGTTTCAACAGTTAAGTCAAATTTTCTGCCAAAGCCTATAGAATCTCGGAGCCTGCTTTAGAAACAGAAGAGTGAAATGTATTTAAGTTTAGATCAGGGAAGTCCTTTATAATATTCTTAATTCACGTTTTGGTGAAGTGGTATACACAACGGTAGGCTCCCCTCTTCCTGTGGGTTTGGGTTTTACCTTTAAAGGGGCTGTCAGAACAGAAGTTTTGGGGAAGTGGCCAGAGCCCTGGGGACTTTCCCCAGGTGGTGGTGATGGAAGAAGAGGCAAGGCAGGACAGGAAGGCTCAGGTAAGAAAGACTATGCAGGTGCAGGGGCAGGAGGAGAAGGAGCAGCTGGAGGTGAAAGAGACAAAGCCTCCTCAATATTTCTCAATTCAGAAAACATGACAGTTTACCTCCTTCAGCTTACTTCCTCAATGGAGGCAATTTTCTCAGTTTTTTTAGAAATTTTAGAAATTTAGAAATTTCTAGGTCTCACTGGAAGTAATCTCCCATTTAATTTGTCTGGTTCTAAAACCAAATTTCTCTGTTTTTATTTTTATTTTTTTGAGACAAGGTCTCACTATGTCACCCAGACTGGAGTGCAGTGGTGTGATCTCGGCTTACTGCACTCACCGCTTGCTGCATGACGGCCAATAAGTCCAGGGATAAGGTGTAGGGGCAGGGAAGGTGACTTTATTCAGAGAGCCACCAAACTGAACAGATGGTGAACTAACATCCTAAAGAACCATCTTAAATTAATATGATTTTCAGGTTCCTTGTACGTTAGGGAAGGGAGGAAGAAGGAGGCGGTTGAGGTGAAGAGGTCTGACAATGACAGACATATGGGCTGCAGTGAGAGCCCAAGGGGATGGTGAAAATTCTTTGTCCTTTGTCAGGTCACACTGCTCTTATAAATCTTCAACAACCTGCCTATCTTCTCAGGAGTTAGTTTGGGGAAGGGATTATTATCATCTGTGCTTTAAAGTTAAACTGTAAGCTAAATCCCTCCCATAGATAGCTTGGCCTATGTGCAGAAAGAAGAAAAAGCAGTTAGCCTGAAAGACATCACCACAGGGTAGGAAGGGTTAGGAGCAAAATGCAGTCAGTCATGCTAGGCCTCCTTTTCATTGCCATATATTTAATTTACTTGAACACATAATTTTAATTTTTTATACTTTATTTTTATTTATTTATTTATTTTTTGAGACCGAATCTCACTTTGTTGCCCCCCCAGGCTGGAGTGCAATGTCGCGATCTTGGCTCAGTGAAACCTCTGCCTCCCGGGTTCAAGCAATTCTCCTGACTCAGCCTTCTGAGTAGCTGGGATTACAGGAGCCCCCCACCATACCCGGCTAATTTTTGTATTTTTAGTAGAGACAGGGTTTCACCTTGTTTGCCAGGCTGGTCTCGAACTCCTGACCTCAGGCTCCCAAAGTGCTGGGATTACAGGTGTGAGCCACCATGCCCAGCCTAACCAAGATTATTAAACCATTCTAATTTGTCAAAAGAGTCACACTGACTTTTAAAAAATAACATAATAGACCAGATGCAGCGGCTCACGCCTGTAACCCCAGCACTTTGGGAAGCCGTAGCAGGTGAATCACGAGGTCAGGAGTTCGAGACCAGCCTGACCAACATGGTGAAACCCCGTGTCTACTAAAAATACAAAAATTAGCTGGGTGGGGTGGCGCACGTCTGTAATTCCAGCTACTCACGAGGCTGAGGCAGGAGAATTGCTTGAACCCGGGAGGCAGAGGTTGCAGTGAGCCGAGATTGTACCACTGCACTCTAGCTTAGGCAACAGAGTGAGACTATGTCTCAAAATAAATAAATAAATAAATAAATAAATAAATATAATAATGTAATGAACTTTTTCATGTCTTTATATATTAAATATTACATTATTTAAATTGTCCAAAAGCATCAAAAATTCCTCTCTGCTATCAACTTCATTTCATTTATTTTATTGTACCAAACTATCAAGACCATTAATTTAATCTACAGCTAAATCTATTATTTTTTCATGTTAGAAATTCAACAAGAAAATTTTTCCCTAATGAAACCTCACATTTCAAGCATAAGGAGCCTGGGCGAGGTGGCTCACACCTGTAATCCCAGCACTTTCGGAGTCCGAGACAGGTGCATCACTTGAGGTCAGGAGTTTGAGACTAGCCTGGGAAACATGATGAAACCCTGTCTCTACTAAAAACATAAAAATTAGCTGGATGTGGTGGCGTGTGCCTGTAATCCCAGCTACTCTGGAGGCTGAGGCAGGGAAATAGCTTCAACCTGGAAGGCAGAGCTTGCAGTGAGCTGAGATGGCACCACTGCACTCTAGCCTGGGCTACAGAGCAAGACTCTGTCTCAAAAATAAATAAATAAATAAGCATAAGTAGTAAAAATAAAATAAAAAATAAGACACAGGGTCTTGCTGTGTTATCCAGGCTAGAGTGCAGCAGGGCAATCATAGCTGACCAACTTGGAACTTCTGGGCTCAGGCAATCCTCCTGGCTCAGCTTGCCTTGTGTTTTTTTAGAGATGAGGTCTTGCCCTGTTCCCCAGGCTGGTCTCCAACCGCTGGCCTAAAGCAATCCTTCCGCCTCAGCCTGTTGAGTTGCTGGGAGTACAGGTGCAAGACATGCAGCCTAGCATTGTAGTAAAACAATTTTCAACAAATTCTATATTTTCTTTTCTTTTTTTTTTTTTGAGTTGGGAGTCTCACTCTGTCACCCAGGCTGGAGGGCAGTGGCACAATCATAGTTCACTGGAGCCTGCCTCAGTCTCCCTAGTAGCTGAGATTACAGTCATGCATTATCATGCCCTGCCAACTTTAAAAAATTAGCTAATACTTAAAAATTTGTAGAGACAGGAGTTTCACTATGTTGCCCAGGCTGGTCTCCAACTCTTTAAGTGCTGGGATTGTAGATATGAGCCACCATTCCTGGCTTAATTTTCTTATTTTAATTTTATATAAGTGATTATTATTGTTCCTAAGATAATGGAGGCAGTGACTCCTTTAACATTTTAGAGACCTAATCGGTCTAGTCCCTTCACTGAAAGAGTACGCCAACTTGTTTCATGAGAAAATATCCTATATTTATAAAGCAGGAAAATTCCTTTCACTAAACTAGGGGGCATTCTAAAGAAATGAATTGTGCTAAGTAACATCACTTAAAGTGAAAACAGAGGCAATGGTATCTATTAACAATGTTTATCAGTGAAGGAAATAAACTGAAAATATGAGTATCATTAGATCCTTGGAGGGCCTTCATTGCTGAAAATCTGAGTAATATTGTGGTACCCTTTTGAGTCCTGCAGGGCATTCTCTTTCCAGGGCATGTAACAGTGGGTGAATAATTTCTTTTCATTCATTTTCATTAAGGGCTGAACTTCCTTAATGTTCTGGAGATTACTAAATTTGATTTATATAGTTGTGAAAAGTGCTCATATTGCTGATTCCATTGCTTATATGTGATCATATAAATCTTTTCTCTTCTTTCTGTAGTGTAGTTTAAACTTAATCCTTAAAGGACATGTATTTGAATTTTTCAGCTGGTTAGAAACCTGAATATACCAATCAAAGAAAACTGCTCCTTACATGCTACAGATTTAGTTTTCTTCCTGTACTAAGATGTCTTTTAGATACAGTAAATTCGTTAAAGCCAAGAGCCCCTAGGAAATGAAGTTGGGTGGGAGGGGGGACATTGAGTAGTAAGATCACTCTTGTAATAGAGATGCCACTCTTGCAGATATTGACAACAATTGGGCCTATAAAATTTTTACCAAACATTGGAAAGACAAGATCTGAACAACTTATCATTGCTGCAGTCTCAAATTTCAGGAAATACCATTATTCTCAGGACAATAAATAGACAATAAAGAAGACTCACAGACCAGATTAGCTGTCATGTATCACCAAACAGGGACTGGATCCTTGTCAACACGACCCAACAGAGATTGTCCCCAGAAATTCACTTCATAGCCTCAAAACCAAAAACCCACACTGATGGCAAAAAATAATGATGCAAATAATGAGAAAGAGAGAGAGAGAGAGAGAGAGAGAGAGAGAGAGAGAGAGAGAGAGAGAGAGACCTGTCCTATAGCCATACTCAGTGGGTAAAAGCCAAAGAGCTCAATTTCTGCTCATGATACTTAATAGAACATAGGGAACATGAGCCAATAGCTCAATGGGTTCAGATCTGCACCAAGTGCCTGTTGGACGCAGGATTCTACTGTCTCCAACAACAATGTCTCAGATGGACTAATTTTTTTTTTTTTTTTTTTTTTGAGACAGAGTCTCACTCTATTGCCCAGGCTGGGGTGCAATGGCACGATCTCGGCTCACTGTAACCTCCACCTGCCGGGTTCAAGCGATTCTCCTGCCTCAGACTCCCGAGTAGTTGGGATTACAGACCCACACCACCATGCCCGGCAATTTATTTTTATTTTTATTTTTAGTAGAGACGGAGTTTCGCCATGTTGGTCAGGGTGGTCTCGAACTCCTGACCTCAGTTGATCAAAAGTAGGTGATGTCAGAAAACATACCCTGGGAGAGGCTGGCACAATGCCCAGAACCGCCATCGCTAGGCCTGGGGTTTTCCTCTGTAGTGGAATACTAGTATTCATGTAGTTCAGGGACAAAACCAATTAGATACTTCTGGGAGTTAAAAAGAAATGCATTTTCAGTGCCATTTGAGAAGGGGTATTAAGGAATTTGTCAGGGTACTGACGCGTGTCAGGTATAAACCGCAGGTTGAGAGAGAGCTAAGTATTTTCTGTCCATGAAGGTGATAAGCGAGGGCCTGAAGAAAGAGGGACTGGGGAGGACACTGGCACCAGAAATAGGAAACGGCTGCTTGGGGGTGGGAAGGATGGGTCTGGGTGCTATCTAGAAAGTTGCCTGGCAATGGATGTAGGATGTGGGAGCGAGACATCAAACAAGAAGCTGTCGCTTAAATAAAGTCTGAAGAAACACTAGATATATGAACTGCCGGAGATAGTAGGGAAACTGTACCTGGCTCCTCATAAAACTTCCCGCCTTCTATCTCCGGGAGGATCGCAGGGCATTTCCGCCAAGACAGGTGAGACTGCGGTTCTGACCTACGGGCCTCCATGAATATGCGCGAGGGCACCTGGGGGCCGGCAGAGCCGTTCCCCTACGCAAAGTAAGAGTGTTATGTCTACAACCCAACGGGGACACTGAGAGCCCCAAAGGCCCTGCTTTCTTCCTGGAGAACAGCACCCATCTGCGTAGTTTCTACCTGGCTCTATGAGGTGAGAACACACTCCCCGCTAGCACAGAAATCCTACAAACTCCTGTGGGGGCTGCGCTTGGAAGCAGAGGCTGTGTAAGAGGTGACTTGGGGGGTAGGGAAAAACACGAAGATTTTCACACAGGGTGAGAACCCAAGAGACTGGAGAGCACGGACCAATCCCTGCAAAAAGCAGCCAGGGTAGAAAGGGAAGAGCTGAGCGGACTTCACGATAGCTAATTTGTGTTACAAAGCCGATACGGCTGATGCTCGCTTTTTCTCCTATGGCGTGCAGGCGACATGTTACTTCCTATTCCGCAGCCCTCCACTGTAGGATTAACATTTAAGACGCCAACCAAGACACAAACCAAAACAAAAAAAGATATGACCCTTAGCGTACAGTCTACTTTTGAAACTCCAGAAAGTCAGGGGAAAGCGCGAACGCAGTCCCCCACTACCACAAATTATGCAGTCGAGTTTCCCACATTTGGGGAAATCGCAGGGGTCAGCACATCCGGAGTGCAATGGATAAGCCTCGCCCTGGGAAAACCACCTTCGTGATCATGGTATCTCCCCTGCCAGGTAAGTATGAGATCTTCGGGTTCTGCCCCGACACAGCCTCATACGCCTCACTCTTTACACACACGGTCACTTGCCTCGCGCACTCCCGAGCCCTTTCCAGCCCTGACACACAGCTGGGATTCTCTCTTCCGATCCGCGGTCCTGAACCCGCTCCCAGGGCAGGGGAACTCCTTCGTGGCGAAGCAGCAAGTGGCGAAGCAGCAGCCTCTGCGCTGCCTCATCTACATAGAAGTCGCCCTGTCCGTGATGTCACCGACAGTGCCTTGCCCAGTCCCCGTCTGCTTTTCTGCCACTCAACTGACCAATCTGCTGCCAGAGCCGCCAAGAGGAAGTGACGTCTGCCTCTCCCTTTTTCCCTCCCGCCCCTGCGTCTGTTCTCTCCCAAAGAAGCTGGTCCTTAGCCTGTGTTAAGGAGCAACCTTTCGGTGGCCAGATGGAGCCGGGGCATCCTTCTTCAAATAATGGCTTTTAATTCGCAGACTAGAATGTTTCGGATTACAGAAGAAACCGGTTCTCTTCACATCTTTATCCCTGTGATGCAGCATTCCACTTGCAATTGGAAGCCGAGAGAAACCATGTTTATGAAAGTAAAGAGGCTGCTCAGATGACTGCAAACCAGCCTTCCTTACTGGTTTTATCACTGGTAATGTTATAAAGACAGTTGTCCAGTTTCATGAATCTTGTAGGTTTTTTTTTTTTGATTTTTTTTCCAAAATCAGTATTGTAGAAAACTATGCTGCCCCAGAAGAGATGATTGGACACTCTCAAGCGTGGTGCTGGACTTTGTCATCTCTTGCACAGCCATCTCCACACCTTAGTGCTTACCTCATGTTAGTTTTTTATATTCTGCAAAGACGAAATCAAAATAATCCAAATTTGACACAAATACCTGGGATACATCTTATTTGAGATGTTTAACAATGTCTGGATCATCTTTTCTTATATATTACGCAGGAAACACTGTGAAGTAAGCAAAGTTGGAATGCCCAAGTGAAAGACCATTTGAATATTTACAAGTAGATTTCAGACAGGAATACTACAGGGTGGTCACAGGATAACAAATTCTAGGCAGCAGATTTACATGACTTGAGGCTGTGGGCTGTTAAGACGCTGAAAAACCAGGGTGTGGACCAAGCTGGCTAAGGCTGAGTGGACCCAATGTGGTGCTGGATTTGACGGAGGTTTTACCTAGGCCCTCATTATATGCTCATTAACATACTAAATCACACACCCACCAGTGCCATGACAGTTCTGAGACCAATATTTGATGTAAAAATGGATGGCACCACAGTTCCGAGAAATCTCCACCTTTACCCAGGAATTTTCATGAACATTCCACTCCTTGGTTAAAGAAACCCATCAAGATGAAACCCCAGAATCCATTGTTCTCTCTTGGGTATGCCTGAACTCCCCTTTCTTGAGTGTGTACTTTTTGCTTTGCAATAAATCTCTTCTTTCACTATCTGCTGACTCATCTTTGACTTTGTTCTCGCGATGGTGTCAAGAGCCTGGACACCACGGCTGGGGTCGAGATCCCACCAGTGTCCGGGTACCTCCCCCAGCCCACCAGTATCAGATTCTATTCCATTGCTCAAATCACAAAACATCAAGTAGAGAGTTCTCCTTGGAGACCATAAAGATTCTGTGGCATGGTGGCCAGTTAGGCCACTGGAAGGCATGGCAAGATATTGAAAATGAGGGATTAGGTGACAGTGTAGTAACTGCTGAATACTAAATACTTGATCCAGGCCCCATTCCCTGGAGATTGACAGGGAGACACATTGTCCAGGTAGTAGTGGAGAAATGTTTTCTGGGTATCTGACCAGCCTTTGTGGAAAGAACTGGCACCATCCTGCAGATGTAACTACCTGATGGGTTCTTCCTGCCCAATGTACACACAAAATCAATTCATGGAGACCATGGCACTGCAGGAAAGAGTTTCACTGACACAGGCCAGCCACGACATGTGGGAGACAAGAGTTATTACTCAAAGCAATCTCACTGAAGGCTTGGAGGTAAGGGGTTTTTCAAAGATAGTTTGGTGGGGAGGGGGCTAGGGCTTGCGTGGTGCTGATCGTTGGGGATGAAATCACAGGGGCATGGAAAATGGTCCTCCTGCATGGAGTCAGCTTCTGGGTGGGGGCTAAGGGACTGGTTGATTTTCGGGCCAAATGGTGCCATCCAGCAGTCAGAAATGCCAAAGCCTGAAAAGACATCTCAAGAGGCCAATCTTAGGTTCTACAATAGTGATGTTCTTCACAGCAGTAACTGGGGAAGCTGCCAATCTTGTGACTTCTGGAATAATGGCTGGTAATTATTTAAGGAGGCATACATCTTAGTAGAAATCAGGCCGCTTTCATCCTTCTAACTTGGTGGCCTTTCATTCATTTTACAGGGGTAATTTAGTTTTGGGGAAGGTTATCATTTAAACCAGATTTTTGGCTGTCCCCAACCTTTTTGTCACCAGGGACTGGTTTCATGGAAGACAATTTTTCCATGGAAGGGGGTGGTGGATGGTTTCCAGATGAAACTGTTCCACCTCAGGTCATCAGGCATCAGTGGCATCAGTTACAGTCTCATAAGGAGTGCGCAATCTGGATCACTCACATGAGCAGTTCCCAATAGGGTCCGAGCTCCGATGAGCAGCTAATGCTCATGCTGATCTGACAAGAGGCAGAGCTCAGGTGGTAATGCTCGAAAGCCTGCAGCTCACCTCCTGCTGTTCAGCTGGGTTCCTAACAGGCCATGGACCAGTACCTGTCTTATGGCCCTGGGGATTGGGGAGCCCTGATTTAAACTATAAACTCAATTTTTCCCAAAGATAGCTTGGGAGAAATTGCACAGGAATGAGCAAAGACAGCAAGCCTGTGAGGCTAGAACCAAGATGGAGTCAGCCATGTCAGCTTTCTCTGATTGTCATAATTTTGCAAAGGTAGTTTCTGAGGGGCTGCACTGGACACGTGTATTTGAGGTTGAGCCCAGAGAACTGGGCTCAACCTCAAATACAGCAGGAGGAGTTGAGGATTATAGCCAATTGGCAAGATAAGAAAGTCAGTGGATGGAAAATTACTAAGAGGAACTTGATTAGCTATCAAAGGTGGTTGCGAGGACTCTTGCTAAACTAGACTCAACAGGATTCTTTCCTAAAGCTGGACTTGGCAGGCCAAGAAGTAACAGAGAAAAGGGCTCAGAGGAAACTACTAAGGTTTCGTCAAAGATTGGAGTCCTTGTCAACTCTACATTGAAGCTTCTGCAAATAAACAAAGACCAACCAAATGAAAAACAGCAAAGGCTATTTACTGTGAGCTTGGTATAGCAGGGAGTCAGTCACTGTTACTTGTGTTTTGGCAGAGACTTGAAGGCAGTCATAAAGGTGGGAAAGCTTTTTAAAAAGAAAGGTTTCAGGGGCCGGGCGTGGTGGCTCACTTTGGGAGGCCCAGGTGGGTGGTCACGAGGTCAGGAGATCAAGACCACCCTAACTAACATGGTGAAACCCCATCTCTACTAAAAAATATACAAACAATTAGTCTGGTGCGGTGGCAGGCACCTGTAGTACCAGCTACTCCAGAGGCTGAGGCAGGAGAATGGCGTGAACCTGGGAGGCGAAGCTTGCAGTGAGCCGAGATAATGCCACTGCACTCCAGCCTGGGTGACAGAGCGAGACTCTGTCTCAAACCAAAAAAAAAAAAAAAAAAAAAGAAGGTTTCAGGTATGCTTGGATTGGAGGCTGCCAGCATGGTGAAGCTGTAGATAGATGAAGAGAATCAAAATATTTTACCCCAGAATGTATTTCTTTGGCATATTTTAAGATGGCTGTCAGAGAACCAGCAAACAGAAGGAACTCTGCAAAACTGTCTTCTGTAGGGGAAATTTACACCTGCAGAGAATCTGCGTTAATCCAGCCTTACCTTGTCAGGATTGAGAAATGAAAATAAGCCCTAGTCCCTACAGTCAACTGCGGACTCCCTCTTGGCTGACAGGACCACAGAGAAACCTTGAAAGCTGTTTCTGGATGTGGCAGGCTAGGAGGTTGGACATGCCACCTCAAAACCCCCCCCTCACTAACTGCCATTATGAGGCAGGAGAACAGCAGAGGGAATTGGAAGTTGGATAAAAGGCAGAACGAGTAAAAGCAGAAACAGAAGCAAGGTGATGGGGTGGGAGAGCAAGAAGCAAGATAAAAGGCAGAAGTTGAGCAGCCAAAACAAAAAGTAAGATTTAAAAAAGCAAGCAAGGCCGGGCACGGTGGCTCATGCCTGTAATCCCAGCACTTTGGGAGGCCAAGGCAGGCAGATCACCTGAGGTCAGGAGTTTCAGACCAGCCTGGCCAACATGGTGAAACCCCATCTCTACTAAAAATACAAAAAATTAGCTGGGCGTGGTGGTGCACTCCTGTACTCCCAGCTACTTGGGAGGCTGAGACAGGTGCATCGCTTGAACCCGGGAGGCGGAGGTTGCAGTGAGCCGAGATTGCACCACTGCACTCCAGACTGTGCAACAGAGCGAGACTCTGTCTCAAAAAAAAAAAAAAAAAAAAAAAAGAAAAGCAAGCAAGGACCCCATGGCCAGCGAGATCCAAACCAGTAAAGGGGCAGCTCCTCAGAGATAGGCATGTGCATGAGAGAAAAAAAGTATCCTTAACATGACTCCGTATGATAATCAGCTCATTAAAACTCATGCATATGGACTGCACATCATGCATGTACTTAAAATTATGGGATGGAGCCAATGTGCAAGCACACAAGGGCCAAAGTAACTAAGCAACCCACCTATCAATCAAAAGGCAAACACTGGCTAACGATTAGGCATCCTTGTGAAGACAAGAAAAAAAAACACACATAAAACGACCCAAAGTACACCAAACTAATACTTATCTTACATCCCAGAGGTCAGTCCACTCTCCCCACTCTGAGAGTGTTACTATGCTTAATAAACTTTTGCTTTGCTTTGCTGCTTTGTGTGTGTCATGTACAGTTCTTTGTTTGGGACACCAAGAGCCTGGAAATGCATGGCACCATCTGGCAAGAATTAGGATTTTTTTCCTAAGGGTTAACAAACCAAGCCTTTGGAGAGACTTGCTTCACTACTGTTATCAACCAACAGCCTGATGCTTTCCCTCCCTTTTGTGGTTTTGACAAAAAAAGCAAGCAGCATTCCCTCCTGATAAGAGACCACCGACCCAGGAATGATTCTGGCCAGACTACGGAGGATGTACAGTGAGGGTTTTCATGTCCATTGCCTCAGATTTTGACGTCAGAGGGCCACAAACTCCACTCTCAGATGATTGCTAACGCCACCATTTTATGAACATGGGCCCCATGGAGAGGCATGCAGCTCAACTGCACATCTGCACATTTTCATTTTATAAATATTCATATTGGAATATTATTTGGTACTGCTCCCGTGAAAGACACATTTGCAGAATGGACTCAAATTAGAAGCATTATATAAGCACTATAATGTAGCAATGGCGCATCCAGCTCTCTACACTATAGAAATGTCTGCAGTGTAGACATTTCCACAATGACCAAAGATATCTGTACAAGAATGGTGACTGCAGCATTCTTTGTAATCCTAAAACCATGAAACCAACATCATCTCAAAAACATTTTTTTTTTTTTGAGATGGGAGTCTCACTCTGATACCCAGGCTGAAGTGTAGTGGTGCAATCTCAGCTCACTGCAGCCTCCACCTCCCAAGTTCAAACGATTCTCCTGCCTCAGCCTCCTGAGTAGCTGGGATTACAGGTGTGTGCCACCATGCCTGGCTAACAAAAACATTTTGAAAAGGGTTAAATAAATCATGCACAGACTGAGGAAAAATACTGTTTTCAAAAATGATGGAGAGGATCACTATCATGATGAAAGATTCCACTGGTCACATTATTGATAGAGCAATCAGGAAACCCAGGCACATCCTGGAGGTAATACTGGACTCCTATTACTAAAATATGAAAAAATGGAGGCACGTGAATTACTTGTTTAAGCGTATAAGGGACTGAATTAGAATTTTATCACACCAGAAGTGGGTTCCTAGGTCTCTGTTTCAGGATTCCTAAGTTACACAGGTGTAAACCCGGCATTTCAGGAGATAGCCGGTTAAGAATCTGGTCGGGGAGGTGGGCGGCCCTTGACATGGATCAGTCATAAATTAGTGGCTTGGGACTTCGGGAAGATAAAATCTTCCCCATTTACCTAGTGATTGACAATGCATGAATGCTTCAAAAGTTCCAATAAGCGTCCCTGGGTGGGCTCGAACCACCAATCTTTCGGTTAACAGCCGAACGCGCTAACCGATTGCGCCACAGAGACAAGCGCTTCCGCTTCTACTGGTGATATGGGAAGGGCGCACTCACTGAACTAACTCCCTTCCCTCTACTCCCAGAGCCCGCCCGGCAGGACCACCGAGCAAGGCCTTGGAAAACCAGAGAGATTAGAGCGGTGAGTCGCGCCGGTCACGTTGGACGCCTGCGCGTTAGGAGATTCTGGAGCCAGAACAGCTGAATTGCCTTCGCCCGCCCTGCCCCTCGCCTGCTTCAGAAGCTTCCAGGAACTCCCGGGTCGGCGACCCAGCCCGAGCCGCCTGGGGCCCCAAGGGAAGCTGAACGCCCTGTGGGCTCCTGGGATGGTTCTTCCCGTTCTTTGCGCCGCCTTCACCCATTGAAGAGCCTGTGCCCACCCTGCCCAGTCGCTCTCGGGGCCGCGGAGGAGCTTCCGCTGCCATCTTCGGATCCTGTGTTCCGCACGGGGGCTCCACCAGGGCAGGGATGGTGGTGAGGGTCGCTCGTGGGTCCCCTCGGGGGGAGCAGGGTCTGGCACTCACCAGGGCTCACGACTAGGACTTGTCGAATGAATTCATTGTCGCCTTTAGCTTTTAGTCCTTTGAAGAGCCCTGAGAGCGGAAATCAACAGATTTTTTTCCATGGGGAAGTTCTTTTTACAAATCGTTGATTTCTCAGTACCCTGCAGGGCGGGAAACTGGCAGGGCCTCCGGCGCACCTTCTGCGCGGTGGAGCCGCGGGGCTCAGCTGGGCCGTGGTCCGGCCCTGGGGCCGTAGGGCGAGAGCAGGTAAAGGGAAAAGCAAAAGCTGGGAAAGAAGCCCGGGAGCGGTGGACCAGACATCCAGACCTCCTGAAAGGCGCATGCAGAGGCACAGGCGGGATCTTCTGGAAGTGAGAATTGTTTTTGTTTGTTTATTGTAGCAGAATGGGGAAATGGAGAGAGAACCTGAAAGAGCCCCAAACTCGAGGACCTATTGCTCCCCAAGAATAACATCTTCCAGAAGAACTAGACAGAAAACTAGGCGTCTGGGAACTCTGAAATCCTTGGAGGAGTAGCATCATCATGACCCTCTGTGTTCCTTTTGGCAAAGGACTTGCTCCCATTGTTTGCTTGTTCCATTGTCTGTCTGTTAAATAAATAAAACCCTTTTCATATATCTTTAAACTTACGTTGGTTTTATTATTTCATGATTACAAATAATGCTGCAGTCATCATTCTTGTACACTCTCATTGGCCACTGGTGTATTTCTATAGGGTGGAGGCCTGGAGAGTAGTTGTTCCAGCATAGTGTTTACATAGCTTTTATTTCATTCCGTTTTCTTTCCTTTGTTGCTTTATTAGCTATAACCCTTTTCTTATTTAAGAGGCTGCTTTAGGGTTTCCGGGATACATCTTTAATTTATCATAGTCTGCTTTCTAGTGTCATTATGCCTCCCTTTCTGGCCTTTATCCTAGTGTTATGTAGTTTTACTTTATGCACTATAAGCTTTGTGATTCATTATTACTTTTATTTATTACGTCAAATATTTTTTGAAAGATTTAAATTATAAGAAAACGTGTAGTACATGTTTTCTAAATGCCATTTCCAATATTCGTTTCTTTGTGTAGGCCCACATTTTTATCTGGTATCCTTTTGCTTCTGCCTGGAGGACTCTTAAGATTTCTTGCAGCATGGGTTGGTGAATTCTTTTAGCTTTTGTATTTTTTCAATGTCCTTATTTCACTCACAGTTATGAAATTTTATTTTTGCATAGAATTCTAGATTAACTTTTTTTCTCTAGGTACTTTAAAAATGTTGCCATTTATGAAGCATTGTCATTTAAAATATCATCTTTCTTTCCTATGTTTGTAAATATGGCGTAAAGCCGGTTTCTTGTGCTGGTTATACAATTTTCAGAATGTGTATTTAAATTTAAAATATTAAATTGTACTAAAAAACTAAAAATATTAATCATGAATGTCCTAGATTCATCTTAAGTTCCAACAGTACACTTAAAGTGTGCCCAACCTGAGGGTCAAACCTACTTGCTGACATGGAATTTGTGTTTGTGAGAGCCTAGTGATTTTCCTTACATCTGAATGTCTTCATTGCAAAAGGAAACGTTTTTCTTTGCCAAAATACTTTAAAATATTCTTACTTCAATTAAGTGCATTAAAAACAAATTTCTCAGTTGCATCCCTGAAATCCATCAAAAGCCCGGGAGAGACAATCAAGTGCTTCAGGATCAAGAGCTAAACAGGGGAGGACAAAGCGGGGCTCCTTCACTAGGAGTCAAGCCAAAGTCAACTGATTTGGTCTCCAATGGAGAACAGAACTCGGTTCACCAGCGACGTGAGGACGCGGCCCAGAGGAGGCGGACTTTCTCTTCATGGTGCCTTCAGATAGGAAATCTAGGATTTTCTTTCTTTCCCTTTGATCTACTTCCAACTCTCCCTTTCTATTTCTTCAAGAACTTTTTCGGATCCCTAGCTGGGAAGGACCTAAGGGGCCAGTGCCCTTCCCTACTGGTCCCTCCTTGACTGGGTGTCTTCGGAGCCCAAGCTCACCCTGAACATTACTGCCCGCTTCAGACAGTGAGAGGACCAAGGAGGGCGGTGGGTGCGGTGGGAACCACAGAGTCACCGCGCACCTGCATCCGTGAGCTCCTAGCAAATTGAATAAATGCCCCCTGAAGCTTCTCTGCAGGTCAGAGGGAAGGGGAGGGTGGCTGCTGACCCGGCAGGAGAAGCTTCAAGAAGCATCGGGAGGACCTGGCCCTGCCCCTGGGCCTTGAAGACAGGCCTGGCCAGACTGATTTTGATGGGGAGGCCCAAAGAAAAGGTTCGAGGGCGGCCCAAACCCCTACCCCGAGATTAAGGCTCTTAAGTGTCTGACGGTTTTGAGAATCGTCAGTAGAATCTATCCTGCCTGTATCAGGAGACTCCTTTGCCAAAATTCAGAGACCAAGAAAGAGAAAGATTGGGCAGATCAAAATCTGTAATTAACCAAACAGGAAACATAAGTTTTCTGACAAATTGGATGTGTGCTGTGAGAAAAAGACTAGCCTCAAGGAGAACCTGTTTTTTTGGCTTGAGTATAGGGAAGAATGGAGTTGCCACCAACAATGGTGCATTGAAACGGCCGATGCATCAGGCTGTAGATGTGAAGGAATTAAAAATATTTGACCCCAAACTACATTTCTTTGACATATTTTGAGATGTCTGTTCAGAAAGCCAGCTGCAGAAGTAGCCCTGCAAAGTTGTCTTTTGTTGGGGAGATTTGCATCTGTAGGGAATCTGCATTGATACAGCCAAGTCTTTCCTTGCCCAGATCTAGGAAAGATTAACTGAGAGTCTGACACATGTAAAGGTCTGAAAGAAATTTTTAGGGTTTATTCTCTCTGAGAGCTGCTAACTGTAGGGTTTCATTTACATATTAAGACCACCTTTGCTAGCCAAGCCTCCTCTTCTCTCCCTACCATCACTTATCTTGTCCACAATAATTGGATATACCTCTGACTCTGATTGCACCTGGTTTTGGCCATGCTTTGAGCCCTCATTCATTCTGTTACCTCAAGATGGTATATAAGCTTCTGCATCCCATTGTGGGTAGGGGAGGGTAATCACTCTGTGACTCTCCCCATGCACATGTTAGTACATTTTATGCCTTTTTTCCAATTAATCTGCCTTTTGCGACTTGATTTTTGAGTGAAACTTCAGAGGGTTAAGAGGGAGGGTTTCCATTGGCCCCTACAGTTTTGGAGCTGTAAGCAGGATAGGAAAGCTCTGCTCTTCTGGAAGCTGCAGTGAAGAACCCAGGATCTGATCAGCTGTCATAAGGGTAAGAATTTTTTTACCAGCCAGGCTCCTGGCCTCCTTCTCTGTGTGGAATCTCATCAAGTGGACAGTAAAAATCACTGTTTCTTTCTTTTCCCTCTCCAAAATCTTGATTAATTGGAGAAAAGGATTTGTGTGACTAGTCTTGGGTGTAGTGACTCTGGTGTGCTTTTTGGTACTTTGTGGTACCAATTCCTATTGTTTAATCCCTTTGTTCCCGGAAATTGTCTGTTCCTTTGTCTTTGTCTCTATGTGTTATTCTGTCATAAAAGGGGGTACCGGTTGAGGTTCCTTCTCATCTTATTTTATGTCCTTGAGAGCTTGACTTGTGAGCAAGTGGGAGCGCTTTCTCTTGGTTTCCACTATCTGGAAAGAGGCAGTAACTATCAGGTCATACTAGGTGGCCTGTCTGAAAATGGCTGGGAACCCCAGCACACTTTTTGTTCTGACCATGTCAAGCTCTTGGGGTTTGTCTTAAGAAGTCCCATCCCTTTGAGGCTTTTGTCATCTCAATTCTTGTTGCCTGGTTAGTCCTAGGAAAGCTCAATCCCAAGAGGGCCTACCTGGTATTATAGATTCAGAGGTCTGTGACTGGAAGCCCCCATAAATATCTGGGTTACTGGAGGCCAACATCATCCTTACCCATCTGTGGTCTACTCCTTGCATTGAACTTTTTTCTTGCAGGGGAATCTTTGGGATTGCTTCTTCTTTGCCCTTCCCAGGAGGTTAACCTGGAAAATGACATCCTGGGCTTTCCACAAAGGGGCTATTTGGTTGAATTGCTATTGCAATAATTACACCATTGGAAATTCTACTTGCCAATGGCCTGAAGATGGATCCCTTAAATTAGACACCTGAATTAAAAAAAAAAAAGATTTTAGAGATCTCTTATTTTAACAGTTCATAGGAAGATCAAATTAAAACAAACACACATAATAGTGTCATGGCTACCCTTAAAAATTCTCTTGACAATATTATGTGTGTTGTGTAGGGAAAAAAAATTCTCTTAACTAAATTAAAGAGCAAAATTTGACCCGAAACAAAGTTAAAATTCTTCATAAGCTCAAACTGCCTGCTCTGGATCCCTTCCAGGATGCACAATAAAGTCTGCTCTACCTTGCAGTTCAGTGCTTAAAGTTCTGTGTTTTGCTGCCATAGCCTGGGGTCGATTTCCAGTCAGGAAACCAGTTTATTTTGGCTTGATATTTGTGTGACTTTTGACTTTTTGGAATACCCATTTATTGATCCTTTTCCCTTTCACGGGCAGCTTTTGTTTGTTTGTTTGTTTATTAATACAGAGTCTCACCCTATCACCCAGGCTGGAGTGCAGTGGCGAGATCTTGGCTTACTGCAACCTCCGCCTCCCAGGTTCAAGTGATTCTCCCACCTTGGTCTCTCAAGTCGCTGGGATTACAGTCACCCACCACCACGCCTGGCTAATTTTTGTATTTTTAATAGAGACAGGGTTTTGTCATGTTGGCCAGGCTGGTCTTGAGCTCCTGACCTCAAGTGATCTGCCTGCCTCAGCCACCCAAAGTGTTGGGATTATAGATATGAGCCACCCCTCCTGGTTGTTGGCAGCTTTTGATTTCCTGTCCTTCCAGCTTCCAGAGTTTCTGATGAGAAATCTGTTGATAATCTTATTAAAGATTTCTTGCATGTGACCAGTTGCTTTTCTCTTACCAATTTAAAGATTCTCTTTGACTTTTGAAAGTTTGATTATAATGCGTTTTGGTGTAGGTCTCTTTAGGTTTATCTTACTTGGAGTTTGTTAGGCTACTGTGTTTGTATTCATGTCTTTCATCAAATTTGGGAAGTTTTCAGCCATGATTTCTTCAAATATTCTCTATTGCCCTTCTCTCCCTCTTCTTTAGAAATTCCACAATGCAAGGCTGGGAGCAGTAGCTCATGCCTGTAATCCCAGCATTTTGGGAGGCCGAGGCGGGAGGATCACCTGAGGTCAGGAGTTTGAGACCAGCGTGACCAACATGGAGAAATGCCGTCTCTACTAAAAATACAAAATTAGCCAGGCATGGTGGTGCATGCCTGCAATCCCAGCTACTTGGGAGGCTGAGGTGGGAGAATTGCTTGAAACCAGGAGGCAGAGGTTGCGGTGAGCTGAGATAGCGCCATTGCATTCCAGTCTGGGCAGCAAAAATGAAACTCCTTCCCCCCTCCCACCCCCCAAAACAACAACAACAAAAAAGAACTTCCACAATGTACATGGTGGTCCACTTGATGGTCACTTAGGCTCTGTTCACTTTTCTTCAATCTTTTTTTATTTCTGTTCCTCAAACTGGATGATTTCCATTGCCTTATCTTCAGGTTCACTGATTGTTTCTTCTGCCTGCTCAGCTTTCTTCAAATTTGACTTTGAATCCATCTAGTTAATTTTTTACCAAAGCAGCAACTATTTCGGAAAGGCCTCCTTCATATTGCAGCCATTGGACATGATAATACATGGGATATGCTGCCATTTGTTGAGAATCATGTGAAAATTAAGCTTCTGCCCCATCACACTAAAGTTCCAGCCCTGAGTCCCCACGGTTTTCTCCCTAGGCTAAGATAGAAAGGAAGAACATGAAATGTGCAGAAAGCATTCTCTTAAGCAAACATGTATAACTTGCCTAAATTGTAATTATTTCCCGGAACAGGATGCACCTCTAACCTCTACAGGCAGATCATAGATTCCATTGTCCAGCTGTATAATGAATTCTTCTTCTCAGAGAAGAATACCAGACACTCTCCCTGGCTTGCCTGAATCAAATTTCCAGAAGTAATCGGTGAAAGGCCACAATATGAAGTCTCTCTCAGATGAGTTCCTTCTCTTGTCACATCCCACAGTAGAAACAAAAGAGGACGGGGAGGCCAGAGCTGCTCAAAGCCTTATAACCCACAATTCTCATAGTTATTCTCAACTTAGAGAGGGCTGCTTTCTAGATGCTCCCCCTCCAGGCCTGCAGACTGCCAGGCTCCAGGAATAAGTAGCTCTGAGAAGTCTACTATTTAGCTGCGAGCCACACTCCCCTATTGCAAATTGGAGAAAGGAAGGACAAACTTAAAAGGTGAAAAGATTTAAGAGAACAACATGGTGAAACCCCATCTCTACTAAAAATACAAAAATTAGCCGGGCGTGATGGCATGCGCCTATAGGCCCAGCTACTCGGGAGGCCGAGGCAGGAGAGTCATTTGAACCCAGGAGGCGGAGGTTGCAGTGAGCCAAGATTGTGCCACTGCACACTAGCCTGGGTGACAGAGCAAGACTCCATCTCCAAAAAAAGAAAAAAGAAAGAAAGAAAGAAAGAAAGATTTAAGAGAACAATTATTTTAACTGAATACATTTTGTCAAGATTAAATCAACTTTCCCCTAGAGTACTGAAAGAATAAGCAATCATAATTTAGATTCTAAGTTACTGGTCTTTGAGAAAGTGTGAAAACCAAAAAGGTGCCACAAGCCAAAAAAGGAGCAAAAGTCCTAATTTTCAAACTGATGAAAATAAAGTACTAAAAAATGGAAATCATCATAGTTCATCTTGATCCTTGGCAAAATACAAATGTATCGATTCAAATTATAATATCTTAGCTACCCTATTGTGCGTAGCTCTTACCAATGAGGAGAAAAACCAAACCCAAACAAAAGTGTGTTCAAGTTGGCAAAAATGTTTACAAACCTGCAAAATCTCTTCAGCCTATCCCTTAAACTCCAGACTTGGTATTTATTAAGTTCTGCTCTGTACAATACCCACCTTAATATCCATTCTTGCACAAGTTCTGTTAGGTATAAGCCAAGATGACATGAGATTTTTTTTTTTTTTTTTTTTTTTTTTTTTTACCCTCTCATGCCTATGTTTGCTTTTGCTTCCAAAGACCCTTCTGAGTAAGGACTATCCTCAGACTACTGGAGTCATTTAGTCACAAGCTTGCCTGAGGCTCAGAGCTGGCAATACCTGGGAGTTTACGTCAATCCCACAGCACCCAGCAACCCTGCCTGCAAAATATTTACCATGATTGACAGGTGCAGGTGTATGAAAGCCCAGCTCCTTGACTTGAGGGGCACCTTTGTGGTGAATTAGGTTTGGGAAAAGGGAATCCAGAGGCCAACTTTGTAAAAATGCAGATAGATAAATAGAAAGAAATCTTTGCCTTGGAAGTCCAGTTGAGAAAGAGAGTGATTTACTTGAGACTCTGAAAACAGAGACTAAAATCTTTACTTTCTCATGGGAAAGAAGCCTATGGTGAAAGAGAAACAAAGAGAAAGGTAGGAAATAGGGTGGGTCTACTCCGTAGCTTTAAACCACTCTGTCATATTATAAAGCCTGGTGAGGTTTTAACTAACACAAGTGCCTGGACTCTACACATAGAGATTCTGATTTAAATGCTTCCAGGTGGGTGGAAGCCACTAGTAGTCTTAAAAAGCTCCCAAGTAATTTTACCATGTGGCTAGAGATGAAAAGGACAATCTGTCTACTAGAATCTCAAGTAACCAGTATTGAAGTGCCCCAAATGTGCAGCTACCTCATAGAAAAGGCTTAACAGCACCCATTGATGGAATTTGCCTTCCTCTCTCCGTGGTCTTGTCTGCATAGCGTGGAAATAGAGAAGAGATAAAGAGGTAGATGGAGAGATTGGACCTGTAATTTGCCTATGTAGAGTAGTTTCTCAAACTTTTCTGACCACAAGATGCAGTGAGAAATATACAATTCTTTGTGATCAGTTTTTTTTTTCTTTTTTTGAGATGGAGTCTTGCTCTGTTGCCCAGGTTGGAGTGCATTGGCGTGACCTTGGCTTACTGCAAGCTCCGCCCTCCCGGGTTTACACCATTCTCCTGCCTTAGCGTCCTGAGTAGCTGGGACTACAGGCACCCACCACCATGCCCAGCTATTTTTTTTTTTTTTTATTTTTAGTAGAGACGGGGTTTCACCGTGTTAGCCAGGATGGTCTCAATCTCCTGACCGCGTGATCCACCTGCCTCAGCCTCCCAAAGTGCTGGGATTACAGGCATGAGCCACCGCGCCTGTCCTGTGATCAGTTTTTAAAAAATCTTTTACTATGTGTAATCCACCCTACCTAGAATTTAAATAAAGCCTGTAGTAATAAGCAGTCCACTATATTGATTTCACAACCCCTAAGTGGTTCAGAATTGCAATTAGAAAATTTTTACTTTTGGCCGGGTGTGGTGGCTGGAGCCTGTAATCCCAGCACTTTGGGAGGATCACTTGAGGTTGGGAGTTTGAGACCAGCCTGACCAACATGGAGGAACCCTGTCTCTACTAAAAAAAAAAAAAAAAAAAAAAAAAATTAGCTGGGCGTGGTGGTGCATGCCTGTAATCACACCTACTTGGGAGGCTGAGGCAGGAGAATTGCTTGAACCCCAGGGGGTGGAGGTTGTGGTGAGCTGAGGTTGCACCATTGCACTCCAGCCTGGGAAACAAGAGTGAAACTGTCTAAACAAAAAAAAAAAAAAAAAAAAGAAAAGAAAAGAAATAAATTTTTACTTTTGCTCAGCCTTTTTATCAAGCAAAATCCCAAAAGAACATTTACTATAAACATCTTTCTGTGAATCCTTATTTCTGTCCCAGCCACCATGACCCAATAATCTCTAGAGCCTGTTAGTGTTCTCCAGATTGAAGCCTTCCCTCTAACTGCTCCTAAACTCTGTGATGTAGTGGAAAAGGTTTGAGGACTTGATTCCCATCCCAGATTTTTCACCTACAGATCATACGGCCTTAACCTCTTGACACCATTGTCTCCTTATGGCCAAAGATGGAACTGTACTTGGGTGGTATCTGAGCACCCTGTTGGCTTTGACATTCTAGGGCTCTTCCCTTGTCACCACTCTCTTATTTAAAAGGAATAGGATGTGGACTTAGGAGGGTTATTTCTCTGCAAACTATCCTCTCTTTCTTACGACAAGCTATTCCTGAATGTGCATATTTGAGGCTAAGCAAATCCCTTCCTGGGAGGTTGAAAGACCCTTATTTCTCTCCAGAGGAGTATTATGGAGAGTCAATTGATGCTGAGGAGGTGGTAGAGACCTAGCGAACTCAACTGCAGTGGCTTTGAGCAAGGCTCTTAGAATCATAAGGTGGGTGGGGTCCTGTGTCCTACACCACACGCCAGCTGGTTCACTTCAGGAGACTTTTTTTTAATCTATTATTACTATCTTCTTCTAGACTGTAGTTCACTACTGGAGATTATCCACTTAGTTGCACTCAGTTTGCACCTGGCCTGTATCACCAGTCAGCTCTCACTCCAGCCTCAGGTATCAGCAAGACCTCACCAAAGATTATTGTTTAATTGTATGTGTGTGTGTTTTTGTTTGTTTCGGGTAACAACTAATGTTGGAACTATGAAAAACTCTTCTCTACTTTTAACAAAGCTTAGTCACAAACAGTTCCCCAGTTGATGAGAAAAACTAAAACAACAGAACAATTGAAAGTCTGAATCTGCAAGTTCATCTCTGAGAACCGAATTTTACAGCCACTCCAGATTTGTACTCCAAATGGATAGTTTGACTGTAGAAATCACATCCCTTCAGTCTGCCAATGTGATAACTGCCCAAGAGAGAGTGATGCCTACATTCATAGATAATCCCCTTTCCCCCATCCTATATATAACTGGAGTCAACAGCAGCTGGAGGAAAATGGCAAGAACTTGGAATCAAGATTAGCTTAGAATAACACTGCTGTAGACGGTTTATCAGCTCTTCAGCATATGTCCGTTTTCCTTGAAGGATGAGCCTTTAGAAACCTCTGACAATAAAGTTTATTTTACACCCATTCCCTTGCCTATGATTTTTTTCATACAAATCACAATTATTAAACTTTCTTGCTCCAGCTAAAAGCAGGAAACTCAATCAGAATGTGTTCACTAAATATATACCACAGAATGATAACAACCAGTCTGAATGCATCACTTGATTCCAAAATTAAATGTTAGCCCTCAGGGGTGCAACTACATGTATCTCCAACTCTGGAAGCCACAGGCAACATATTCCTGTTTCCTTGCAGGGAAACAGATCTATAAGCAGGGCGGCAGTCTGACACATGTACATTCCTGGGAAACCCAAGGAAACAATGATAGTGACGCAGGGCAGGCAAGCCCCCAAACTGAAAGAGTTTTGCTAATGTCGCAATTGGCTTTCTATGTTATTTGAAGACTGAGATCTCCATGAGGAGTGAAGATAGGTAATGCCTAAGGCTGAGGCATGACCTCACTGGGTCACCTTAGCTGTGAAGTGAGGTCAGTTGTCACCTTGCAAACCTTTTGGTAATCCAAATCTTGGAATGATTTCTTTAAGAATTTAGACACTTCCAGTACTTTTCCTGTCCTTGTGGGGAAAGCTTCTATCCACCTGGTGAAAGTGTCTATAAATACTAGCAAATCTTGTACTCCCCTGTAAGGTGGCATCTGGCTTAAGTCTGTCTGCCAGTCTTCACCATGGTATGTTCCTTGGTGTTGTACAGGTTTAAGCAGGGATCGGGGTATGGGGTGGCTTCCTGAGTGGTAACCCTTTTTATAGTTTGGAACAGTCCCTTCCGCAAGAATATTTAGGAAACTAATTTAAATGGAAAATCCTGTCCCAAATGTGAGGAATCATGAAAATGTTTAATTATTTCCCATTTGTCAGCCTCAGGAATAGAGTTTGTTCTTTTCTAGCAACCATCCAGAGGGGTCTCCCTGGAAGCCTTTTACTCAGTCCCTTTAATTTCCTTAGGGGTATAGTATGGTGTCACTGACACGGATGCAGTACCTGGTAGTAGCGCAGCAGCCTGAAATACCAGGGTTTCCTTAGCTGTGGCCTTAGCTGCTCTTTCCACCAGGGAATTTCCTCTAATAATAAAAGTGTCTCCCTTCTGGTGTCCCCTGCAGTGAGTAATTGTTATTTCTTTGGGAGTTGGACAGCATCTAAAAGTTCCAAGATCTGAGTAAAGTTGTGTGGGGGATCCCTTGGCTCTTGATAGTCCCCTTTCCTTCCCTATGGCTGCATGAGCATGGAGCACCAGGAACCCATATTTAGAGTCAGTCAACACATTGACTCTTGAGGTTTTGGTTTTCTTCTTCTTTTTTTGAAACGGAGTCTTGCTGTGTCGCCCAGGCTGGAGTGCAGTGGCATGATCTCAGCTCACTGCAATCTCAGCTCACTGCAAACTCAGGGATTCTCATGCCCCAGCCTCCCAAGTAGCTGGGATTACAGGCGCCCCCCACCACACCCGGCTAATTTTTGTATTTTTAGTAGAGACGGGGTTTCGCCATGTTGGCTAGGCCGGTCTCGAACTCCCAACCTCAGGTGATCCACCCACCTTGGCCTCCCAAAGTGCTGGGATTACAGGCGTGAGCCACCGTGTCCAGCTTAAGTCTTTTCATGGTTGGAAGGCCCTAATTAGAGCAGCTAATTCTGCTTTTTGAACAGAAGTCTGAGAAGGTAAACCCTTGACCTCAATGACTTCTTGTTGGCTAAGCTTCCTTTCTTACTCCCTCATGAATATAGCTATTTCCATCTCTAAACCACTCAACATTTGGGTTAGACAAGAGCTTGTCTTCAAGGTTGGGCCTTCTAGAGTAGAGCTCTTCCGTGGTTTCCACACAGGAGTCAATGAGTTTGGGATCTGTTTCTTGAGATGTGAGGTGCAGCAACAGAGTAGCAGGGTTTCAAAATCAGGATACTTTCAGGGTAACATCTGGGGTGTCAAGCAGAAGGGTCTGATATTTAAGTAACTGGCTCCCTGTTAGCCATTGGTGTACTTTTGCCTCTAGGACCCTCTGTACTGTACTTCATGGGGTGGCAGGGGGTGGGGGTGGGGTGGTATGGCATGTAATTTTTGTCCCAAGGTAAACTTACTGGTTTCTTCTAACAATAAAGTGATGGTAGCCACAGATCTCAAGCTTCCTAGTCACCTAGCTGCCACCTGGTCTAGCTGTTTAGAGAAATAAGCCACTGGTCCAAAGCAATTCCTCAGCCTTTGAATTAGAACATTTGAAGCTGTCCCTTGTTATTCATCCACATAGAGGGTGAAAGGTTTTTCTAAGTTCGAGAGTCCTGAGGCAAGGGATGTCCCTGGCTTTTCTTTTAAGGCTAAGAATGCCTTTTGACAGGTTCCAAGCTCCGCCTCCTGGGTTCACACCATTCTCCCGCCTCAGCCTCCTGAGTAGCTGGGACTACAGGCGCCCGCCACCACAGCCAGCTAATTTTTTTGTATTTTTAGTAGAGACGGGGTTTCACCGTGTTAGCCAGGATGGTCTCGATCTCCTGACCTCCTGATCTACCACCTCGGCCTCGCAAAGTGCTGGCATTACAGGCGTGAGCCACCGCACCCGGCCAACAAGTTTTTTTTTAAATGAACAGAGCATCAGTGAATGACAGTGCAAGTTTAAGACACCTAATAGACAAGTTAAAGGAGTCCTCCAGGCAGAAGGAAACTGACACCAGATGAAAATCTGGATGAAAAAAAAAAGACACTAGAAATGACATGTACATAGGCAAATATATAATTTTAACATCTGACTGTTTAGCCGGGCACGATGGCTCACGCCTGGAATCCCAGCACTTTGGGATTCAAGGAAGGTGGATCACTTGAGGTCAGGAGTTTGAGACCATCCTGGCCAATATGGTGAACCTTCCTCTCTACTAAAAATTCAGAAATTAGTCCGATATGGTGGCCCAAGCCTGTAGTCTCTGCTACTCAGGAGTCTGAGTCAGGAGAATCGCTTGAACCCGGAAAGCAGAGGTTGCAGTGAGCCAAGACTGTGCCACTGCACTCCAGCCTGTCCGATAGAGTGAGACTCGTCTTAAAAACACCACCACCAGCAACAAAAAAACAAAAATAAACAAACAAACAAAAACACATCTGACTCTTGAAACAAAAGTAATAGAGATGGATTGTAAGGTTTATAACAGGTGTAAAGTAAAATGCATGACAATAGCATAAAGGCAGGGGGAGGAGTCATGGGAAGAGGTATGATGCCACTTGAAGGCAGACTGTGATGGGTTAATTTTTGTGGAAAGCAAGGCAGAATTTTTGAAGTTTGTTTCTTCAAATACTTTCCGTTTCCCGTACATACAAGCTAGTTTGTTCTGCAGAGATCTCATTTTCTAGGAGGCTTGGAGGGGGACCTTCTGCTGTCTGTCCTCATGGGATGCACAAGACACAAGGGAACAGTCTTTCACTTTTAAATACATTGAAGGGTCTGAGGAGATAGATACAACTGCATTTTTTTTTTTTTAAATGAGGTGGGATTCTCACTGGTCTTGAACTTCTGAGCTCCGTGGAGGCTTCCCCTACTTCAGCCTATCAAAGCGTTGGGATTAATAGACGTGAGGCACTGCGCCTGGTCACAACCAACATTTAAAATCACGTCCCTGGGTGGTCTCTAACCACCAACCTTATGGTTAACAGCCGAACGCGCTAACCGATTGCACCACAGAGACAACCTCAATCGCTTGCTTTCATCTCTATATAGATTAAGCAATCACTAAACCCTAGGAGTTGCCATTCGCTTTCTGCGGGACAACTGTGCAGACTACAAAGCTTCAGAAAACCGGAGAGGCTGAGTCGACTAATCGTCTTGCTGCACGTTAGAAACGCGTGCATTGCGTGACTCTGAAGCCAGAAGGGCGGCCGAATGGCCTTCACCCTGCGTTCACCCTCGCCTGCTTCAGAAGCCAGTGCCTCTGGAAATGCCTGGATCTGCGACCCCAGCCTGAGCCAAGTAGGGCCCAAGGGAAGCTGAACTCCCCGACGGCTCTCATGGTAGCTCTTTCTGTTCTTTTGCGCCGCCTTCAGGCAATCATCTGTTCCGCTTGCTCTCCCTTCACTCAACTCGGCTTCAGTAGATGGGGTCGGTGGGGCGGGAGCGGGAAAGAGGCAGGGGAGTCAAAAGGGAAAACGTGACAAGGAGGAGGGAGAAGCAGGGGAGACCAGGACTAGACAATGGGACAGCCCAGGATGCCCGTGCAGAGGGCACCGGCTGGATGCAGAGAAGATGGGACATGTATCAGAATGGAGAGGGGGAAATGGGGAGAAGATGTGAGAGAAAATCACAAGAACCTGTAGCTGCCCAAGAATAAAGAAGTAAAAATCGCATAATGTTTTTGCATTAATAAAAAAAATCGGGGGACCAGGGGCGGTGGCTCACGCCTGTAATCCCAGCACTTTGGGAGGCCGAGGTGGGTGGATCACTCACTTGAAGTCAGGAGTTCGAGACCAGCCGGGCCAACATGGTGAAAGCTCGTCTCTACCACAAATACAAAAATTAGCTGGGCGTGGTGGTGCACGTTTGTAGTCTCAGCTACTTAGGAGGCTGAGGCAGGAGAATCGCTTGAACCTAAGAGGCGGAGGTAGCAGTGAGCCGAGATCGTGCCGCTGCCCTCCAGCCTGGGCGACAAAGCGAAATTCTGTCTCTCAAAAAAATATACAAATAAATAATAGAGGGGTGGGGAAGCAAAACGACGGGCAGTAGGTGTGGGGCGCCTTGGGATTCTCTAGTGGTTAGTAGTCTGCGTTGTGCCTGCAGCAACCTCTGTTCTAATCGGAATCCTGGTACAGTCAGACTCTATCTTGGACCCACTGGGGCGAACCCACGTGTCTTTTGGTTTGCTTTTGATTCCTGCACCAGCTGAGGCCTTTATCTGCAGCCAGAAAGCCGGAAAGCAGGGTTTACCCCTGGCCCCACAGCGCCATACTGTCTGGGGAAAAGAAGGAAACCCAAGAGTACACAAACAGTGGCCCAAAGAGAAACCTTCCAAGTGCTCTATGCCTCACCGTTTAGCAGAAAATATCAAGCAACTCTCAATCTAGCTGGTCTATACCTTCCACGAATGAAATAATGTATTTATTGCAGTCTTTCTGGTTGAGATATTTCAAATATTTGGTGGAGCTTTTACTGAGAGAGAGAGACACTCTCGAGTGTGGAAGAAAAAAAAGAGGGGATGTGAAGATGAGGCGACTTTAGGACAGAAAAAAAAAGAGACAAGGAAGCCATGTAAACGTTTTCGGGTGGGCGTGAGGCGTTGTCAGTCTTGAACCCCGTTATGTCAGGTAAAGAGCGCAGCCTCTTCTAGCACAAACACCGTTTCCCACATGGAGGAAATCACAGGGATCAGCAACTCTAGAGTGAGATGAAGAAGCTTCACTCTGGGAGAACCCCCTTCGTGACCACGGTCTCTCCCCTGCCAGGTAAGTGGAAATGAGCACATGGCCTGCAGGGACAGCACAGCCTCCTCGCCCTGGCCGGTCGCTCAGGGTCACCACCCTCCCCACTGCCGCCCCTCGCCATTCTTCCAAACCACTCTCCACCAAAGATTCCACCGACAGTCACCCCACAAGACAACCCAGGCCGCCTCTCAGCAGCGGCTCCCGCCCCGCAGCCACCGCGCCCTCTCACCCCCCCGCGGTTCTGCCCGCCGCCTCTGCCGAGTCTGCGCACTTCACCTCCCTGGCTCCCGCTCTCCCCTGAGCTTACAGTGGACTCGGGGTTCTTCCGAACCCCTCTTGGGAGTACTGAATGGAAAAGGGGGAGCGTGCGCAAGTGCTTGGTAGAGTGTAGACGTCGTGGGATTTGACTGTGGTACCATCGCTTCGACATCCTAGTGCTGATTTTTCCACCTGCCTTCTGCTTAGGGCACCGGCAGCAGTTTTCCATCTGTGCCTACTCCACCTGCTGTCCTTGTTGGGTCAGCGAACATCGCCTCCGTCTACCGCTCAATCAGCAAACGGGACCGCCCTCGAGGACCTCACCCGCCGCTTACCCCCCTAACAAATTCGCGGGCATCGCCTCCGGTCGCCTCTTCCCAAGGCCTAACGAGCGCCTTCGCTGGCAACGGAGGTGAGGAGGCTCCGCTGACTGGCTGGTGCCCGTGTCCGGGGCTGCCACAAACGCCACGACTTGGCTTGGCCTCTCTCTTAGTTATTCGCAGCTCAGCCCGATGGGCGTCTCCGGGGTGGCGACGGGAAAGAAGGTGGGCTTATTGGGTGCAGCTCCACGGGGGCTGGCATCTTTGCCGGGCTGTGTACACCGGAGCGAGACGCTCAGTCGCTCTCTAAAGCTGCTCCCGCGGATGACGGACACTGAGATAAACAGGAACGGTGTGTCGTGAGAGGTGGTCCACCAGCACTTGCCCTCCTTCGCCCGGCTTTAACCCCGCTGCGGAGACTGTTCTGCTTCTGGCCCTTGGAGCAGGCCGGCTGACAGCGTAGTGAAGGAAGATTCCTGCGGGAGGGCGGCCAGTGTAAAACAATTCCCTGGCCGGGAATCGAACCCGGGGCGCGGCGGTGAAAGCGCCGAATCCTAGCCACTAGACCACCAGGGACACACAGGAGGGAGCTTTCTCTCCCTTCTTCTGTCAGAAGCGACAGCTTCCCTGAGCTCTGGGAGGACTTGGGCCTTGTGAGGGTCGCTCTTTGCTCCTGGAGTCTCTCACAAGGCCATTCCCTCCCTGCTTTCTTCAAAAAAAGAGCCTGCAAGCGACACACCGAGGGCTCCGCGAGGGACACCGAGGCCACGAGTCCGGAGGCCTGGAGCGAGTTGCAGCGACCCGGCCGCAGCTCACCACTGAACTAGAGATGCGCCTTTGCGAGGTGGCAGCAAGTGACCAGCCGGTCGTGGGTCGCCAGGTCCGGAGCCGCGCACCAGGTTGCCAGGAGGAGGCGGGAGCGCGGAGGCGCCCAGGGTGAGACGGGGGCACCCTCAGCATCATAAAGGACCCAGACGCCAGCACCCTCAACATCATAAGGAATCAGACGGATGCGGAAACCGAGACGGGCTGGATGGGAAACTCTTTCCAGGAAGGCTCCGGGGCCCTCAGCTGGTCTCCGACCTTCCCCTGCAACCTGTGACACCTGCCATTTTCCCATCTTAGGCGATGGCAACGCCACCCTTCCGTTTGCTCCGGGCAAAACTTCGAGAGTTCCCTCTGACTCTGGAGTTTTTTCCTCAGATCCAAGAGCCAACTGGTCATCAATTCGTAATTTCCCATCGGCTAAGTGCGTGGGCATTGAGCTACACGAGAGTCTCTCCACCTCTGCGGAATGGCTACTTCGGGGTAGGGGAGGGGCCCTCCCGTGGATTGTAAGGTGTTTAGCAGCAGCCGTCGCCTCTGCTGACTAGATACATGCCAGGGGGTTAGCATTCTCCCTCCCCGCTTCCCCCATTCGTGACCTAGTGTCCCAGCGTGGAGGTGAGAGGCGTGTAAGGGCGAAGTTGCCCCCTCTTGAGAACCACTGATGCGCGTTGTCCTGCTGTCTGAGCTTGTGCAGAGGACTCTCCAGATGAAGGCTCAGGGGTCCATCCAGCTTGAGACCCCCTCGCTCCCCCGCACAGTCAGACCTTAGGATTGGAGGCTTTTAACATCTCTACATCATGAGATTCGAAACCTTTAGGTCTTTTCTTCCGTTCTGTCCTCCAAATCAGCCTCTTCCGAGCCTGTTGACCAGGGCCAGCCAGGCAGAGGGCTGGGTTCGCTCAACGAGGCTCCTCTCGGCCCTCCTGGAGCTTCAGGCCTCTTTCGGTTGCAGAGAAGCTTTATGGGCCACTTCCTTCGGCATCCCCGGGGGCAGGTGCGCGGTGCCCGGGGAAGAAGAGGGTTTGACTGCGGTTCTCGACCCCCGGCGACCAACCTCCACCCCGGTGGGCGCGCTCTTCCAGGCTCCTGCTGGTCCCACTGGCCGGGAGTCAGGTCTCGGGTCAGCCTGAGCTCCAGAGACGCCCAGGCCCGGAAGGACACGTAGGGGAAACCAGCTGCTCACTTTGGTCTTGTCCGCAACGGACCTCTTGCTGCCAGGAAAGAAAGGCGTCGAGTCCTGTCCTGTTGGGTAGGCGGAAGAGCGATCAAAGGGAAGACAAGAAATATCCTGGGAGGTTTCAGGATCTAAAGTTACCATGAAGTCAACCTAACCTCCTCTGGAGGTCCTCCCAGTCCTCCCGTGGCTGGCGATGGTGAATCGAGTTTCCGTCTCCAGTTTGCCAAGGCAGACAAAGCCGACACAATGGGCCTGTCCACTATCTTCTTTCATATACACAAAATGTCAGCTTTTCCTGTTTCTAACTGGCAACATCCTGCCTGATGACCAGCTTAGCAAATTAGAGACTCTCCATGGGATTCCATCTGTGTCTTAGTTCGGGCTTCTCTAACACTGTACCATACATAAACTGGGTGGCTGATTCACAACAGAAATTGATTTCTCACAGTTCCGGAGGTTGGAAGTCCGAGATCAAGGTGCCGACATGGTAGGTTTATGGTGAGGGCCTTTTGTTCTGGTTGTAGACTGCCACCTCCTCATTGTATCCTCAGGGGGCAGAAAGAGGGCGAGAGAGCTCCCCGAGGTCCCTTTTATAAGGGCATTAGTCCCATTCAGACTAATGGGACTAAATCCAGACTCTGTGCTGAGTGTTGTGGATTTTTTGCATGTTCATCCTCCCCGCAGGCAACTGGAGATGTATTGTCCCCAGAGGGTACAATAGAGAATCTTCCGTCACAAGTCAGCAACCAGCATATGTGAGTGACAGCATGTGTCCCACTCAGAAATGAGAGTGTATTAGTCCGTTTTCACGCTGCTGACAAATACATAACATAGTCCGGGACGAAAAAGAGGTTTAATTGGACTTACATTTCCATATGACTGGGGAGGCCTCAGAATCATGGCGGGAGGCAAAAGGCACTTCTTACAAGGCAGCAGCAAGAGAAAATGAGGAAGAAGCCAAAGCAGAAACCCCTGAGAAACCCAGCAGATAGTGAGACTTATTCACTATCAGGAGAATAGCACAGGAAAGACCCGCCCCCATGATTCAATTACCTCCTCCTAGGTCCCTCCCACAACACATGGGAATTCTGGGAGATACAATTCAAGTTGAGATTTGGGTGAGGGCACGGCCAAACCATGTCAGAAAGGGATGAAGTGACAGCATATCCTGATGTGTGTGATGGTTTTATGAGTTATTACCTATTTCAAAAATTATTGCAATGTGTAAAAAAGAACAAGGACTTGTACTATCTGACTTTAAGGTTTACTATAAGCTATTACAGACGAGGCATCAGGAGTGACAAATAGATAAACAGACTGAGTTAAGAGACTTGAAACTGATCCACAGCTATACGGTCAATAAATGGGTTTTCAATAAAAGCAGTTCAATAAAAGAAAATAAATCATTTCAATTAATGGACTTTTATATGAATGTGGGGAGACCAACAATGTTATTCTCCCTCACACTACACACAAAAGTAATTTCAGGTACATTACACACCAAAACGTAAAAGTTAAAGATATAAAGCATTTCAAGGATAGTTTGTGACTTGTTGGTAGGCAAAGATCACCCTACCAACAAGCAGGACACAAAAAATACATATATAAGAAAGACATGATAAATGAGACTTCATCAACATTAGCCACACCTTCTCATCAAAAGATACCACTAAGAAAGTGAAAAGGCAAGCAAGTCACAGACAGAGAGAAAATAGCCACAAAACGTGTCTGACCTCCACACCCTGCAGTTATAATTATAGTGGTCTGGTACACTGCACGCAGTTTCTGCTGAATGGAGTATTTTCTGGGTGTCTCTAATGAGTAAGAGAGGGCCCCATGGGATATTCCTTCAGTTCCCAGGTGAACAGTGGGAAAGACTCCACGTTGACCAACCTCGGGGGCCTAAAAATCCAGGTCCTATAGGAGGGTAGAGTATACCTGGACCCTGACCCAGACCCCTGGATGGGCTGTGCCAAGAGACCCAGCAAGGGAAGGGATTTCCTCCTGCCTCAAGTTCTCTGTCCTTCTGTGGTTAGACGACCTGAACCCAACTCCCTCCCCAAGCACTGGAGATGGGCTTTTCCAAGGGCTGGGGATCTTGCTGTCCTGAGAACAGCTGAGCAAGGGGGTCAAGGAGGAGCTTGGGTGGTGGAGGAGAGGAAACCGGGTAAGATGCATGAAGCCGTTGGCTATACCAGGCACAGAGAGGACCCACTGGGACCCAACGGCCTGCATGTGAAGCCAGGCCTTGGGCCACCTCGTTCCTCAAAGGGGTGCTGACTTCCATGGGGTGTTCAAAGGGACTGTGGAAAGAGAGGCCTTCAGCCCACACCTCTGAATGCTTTTCGACCACAGCATGCCCTGTGGCCTTTATCCTGCTGGTGTGGAACAGTCAGAGCCCTGCAGGGCTGCAGAGCTTCTGTACTGGGCGGCATCCCAGCCTGAGTGTCAGAGCTCAGAGAGCAGGCACCGGAGCAAGTAGAGAGGAGGGCACCTTTGGACAGAATGTGTGGGACAAGAGCGACGGCTCATCCATTCAGGTTCCTCAGAAAATGAGAGTCAGGAAGATGAGGGCGCAGACCTGATTCCCTACACAGGGCTGAAAGCAGACAACCGGAGGAAGAGCAGCACCTGGGCCAATGAGGTAGAAGACAGAAGACCACAGTGTACTCCTGCCCTCAATCTCACCCCTTCCCACCCACATCCTCCACGCCCCCTGATCACCTTCCTCAGAAGTGTAATAGGAATCCAGATTCCCCCTGGCCTGGTTGCTGCGGGAGGCACAGTGGCCTGATGGAGCCTGAGGCAGGTGTGGGAAGATGTGGATTGTCTAACTGGAGGTTGGGAGTTCAGGGTGAGGAAGGAGAAGCTTGGAGTGCAGGATTTGGTGGTATGTATGTGGCTGTAGGCAAAAGAAAGAGACAACTATGCCACTTGAAATACCATGAGAATTCAAATTTAGAAAATTCCCAGGGAAGTATGCATGCAGGCACTCATGAGATCCAAAAAACAGCTGCTGCTTAACTGCGTGTTGCAAGCAAGCCCTAAATTGCTGATTTTGAAACAGCCTGATGGGTTCACAAAGACAATTTCTGAATAGTCTTAAGAGCAGAGGTGCACTAAAGCCACTGTGCCCCGCAGCTCAGGATCCCAGAAAGTTCTTTAAGGAGTAAGTCTTACTTCCATTTATGGAAGATTTTTGGAGTTGTCCTTAGTCACCCCCAAAAATGTTTTGGTTAGGAGTAGAATTTTAGATGTCATCAATTTAAAAATTAAAACTGAAACTCTGGAACTCATAGAGAGATAAAATTAAGAGAATCCATTCACATCCTGAGTAGAAAGATTTTTATAGAACATGACGGGCTTTAAAAATAAAGAAAAAATATGGCAAAATTTCATCAAATTAAATGCTTTCAGAACTAAAATTAAAATCTGAAGCCACCGAACTAGCTGGACAGATGGCTTCTTTGCCAAGGAGACCCCAGAGAAGTCTTAAATACTGAGTTCCTGGCCAGTACTTGGAAGCTCAGACACCTCTCCTTATACTCTCTCCCTTTGTGGTTTAGACACAACTGACCAGCATTATTGTTAAAATAGAGATCCTAAGACTGACAGAACAGACTCCTTGCAGTAGTAAGATATGGTATGATAAACGAGACCTAAGGCCACGCCAGGCAAGGTGGAGTCATGCACCCCTCAACTTAAAGAATAAACTATGTTCCAATTGCCACAGGTTTTTTTCTTCTTCCTTTTTTTCTCTAGCTAAACAAGCACTGGCCTTGAGATAAGCAATGCTGAAGCACTTGCAGCTCACCCATTACCATAAACTGACTGAGCCCTCCCTACACAAGCCATAACTACAGCTTTGATTGGACAAGAGACTGATTTCAGTAACTTCCCCTTGATAAGAGAGCACTGGCTGTGGACGGGTTCTGGACGGTTTACAGAGGCTGTGCACTTGACTGCCTTTGTGTCCCTGCTTCCCCTTTTGAAGCATAGGGACTAATTATAATGTATTTAAATGTCATCTCCACCCCAAAGTGAACATGGGTTGCATGTAACAGGCTTGTTTACTCAGCATGCATGCAGCACGATCCCTTCATGAATATTCAGAGCTCCTCCTATTCCCTGTTGAATATGCATATGTGGCCCACCAGATCAACATAAATCCCTGTTCCCCCCTCCCCTCCCTGGAAACCTACTTTTCGGTTTCAGCAGGAGGGTATGCCTCCCAGTCTGTGGGAATGGCCACCTTGCAGGCTGTAACCATTTATAAAAAATAAAATCTCCCTTCTAAATTTATAAATTGTGTGATTTTTCAGTTGACAGCTTTCAGTCAGACTTTTCACTGACTGGGAAAATTCATTTGCAATATATTTATTTTAAAAATGACTCCTCAGCATACAAAATTCTTGTGCAAAGATCACAAGCATTCTTATACACCAATAACAGACAAACAGAGAGCCAAATCATGAGGGAACTCCCATTCACAATTGCTTCAAAGAGAATAAAATACCTAGGAATCCAACTTACAAGGGATGTGAAGGACCTCTTCAAGGAGAACTACAAAACACTGCTCAACAAAATAAAAGAGGATACAAACAAATGGAAGAACATTCCACGCTCATGGGTAGGAAGAATCACTATCGGGAAAATGGTCATACTGCCCAAGGTAATTTATAGATTCCATGCCATCCCCATCAAGCTACCAATGACTTTCTTCACAGAATTGGAAAAAACTACTTTAAAGTTCATATGGAACCAAAAAAGAGCCCGCATTGCCATGTCAATCCTAAGCCAAAAGAACAAAGCTGGAGGCATCACGCTACCTGACTTCAAACTATACTACAAGGCTACAGTAACCAAAACAGCATGGTACTGGTACCAAAACAGAGATATAGACCAATGGAGGAGAACAGAGCCCTCAGAAATAATGCCACACATCTACAACTATCTGATCTTTGACAAACCTGACAAAAACAAGAAATGGGGAAAGGATTCCCTATTTAATAAATGGTGCTGGGAAAACTGGCTAGCCATATGTTGAAAGCTGAAACTGGATCCTTTCCTTACACCTTATACAAAAATTAATTCAAGATGGATTAAAGACTTAAATGTCAGACCTAAAACCATAAAAAGCCTAGAAGAAAACCTAGGCAATACCATTCAGGACATAGGCATGGGCAAGGACTTCATGTCTAAAAGAGCAAAAGCAATGGCAACAAAAGCCAAAATTGACAAATGGGATCTAATTAAACTTAAGAGCTTCTGTGCAGCAAAAGAAACTATCATCACAGTGAACAGGCAACCTACAGAATGGGAGAAAATTTTTGCAATCTACTCATCTGTAGATTCATCAGAATCTACAAAGAACACAAACAAATTTGCAAGAAAACAACAAAGAACCCCATCAACAAGTGGGCGAAGGATATGAACAGACACTTCTCAGAAGACATTTATGCAGCCAAAAGACACATGAAAAAATCCTCATCATCAGCGGCCATCAGGGAAATGCAAATCAAAACCACAATGAGATACCATCTCACACCAGTTAGAATGGCGATCATCAAAAAGTCAGGAAGCAACAGGTGCTGGAGAGGATGTGGAGAAATAGGAACACTTTTACACTGTTGGTGGGACTGTAAACTAGTTCAACCGTTGTGGAAGTCAGTATGGTGATTCCTCAGGGATCTAGAACTAGAAATACCATTTGACCCAGCCATCCCATTACTGGGTATATAAATCATGCTGCTAAAAGCCAAATGATTATAAATAAATTATATATTTATTTGATTTATATGATTATAAATAAATGATTATTATAAATGATTATAAATGCCAAAGGATTATAAATCATGCTGCTATAAAGACACATGCACACGTATGTTTATTGCGGCACTATTCACAATAGCATAGACTTGGAACCAACCCAAATGTCCAACAATGATAGACTAGATGAAGAAAATGTGGCACATATACACCATGGAATACTATGCAGCCATAAAAATTGATGAGTTCATGTCCTTTGTAGGGACATGGATGAAGCTGGAAACCATCGTTCTCAGCAAACTATCGCAAGGACAAAAAACCAAGAACTGCATGTTCTCACTCATAGGTGGGAATTGAACAATGAGAACACTTGGACACAGGAAGGGGAACATCACACACCAGGGCCTGTTGTGGGGTGGGGGGAGGGGGGAGGGATAGCATCAGGAGATATACCTAATGTAAGTGACGAGTTAATGGGTGCAGCACATCAACATGGCACATGTATACATATGTAACAAACCTGCACGTTGTGCACATGTACCCTAAAACTTAAAGTATAATAAAAAAAGTCAAAAAAAAAGACTCAATTCTTGAATATACAAGAGAACTTTTGTAAATCAGTAATATAGAGCTAAGCCAAATAAAATAGGGCAAAATATTTGAATAGGCCTTTGCAAAGGAGAGTTTCTTATATGCTGGAAGCCACAAGAAAGTATGCTTCATAGGATTGCTCATTAGGCAAATACAAATTAATTCCACACTGAGATAGCACTAACTACTCACCAGTGTATGGCTACTTTTTTTTTTTTTTTTTCTGAGACAGGGTCTCATTCTGTCACCCAAGCTGGAGTGCAATGCTGTGATCTTGACTCACTGCAACATCCCCCTCCGGAGTAGCTGGGACTACAGGTGCATGCCACCATGCCCGGCTAATTTTTGTATTTTGAGTAGAGACAGGGTTTCGCCATGTTGGCCAGATTGGTCTGAGAGCATAGCTACATTTAACAAAGTTCGTACACCAAATGCTGACAAGAATTTGGTGCCACTTCAACTGTCATCGCTGGTGAAAAAACATTCTAGAAGACTGGCAATTTATACTGATGTTAAACTTATACTCAGGTCATGACCCAGCAATTGAAGGACTTCCATGAATCTCAAGTGCACACAAAGACTGTTATAAGAATATTCAGCACAAGAAATCAATAACCCCAAAATTGAGAAGTGATCTATGAAACTACATGGATATATCTCATGAGTATAATGAATGTAACTGCAGAAAAAAGGCCAGACACAAAACATGTACATTCACTCATGTGAACTTTAAGAACAGGCAATTGTAACCTGTGGGAATAGACATCAGAATAGTGATAACTAAGAGGACACAGGGTGGGAATCACCTGGACAGGGGCTCTAACAGGCCTTTCTCAGATGATGGCAATTTTCTATAACTTGAGCTGGGTGGTGATAACATTGATCAAAACTAAACAAATTGCACTAAAGATTTGTGCACTTTATGTGAACTGTAGTTTCTTTACTGTTCTCATTGCTTGAACCTGGGAGACAGAGGTTGCAGTGAGCCGAGATTGAGCCATGACACTCCAGCCTGGGTGACAGAACAAGACTACGTCTCAAAAATAATGATAATAGTAATAATTTACTGTTCTCATAAAAATTAGCAGATGGGGAATGGAGGCAAGCCGGTGCAGACCATGACAACTAGTTTAGATTTTATTGTCAGCTCATTAAAAACTCGTTCTCGTTTTGTGTTTTTAAAAAATTCCACTGATACAGCCGTTTTCTCTACCAGAAAAGACTATAACCGCATTATTTCATCAGTGGAAGCTACAGACAAAGGGCCCTTGAGAGGCAGCATCTTCACCTACGGGAATTTTTCCTGCTCAATTGTGAGACAAAGAGCATGTCCAAGTTTTCCTATCGGCCAGGCCGCCCCCTAGTTTCTGCGCTGTGGGCTAAACTCCAGAAGCTGGCGCCCTTCGGGGCCAGAGGTTTACTCTGCTCTCTGGAGGCTGCTAGGATTAAAGGCAAAGCAAACGACAGGTCTATTAGCCACAATCGCAGGCTAGAAAACACTACTGTGACTCAGATTAGAACCCAGGTTGTGGCAACCACAACTACAAGTATTAACCACTACACGACCACAAAGCCTGCTGACAAGCATTGCACTTCTTCTATTTTTTGAATGTAAAAACACTCACACTATTTTATCTGCTTTATTCTTGGACGTCCGCAGATTTTCGTGCTTTTCTGTCTTTCATGCGCTTCTCCCTTTCTCTCCCCATTCTGCTACATAATTAAATAAAAAATCTCATCTCTCAGGATCCGGCCACTGCCTCTACAACAAGCCTCCTGGGAGGTCTCTTTGTCCCATTGACATCTCTGCCTTCTTTCGCTCCTTTTTTTTTTTTCTTTTTTTTTTTGACGGAGTCTCGCTCTGTCGCCCAGGCTGGACTGCAGTAGCGCGATCTTGGCTCACTGCAACCTCCGCCTCCTGAGTTCAAGCGATTCTCCTGCCTCAGCCTCCCAAGTAGCCGGAATAGCAGGTGCATGCCACCACATTTGGCTAATTTTTGTATTTTTAGTAGAGACGGGATTTCTCCATGTTAGCCAGGCTGGTCTTGAACTCTTGACCTCAAGCGATCCATCCGCCTCGGCCTCACAAAGCGCTGGGATTACAGGCGTGAGCCACCGTGCCCGGCCAAATTTCAGGCCAACACCTGTTGACACACATTGCCAGACACACGGAATTTCTCGGGGAACACCGATGGGCCCACAAAACACGCGGAGGCCGCGGTCGCTGACGATGTTAGCAAATTCGGTTCACGGTGTCTGGGGTACAGCCCTGAGGGTCTACTGGCCACCTCTGCGCAAGGACCAGTCTCCGCCGCTCCCCTCATCTCCACGCAGACTCTTGCCCACACACCACCCCTTTCTTTGGGCCGCTGACGCCTCTTGGACCTCTGAGGTGACTGTCCTGCCCGCAGCTTCTCTCCTTCCAAGAGCGTCATTTCTTGATCCTCTCCATAGTGGCTCAACGGTAAGCCCAAGGTCCAGCACGCGAATCAGGAACCTGATGGTTCTTCGGGTTTGCAGGGATCCTTCCAGTGAATAGATGAAAGTCACAGGTACCAGTATGAAAACTGCAGTGACTCACCGGAAACACTTCATGCTTGTCAGCTTGCTAAGCTGTTTGAGTCCAACAACTGCATGGGGTCCTGAGTTAGTCTCCTGCCGCTACTTTCGTGAGTGTTGTCGTCACTTTACCTTGTGGTGGCCAAGCCCCTAAATGCACTATTAGGTTATGCAGTATGATTTTCAGCGTAAAAGACAGATAAAGAGCAACAGCGGGGTGAAAAAGACCCTTTTGCATTGGCCGGGAATTGAACCCGGGTCTCCCGCGTGGGAGGCGAGAATTCTACCACTGAACCACCAATGCCTCTGCGTAACTACCGCCTGGAGGATAACAGAAAAGAGTATCCACAAAGACTTAGAAACCGTTCCAAGCGGTTTTTTCAAGTGTCGACTAAAAGCTAACAAAGACATCCAAACCAAATGTGTTTTTACAGGAAACTTTTACTAGACAACGTTATAAATATCAAAATAGCTCATTTGTCGGATCAAACTCTTAACTCTGAAAAAGGTCCTTCTTTCTACCTGCATTACAAACCCCTATAATAAAACATCAGAAATTCATTCACGTTTCTTTTTTCTAATCCTAAATCTTCCATCGTCAACCTCAAACTGCTGCCTTAGAGGTTCTAAGAAGGTAACCTAACTGGTAGTTTAGGTAAGTAAAGTTCAAATCCAGGGAGGAAATCAGTAGCAGAAGCAGAATTAGAAGAAAGAGGAAATAAAAGGACAGAACCAAGGTAGAGAAAATGAAGAAATAAAGGTTGGTCCACTAAGTTAGTCTTTTGTCGCTGGTTTTTTTGGCAAAAGAGTAACGATCAGTCTCGTAATCATTATAATACTATTATTTGTCTGCTTGAAGATGTATAAAGCATTTGAAGGAAATGTGATATGAAAAGATGAAGAACGCTTGCCGTCAATGTTTCATTGTTTGGGAGAATCCCATTTCCTAAGTTAATATGCTTTGATGTATTAGCTATGTAAGGAGTAGACTAGTTTAAGGAAATATTGACGGTCAAATATTAGCATATTAGTCTTTTGATGAAGTTCAAATAGTAGAGAGATTTCTTTCCTCAATTTTCTCTGGAAACATTCAACTGAAGAGACAAATCCAGAGTTTTCTCCATATGTTGGGTCTGGGAGTCATTATGACTTTTTCAAAGACAGGAGCTGTGACATGGAATCATGCTTCTTCTCTAGCTGAGAAGCCAAGCTAGGTCCAGGCTGCGTCATAAACTTGAGCCCACCAAGGAAATCACCCTTCACATTGACCTCGCAGAGCTTTGGCTGTTCTCTGTTCTTTGCCCAACACCCAAGACACAAACCAGCTCTGGCCAACAAACCTTAACATATGATCTATATCCACCAGAGCTATATTTATTCCCAAATCTCCTTCTAAAATACAAACCTGTACTTTCTACTCTTAACTTCTAAATTTACAAAGGCCTCATATGCATCTCAGAGTCACAGATGCTAAAACTTAACCGGTTTTCTGAGGATTATTTGGGGAAGGGGTATGCATGCAAATGTATACACATAATTCATGTGATTTAGGAATATTGACTCTATGACTTCCAGATGCAGATTTAGAACCTTTTTAAAAAATATTTTGTTTTTGTTGTCTTGCAAATCAGCCAGATCTGCAACTTACCAGAGTAAAGCGAAGCCAAGCGGGACCCTTAGGAAATGCACTAAGATGTCATCCACTTTCAGTGTCAGCCTGTGAAAATACAGGCGATAGAAGAGAATGAAGAGAACCTGAAGGAATTTCTGGAACCAAAGCTAATATTAAGCAGGCCTCTTGCTGGCAGACCAGTGGAAACTGTAGCCTGGTCAACGATCTGTCTAGATTGAGGAGGTCTAAAGTGTAGCCACAGGTTCAACTACTTTTCTGTTTGTTTCCCAACCTCGATTAAACTCACTAAATTTAGGGACAAAAAAACAAAACAAAACACGATGTTCCCACGCAGTCTCGAACCAAAGACCTTTCATATGTGAAGCGAACATAATAACCACTACACCACAGAAACTGCATATACACCAAAAAAGGCAAAATATCATCATGAAAATCTTAGGTCAGCCATTTCTATTATCGTTTCCAAAGTAAGAAATTCAACTGCATTTCGAAATTCGACTGAAAAAAGCCCAATAAGCACCAGCCATCAAGAAGACTATGGCTCCCAATAGGCCCAGGCTTAGCGTTCCGCGCCCACCCCCAACACGAAAACCATGGGGACCCACACCCGGGCTTCGGGGACACATACCCGGGCTTCGGGCTCCCGCATCCTCCCCTGGGTATGCAGTTCCAGAACTAAGCGCCGTGTGCGGGATCCTCCCGGCTGACACTCTTCGGCTCCCAGAAGCTGCAGGAGCCGGCGGGCTTTGAGCGTCCGAGCCCTGGGCGCCCCGTGCCTCTCAGGAGGGTGGACGCCGCCCTTCCAGGGATGCGGACCCCGCCTCGGGGCCTTTTCCCCGGCGCCGGCCGTCGGGGCTCTTGGCTCTTCTCGTCCTCCCAGGAACCGTAGGACTCTCCTTGCCCTCCCTCCCGTAGGCCGAGGGGCGCGAGCTGCGCCTGTTTCCTCACGGACCCTTTGGCCTCAGCGCCTCGACGTCTTGCAATTGTTAGCTCACGGCTCTTCCTCCTATAACAAGGCCCTTCCATGTCATGTCCCCTACTCCCTCTTAGCACCAGAGAGATGCCGCCCCTGCCCCACAGGTCACATTCCATGAGTGGTGAAGTTTCTAGAGTTGTAACCATGGCATCTCCAGCCCTGTGTGTTCCTCTCCATGCTCCCCATTGAGCAGTCTTGATCCTGTATTAGCCCCAGGAAATGAAATAGAAACAGGACCCTACGTTAAAAAGTTGCAGTGGAGATGTGGTGGCCACCAGGGGCTGGAACTGTGGGGTGACTGAGAGTATCCAAAGCCCTGTGGCCAACTTACTGGTGCTGAGTGTGCTGGTGAGCCTCTCTGTCAGCTGGCTTCCCCGGGCCAGTTGCTCCCGGAAGCTCTGTCCCAGGTAGTAGTCAATGTCATTGCTCCTTAAGAGATCCTCAAAAGATTTTACTGTATCTTTTGCATGCTGGGTGAGAAGATAACAAACACCTCTCCCTTCTCGTATTTTTTGCCGTAGGTAAGACAGTTCCCGGGGCTGATCCTGAATCAGGGAATCATATTTCCTAATGCAGGACAGAAGAGGAAAGGGTGGATGATAAGTTATGGGGCTTCTGTAGAGATTTCTATGAGAACATCTCTAAGGAACTCCCCCAAACTGAATTCTGGCACGTAAGCCATAGGAGGTATTTAAGAGTAAATTCTACCCTGATAAATTATTGCACTAAAAATTTAGTATGGGCCGGGCGTGGTGACTGACGCCTGTAATCCCAGCACTTTGGGAGGCTGAGGCAGGCAGATCACAAGGTCAGAAGTTCGAGACCAGCCTGGCCAATATGGTGAAACCCCCTCCTCTACTAAAAACACACAAAAAAACTAGCTGGGCATGGTGGCACATGCCTGTAATCCCAGCTACTTGGGAGGCTGAGGGAGGAGAATTGCTTGAACCTGGGAGGGAGAGGTTGCAGTGAGCCGAGATGGCACCACTGCACTCCAGCCTGGGTGACAGAGTGAGACTCTGTATCAAAACAAAACAAAACAAAAAATTTACCATGCCACTGTTCTTCAACTGTTCTATATATGTTAATTATATGTCCCTAGATAAATCGTAAGGTCTGTGAGAATGAAGATAGTTCTGCGTTTCACATCCCTTACAGCACCAGCATCACAGAGATTCACAGCAGATACTCAATGAATAATTAGACTCATCTCATCCTAAGTCTAGATAGGACCTTTCATGTCTTCTGTTTTAACCACCACCTGATGTCTGAATTTCTTCTGTGTTGTGATACTGTGGCTGACTGTATTTTGCAATCATGGCCATCACATAAACTCTCATGCCATCAACTGATGAGACCCAAAACAAGAGACCCTAAGTGAGAGCCACCCAGCTGAGCCCAGTCAAACCACAGAACCATGAAGCATAATAAAGTACTGTTTGAAGTCACTAAGTTTTAGAGTGGTTCTTACTTAGCAGTAGATAACCAGGACACATACCAAGATGAATGTCTGTGTTTTCAACACAAAGTGTCAATAACACTGATAACTATGGCAAATAGCATTGAGAGCTTAATGTATGCTGGGCACCATTCTAAGCACTTGTACTAATTTTTTTTTTTTTTTTGAGACAGAGTCTTGCTCTGTCACCCAGGCTGGGGTGCAGTGGTACCATCTCGGCTCACTGCATCCTCCACTTCCCAGGTTCAAGCAATTCTCCTGCCTCAGCCTCCTGAGTAGCTGGGATTACAGGGGTGCACCACCATGCCCACCTAATTTTTATATTTTTAGTAGAGACAGGGTTTCACCATGTTGGGTAGCCTGGTCTCGAACTCCTGACCTCGGGTGTTCTGCCCACCTCAGCCTCCCAAAATGTTGGGATTACAGGCATGAGCCACCACACCTGGCCAGCACTTGTATTAATTCATTTAAACCTAATATCCACCCTTTGAGATGGGTTCTGTTATCATCCTCATTTAATAGGTAATGACAAAGGCTCAGAAAGGTTAAGAAGGTTGCATGGGTAGTAAGCATCAGAGCTAGGCAGTCTGATTCCAGTATTACCACTATACTATGCTATACTATACTATACTATACTATACTATACTATACTATACCATACCATATGTACTATTACTTTACTGATATATCCCTAAGAGGAAATCCCTGAGATCTGGTATCTCCCAGATACTGGGACATCATCCTATGCCCTCCTGCTTGCCTACCTGTCTTTTCCACAGACCTATATCTACCATTTAAATCAGTGTCCTTGTGAATACCCAGACATGTTGTTTCTTCCAACTGCCTGAGCTACCCTACACCAAGCACAAACTTACACATTTTCAATCCAGAAAGTGCCCAGACAGTGCCATCCTTACCCAGGCCATGAGGCTGATCTCAGCTCCTCAGCCAGCTTCCCTTCTAGTCAATTTTTTGGGAGCTGGGCCTCCAGCTGGGATACTCTCTGGATGAGACTCTTCAGGTCCTTTTTGGCCTGAAGTCCTGGAGAGTAGAAAGCCCCAGTGCCATCAGACAGCCACACCTCATCCTCATCAGTGACACTATGAGGTGAAGACCCCTCCAGGGTGTCAGGAGCTCTCAGCTTCCAGGGTCTTTCCAGACTAGATGAATAATCACTTGTAACTGAGAGGGACTGGACCCGGCTCTTGAAGTTTTGAATGACCTTGTTGGCATTCTGCAGCTGGGCCTTCAGATCTTTGATGTCCTTTCATAGGACCCAGATGTTTTCTGACTTTCCATATACCCAGAACTCTTCCTGCCTCCCTAGTTCATTCTCCAAGGGCTTCCTCTCAGAGGAACTAGCCAGCGTTCAGCCCCGGCGCCCCTGCTCAGAGCACAGCCCCTCCACCAGGACCATTTCCTTGCGGCTGCTGTGCTCCTCATGCTCTGAAAAAAGACAAAGATGTCTTCCTGAATAAAAGTTGGATGTGCTGTTGTGGCCACTGCCTTTGAGAGGAGGCAGGTTTGGTCATGAGGACAATAATTACTAGGGAAAAAGGTGAAGTCGTACTTTATTCAACCCTGACACTGTACTAGGCATTCAAATACAGTATTTCTTATCCTCCTTATACCCACAAGTTAGGTTTCACCACTCTCTATTTTACTGACTGGGGAAACCAAAACTTAAAGAGAGGTGGTAAACCAGCTTGTTCTAGATCACTCAAACTAGCACGTGGCAGAGCCTGAATTCAAATCCTCCAACATCCTGTGTTCATTCCACACACACTGATGTTTCTCAAGACATTAACATGGCCTTATCTAGTTAGGATAGCCACAAGAATGTAGGACAAGCTATTTCTGCATGCTGCAAGTTTAATGCTCTCTAAAGTTTACTATAATTTAAAAGTTTATTGGGTTATAACTGTGTGAAAAATAGGCAAAGGAAAATAAGAGTTTGAATAAATATATCAGCATGTTAACATCAGTGTATTGGGGCAGTGGTAGTCAGAATGAGAACTAATCCACAGCATTTTACCCGATGCCAGACACTGTTCTAAAGCATTTTATAAGAATTTACTCATTTAATTGACATTAGTACCTGATGGGGTAGGTAGTTCCTTTATTACTATTTTAACATTTGAAGAAACTGGGGCATAGGAAAGTTTACAAATTGGGATTTGAAGCAACAAGTCTGACCCCAGGATCTTTTCTCTTAACTGCCACAGTACACTTCCTCAAGAATGAGAGAGACTGTGTTTTTCTTCTCTTCTCGTTTTGAATGTGGTGGGTGGCCCTATAGTTGTAGTCCTTTTATAATGCAAACCAAAATTATTTTTAACTTATGGTTTGCATGTTTCCAAAACCTCATGTGGTCTCTAAGTAGGCCTTAGTATTTCTATAATAATCAGTTGGATAGAACTTCATATGATTATTATTATTATTAGCAGTATGCCACAAACTCATTGTAGAAATTCAAACTTATACTCAGCCTCATTTTGGGTAAGAGTTCTCCTATTAACCTCCTGTCCTCCTCTTCCCCACTACTTGTCAGGTGTGGAATTGGCCAACAGCACCCAAATGTGACAGCTGACTCCAGGGAGGGAAGGTGAGCCCCACACCCTGTGCTCTTACCGGGACTGGTGGATTCCTCCTGTTCAGCCTCATTCTTGCTTTGACCACAAGTCTCATAGCCCAGGTCGTGGAGGTCCACCTGGACCTGCTTGCTGTCCTGCTTCAGCAAGGGTTCACCTGCGTGGGAAGAGACAGCAGGTGTTACAGAATGTCTGAATTTCCCACATATGCCCTGAGCCCCAATGGCACATACCCTAACCTTGTGGGGCAGGGAGGGCAGATCCACAGTGCGAGAGAAGCTTCTTTGAACTGGTGGGAGAAGAGACCACCAGCTCCAGGAAGCAGAATTTCTTTCCACAGGAGGAGCCTGCATTTGCCATTGATAATCTCCCCTTCAGATAACCTAGGCCTTAGTTGGGACAAGGTATCTGTAAGTCAGGGATTGTGTACTCTCATCTCTAGCAGACCCACTGAAGCTGGCAAGTGCTTTATCAGCAGGGGTTCAATAAATGTTGAATGTAAAACATGGCTGATTACTTTTTATTTTCAATCCAACAAATCTCCATTTCTGGTGAGAAAATCTTGCCATAACCAACCAAGCAAATGCATAAAAGTATATCAAAAAGAAAATGAAAGCTTCCCTGCCTCCCAATCCCACTTGCTTGGTGTCAGCTATTATTTATTACATGGAGGAAGGGGGCGAGGCACCCAGGAAGGCCCAAGTCCTGTTCTGACAATCATCTGGCCTCCCTGGGCAAAGGGAAAAGAGGGAAGGCAAAAAGAATATAACATTACTGTTTGCAGAAATTTCCCCTTGGTACAGGAAACTCTGGTAAACTGAGAGAGTATGTTTTCCATGAGGGAGGCCTCAAGGGCTCTTCTCTGGCCCTAAGCCCAAACTGGATTTTGCCTCATTTTCTAAGATGCAAAGGAAATGGTAAAAGTTGATCAAAGGAGAGGGCAGAGAAAGAAAGAGGACGACTCCTCCATCTCAGGTCCACCTTCCTCGGTGTTGCTTGAGGGATCAGAGGAAATACATGAACAGAGGTGCGTGGGAACTACGGCTGCTCTGTGAACTCAGTGCCCTCCAGTTACGAGCTATTGTGAGGTTCCATGATGTAATGGTGAGCGCTTTGGACTCTGAGTACGGTGATCAGCGTTCAAGTCTCAGTGGGACCTTTCTGTATAATGCCAATGATATTCCTATTGCTCCCTAAGCGGAATGGGGGAAATTGCCCCAGTCATGGTCACCCACCGTCCAGGCCACTGGCTGTGTGCAATTGGAGTCCTAGACCCAGCGACCCAGCAAGACCCCTCCCCTCTCAGGGTGACCCTGGGCCTCCAGGTGACAGGTCTCCTCCACTGAAAAGGCTGCCTCCCCTCAATCCTAGACCCTGAGTTTTCTTTTATACATGTCATTGGGCCATTGCCCTGTGTCTCTTTGGAAGAAATGACCTATATGAAAAACTTTACTTCCGGGATTCCCTAATTCCTTCATCCCTTAGGACGGCGCGGTTTTTCAGCTCCTGGTCTTGGCTCCAGTTCTAATGCACACGTTTCATTTTATTGTCATGGGATCCCCTCCAACAGGCTACCACTGGATTCCTGTCCTTGGGGTCTCCGTGGATGGCAACCAGATGCTGCTCTTGTCCCAGATCCTGACACCTCTCTCCAGGGAATTGCCTCCCTTAGCCTCCTAAATCAGCCAATATTTAGATTTGGGCCTGGGATCGCAGCAACTGTGGAGAACAGAGGTTCCCGATCCCTGGCCAGCCTCCCGCAGTGAAGGGGAGAGGAGCACAGCAGCTGGGAGGGGCAAGTCTGGGGCCCTGGGCAACCCCCTTCTTCCTGCCCAGACTCTGCTCCAAGGAGCAGTTGCCTTAGGACCAGATCAGATGGAAACTCTTTTGTTCTCTTCTCATCAGCAGAAAAATTTAGGCAAGAGCTCTGGAGGACGTTCCTAGCTCCTAAAAATGGTGTGGCCAAATCTCTCCAGTTTTGGAAATGCCCAAGGTTACCAAGTATTTTGAGGGCTCACTTTGGAGCCTCTGAAAAGGAGGGGTGAGGGCCCATGGAAGGTACCTGAGGGATGCAGGGGAGAGAGGGGAAAGAGCAGACAGGAGGGAGGAGAGAAGGAAGGAAGGGGAGAAAGGGCGTGTGAGGGCCAGGAGCCAGGATTCACCCTGACAGTTCAGTGACTGCTCCCTTCCAACAAGCTTCCCACTGTGGCACCTTCTAGCAGGTGGTTTCCATCTCTTATTGATGTCCTAAGACCTTGGCTCTATGGAACGGTTCTGTTCTATTTGTCTGGCATGAGTCCTGGCAAAGTTTCTTTTTCACCATTTGGGGGATGAGATGGGGGTATATAGGTTTGCAAGTGACTAGGAGCTAAGTCAGGAACTTGTGGAGCCACTCAGAGTCAACTGTCAAGTAGCCTCCTTCTCCCATTCCCCTGCAGGACGATTGCCTGCAAGACAGGGCCTGGAGAAGGCCAGGGCACCCAAGGCCACAGAAATGCCCAGGGATGAGTCCCGGCTGGAGATGCCTTGGCTGAACTCACTGTGTACTTCCAGGGTGCACAGGGCAGGTACTCTGGGGGTCTGGCCGGGAGACTGAGCAAGGGGACCAGGGAGGTTGTGTAGCAGGCTTCTGCACAGCAAGGCAGACATTCTTCTTGGAGCCCCCAACCCAAATCAGGTCTTCCACCTCCTCTTCCTAAAGACCCTTTACTGCAGTCATTCTTTTACTAGAACTGCAAGTTTATAGAACATAGATTTCAGTGTGCTCATCTGGCCAACCATCTTCAGTGGCCAATGCCCAAGGTAACCTCCCTCCCTACCAAGACCTGAACTCAGAGCCTTACCTAAGGAGAAGATGTCCTGTTCTTTCTTTCCCACCAGAACTGCCCTGGCCCAGACCCCATTTCTGTCTGGTGACCAGGACAGTCCCCTCACCAGTCTCCCAGGTTGGGGAGGGCAGATTCTCCTCAGCTCCCTGCCCCTGAGAGACCCCAACAGCCTTGCGTGGCTCCAGCCCACAGAGGGCTATCCATGGCCCATATCTCTCAAAACTCTCCCCTCCCACTCTGAATCCACCCTCTACTGCATGCTCCCCTCACAGAACAGACATGGGTTTTTTTTTGTGTCCTCGTTTTGCCTACCCATACCCCAGATTGACTTTTCTGTCTCAGAACTACCTGTCCCTCTTTGGACAGTGTCTTCTTGGTACTACACATGAAGATGTCCTGCTCTCCCCTGCTCAAGGAGAGAGTGCCTGACCTGAGCTGGGCCCATCAGATCCAGTACTTACCCGGAATAGGAAAAAGATGGAGAGGGTGACCAAAGATTACAAAAATCTCTGAAGCTTATCCACTTGAGAGAGAGTCCCTGAAGATACTGGCCTTTCATTTCCTGCTATGTATATCCAGTGTGACTGAACTCTGAATAACATATACAAGTTATAATAATGTAGTAGTTGGCCCTCAAACTAGGACACAAACATGTTAGAGGGTAAGGTAGTGAGAGGCATGTTTGGGGGTGGTGGTGATGAGCAAGTATGTGAAGGAGAGATAGTGCCTACGCTTGAAAATCAAAAAGGAATAATATCTATTTAGACATAAGGAGATAAATAACTAAATACTTGCTTCTATGTGATGAAACTCTGGGAGTACACAAGGGGACTGCTGTTTTACTAAACAAATTTTCCAGTCTATATAACTTTGATAAGGTATCCAAATAAAAAAATTCCTTTCCCATATATGTATGTGTATATATATGTATTTGTATACACATATATGTTTGCATTTTTGTATTTTGAATATAAATTTTTATAGAGTCCTGTGAACCCCTCTTTTCAATTAGGATTTGAGTTTGATGTCATGCATGCAATGTGATCCCACTGTGTGACTACAGAAATGTTGGCAAAAGTAAGTTCAGAGGAAATGGTAGGCAAGTACTTCCCAGTTTTGGCCAGAAGATGGAGAAAAAAAGAATTCTCATAAAATATTAAAAGTATGACTTGTTACAGCTTCTTTTCATAGTAATTTGGATAGAAATTAGCAAAATCAGAAATGTATAAATACTTTGGTCTGACAATTCCATCTCCAGGTATCTACGGAGAAATAGACAAGTGATGCACGACAGATACATGTGTCAGTCTGGTCTCTGCAGTTGTATTTGTAATAATACACATTGGAACAATGTCATGGCCATCGGTTAGAGAATGTTTGAAGAATGACCCATTCATATCAGGAAGGACGTTTCAAAGATCAAAGCCTGATGGAAATGCTGGAGGCCGTGACGCTGATAGGAGCTCATGCGTGTTGACCAATTGCTACGTGACAGGCATTGGCTCCACGCTTTTCCTGCACTGCTCGTTTAAACATTGGACAAATTAAGTGTTCTGATTTAGCCCATTAGACAGATAGAAATGGAAGCACAGAAAATTAATGGGTTTATCTTTAAACGCGAGCAGATTAGGTTTTTCACCCAGGGCCTGTGGCTTCACCATAGGTGTGATTCAGGTTCTGTTGTTCTCCACTTTAGGAATTCCCAGTATTCCAAATATGAGAAGCTGAGAAAACAAACAAACTCAAAACTCTAAAAACCGGGATAAGTAAGGGTAGATGTTTGCTGGGTGTGGATTAATAATGAACTTTTTTTGCCTCAAGCAACAAAGAGGCACCTTGGAAAATAGACAAGAGACAAGAAGAGGAGAAGCTTGAAGATATATTTGGTCCAAGGAAGAGACTCTTCAGAGGGAAGGTCACATCAGCTAGAAACATTAATGCGACTGGATGGGCTCAAACCACCGACTTTTCAGTCAACTTCCGACAGCACTAACCTAGTGTTCCAGAGACCCTGCTTGTTAAACAGTGAAAGCTGTTGCTCAATTGTGTCATCCATAATTGTCAAATATTGTCATTTAGTAGCACAAGGAAGTATTCTCTGTTGCCAAGCTAGAGTACCCATAACTCTTCTGTTTTGTTGAACATTCTTCCCCACCACAAACCCTCTTTGGAAGACTGGTGGCTCCTAAAACATTGAGGCCAACAGTCCTGTCCTTGTGCATGTTTGGGCATTGATCCAGGGCCAAATCAGTGGGAGACTCCTCCACGCACATGCCAGGTCCCCAGGTGACAACTGCAGTCTCTGGATCTGAGGTCATCCACTTTCCCATTCCTAGCTCACCTCACCCATCATGAAGCCTGGTCAGGATTGCCAGAGACCCGAGTGGGCAGGTGCCCGCACTAAAGACAGAACCTGCTGTGTGCCCACTTTGCTGATCCCTCCATCTTTCTAGACAAGGCTTTGTGAGCCAAGGACTTTGGGTTTGCTCACAAGGCAGCCCCTCACCTAGTAAGCATTAGTTCATTATGTATAGTATACGTATATGTATATGTATATGTATATGTATATGTATAAGTATATGTATATGTATATGTGTATGTGTATGTGTATGTGTATGTGTATGTATGTGTATGTGTATGTGTATATGTATATGTAGTCCTCAGGTTGTATTCCTTAAATATATATAATATATGTAATTCCTTAAATATATAATTTTAATACAAAATTTTTAAAAGATTCCTTTCATAAACATTTACAATAACACCAAGAAATATAAACTACATAGCAAAGATGTGAAAGCCAGCCAGGCTCAGCTTCAAATCCTAGCGCTTAGGAAGGCCGTGGCAGGAGGGTCGCTTGAGCTCAGAAGCTTGAAACTAGCTTAGGCAACATAGTGAGACCTCATCTCTACTGAAAATCAGAAAAATTATCCGGCTGTGGTGGTGTGAGCCTGTAGTCCCAGGTACTCAGTGGATGAGGCCCTAGGATGTCATCGGCCTGAGAATTCCATGCTGCAGTGAGCTGTGTGATCTTGCCACTGTACTCCAGCCTGAGTGAAAGAGTGAGATCGTGTCTAGAAACAAAAGAAGAAAAAAAAAAAAGGTGTGAAAGCCTGTATATTGAAGATTACCACGTATTACTGAGAGCAGTTAAAGACCTTTGGAATAGAGAACGTTCCTTCTTGCATTTCAAGATTGCTTTTGTTTTGGGGGGACACTTGCTGTTTTTTAGGAACATGAAGTTCTTCTCAGGCATTCCTGTAAAAAAAGCCACTTTTTGATAGGATTGTATTGAGTCTGTGGATTGCTTTGAGTTGTATTTTTATCTTAACCATGTTACAACTTCCAACCCGTGGACACAAGATGTCTTTCCATTGATTTAGGTCTTCCTTAGTCTCCTCGAACAATGTTCTGTAGTTGTCTGTGTACAAGTACTGCACCTTCTTGAACAAATTTATTCCCAGGCATATTATCCTTACAGGTGCTATTATAAATGAAATCATTGTGTCAGTTTACTTCTCAGATAGCTCATTGCCATCACAATGAATTGTTTGCTGAAAGTTTGCTGAATTCACTTATTAACTCTGATAGTGTGTGTGTGTGTGTGTGTGTGTGTGTGTCTGGTGTCTGTGTGCATGTATGTGTGTTTGCCTTTGTATGTATTGTTTGGGATTTTCTATACATAGGATCACACCATCTGCAAATTGAGATCATTTTGTTTTCTGTTCAAAAATATTTTTTCTCATGTTTATTTTTGAAAGATAATTTGGCCAGGTGTAGACTTGTAGGTGACAGTTTTTCTTTTTTTAAGTACTTTATTGCAAACTTCTTGTTTGTAAAGTCTGCTATGAGAAATCTTATGCCATCCTTATATTTAGTGCTCTGTATGTAACATGTTCTTTTCCCTTTTATTACTTTTAGGATTTCCTTTTTATCACTGGTTTTGATGGATTCGATTAAGGTGTTCCTTGGTGAAGTTTTCTGCATGTTTCTTGTTCTTGGGATAATCATATTTCTGTAATATTTGAAGTTTATGATTTCCATGGAGCTTCTAAATCTTTCATCCAGTATGTTTTAAATATCTTTGTCTCTCTTCTCCACTACCTGCCCTTCAGGGATTCCATTTAGCCCTATACTAGGGTGTTTAAAGTTTTGATGCTGATGGTCTTTATATGTTTTCAAGTCATTTGTTAATGTGTGTTTCATTTATGTTAGTTTCAACTTCTATTCCTTCTAGTTTAATAATCTTCTCTTCTGCAATATTTAATCCAGTGCCTTCTTCCATTTCACACTGTAAATCATAGTTTTTATCTACAGAATTTGATATTTAAAAAATCTTCAACCTCTCCATTTAATTAAAATACAATTATACTAATTGCGGTAACGTCCTTTTCTTCTATTTCCAACGTGTGTGTCAATTTCAACCAGATTATTAGATTCTTCAGTATGTGTCATGTTTTCCTGCTTCTTTGACTGCTTGATATTCTTTTATTTTTATTTATTTGTTTTTGGGGGGATGGAGTTTCACTCTCGTTGCCCAGTCTGGAGTGCAATTGTGTGATCTCAGCTCACTGCAACCTCTGCCTCCCAGGTACTCAAGCGATTCTCCTGTCTCTGCCTCCCAAGTAGCTCAGATTACAGGCATGCACCACCATGCCCAGCTAAACTTTTTGTGTTTAGTAGAGACAGGGCTTCACCATGCTAGTCAGGCTGGTCGTGAACTCCTGACCTCAGGTGATCCACCCGGCTGCTTGATATTCTAAGATTTGATGCTGGAGCTTTGGTGTCAATGCTCAAAAGTGCCCAAAGACACCACTCAACCTCAGTGTCTATGCACACCCAAGCTTTTGCAACAGGAGAGGTAGAGACAGCAGAGATGAATGTGCTACAACATGCTGGTAGAAGGTACCCCAATTGTGCTTGGGGCTTCCTATGCCTCATAGAATAATGTGCCTTCCTTAATTTTTCCCATAAGAACCACCCTACTTCATGCCCTGTCTCTCTGTCCAAACACCAGGACAGCCCTCAGACCAGTCTCAACCACCCAATGGATTGACAAAGGTCCAAATATGATTCAGTGGAGAAGGCATTCTCTTGTCAACAAATTGTGTAGAAACAACTGGACATGCATATCCCCAAAGGAAAAAGATTCACCTGAACCTCAATACTGACTCAAAAACTAACTCAAAATGGATTATGCAACTAAATATAAACTATAAAAGTAGAAAAAGTATAGCAGGAAATATAAGACAAAATCTTCACGACACAGTTAGGCAAAGTGTTCTTTGTTATCAAGAAACACAAACCATTAAAGAAAACATTGATAAATTCAACTTTATAAAAAGTAAAAGTTTTTGCTCAACACGAGACAGTATTAAGAGAACAAATATAAGCTGCAGATTGGGAGAAAAACAGGGGAAATGACAAATGTGACAAAGGACAAGTGTGATAGTTACTTGCACGTGTCACTGTGACTGAGCACCAGGGTGCCGGGACATTCGGCCAAATGTGATTCTGGTTGTGTTCCAGAGAGTGTTTCACATATGATTAACATCGGGATGGGCAGACTAAGTGAAGCAGATTGCCCCCCTTAACGGGGGTGGGACTCATGCAATCAATCAAAGGTCAGGAGAGAATTAAGAGGCCTAATGGGAAACAAATGCTTTCCTGGGTATCCAGCTTTCCTTCCATCTTGGGAATTTCAGCCTCCATAATCTCAGAAACAAATTCACATATGTATACACACACATATACATTTCATAGGTATGTGGCTAAGATTGTATTTTTAAAAGTTCAGCCATGAGATGATTGGTGAAGCCAGCCAATGAATAAGGGTGTGTTCTATTATATGACTCAGTCTTCTTTTGTACACGATTGAAGTTCTGCATTTGAAGTAGGAGGACAGGAGAGAGCAAGTCCACCTAGGATGATAACAGCTGAATTTCTCAACAGACACTTCAAAGCCCTAGGGGTTAACTTAGAGAGTCAAAAATCCCACCCATAACCCTGCCCCTAAACGCCAGGGCTAGGGAACACTGTGGCCCTCAGGTGATTTTGTTTCACTTGGTCTGGGAGCCACACAAGGGCAGAGGGAGCAGGAAACACTAAGCAAATCGAGGCCAGGACAGCAGGGAGGGCCTGTTCATGACAGAACACAGGTAAAACTATCCTCAGAAAGAGCATGTGGAGAAACACAGATCATACCTGAGACCTGGTGGATTAGAGCACTGGCTACTGGGGAATTGAAAGGAAGGGGCTTCACCATGCAGAGGACCAGAGGTGCCAGTCTTGGAAACGCAGAATTGCTGGGAGATGGGGAGGCATGGACAAAGGAAGCATCCTCTGGAGACTCATGGTGAAGAGAACAAATGAAGTAACTGGCAGAAATTATAGGTCCTGGTAGAACAAAATAGAATCCCACAATGAGAACATACAGCATGTATGTCCCGCAAGGAAGACAATAGCTCCTAAAAATGCAAGAAAAATCATTTTGGGCAAACACCTTATATCCAGTAATGCGATCCATGTATCAAGACCACGAGGAAGATTATTAAACATGCTAAACTCAGCGAGACCTGATTCCCTCATGAGGACTCTGTTAAGGATGAGTACCACTCAGCAAGTGATGACTGTGACATTCACTTTTGAACAGCTCATGAGCATTAATATATTTAATTGTGGATCTAAACCAAAAACCAAGGTGTGGGCAAGATGACAACCACAGAATGTCACTGGCATATGTTTAGGTTCAAATACCATTATGAGAAGTGGCAGGTAAAGGAGGTAGGAAAAAGAAAACACATCATGTAACTGACTGTCATATGGAAATATTTGACGTTGAAAGTCATAATTTAAAATGTATAAACCAAATATTAGAAGTGTGTCTAGTTCAAAGGGGGGAAAACTATGAAACATTTTTAATCAATATCAAACATGAGCTACACAACCCTTCCTAAATGCCAGAGGCACACACACACACACACACACACACACACTCTCACAAAGAATATAAATATCTAGAACCAAGAAATGGAGTAAATGCATTCTGCTACATATGGTAAACATAGCCTACAAGGTGGAAGAGATTAGAAAATAAACAGGGAAATGGAAATGTTTTTATTAATTCACATCAGTACCCACCAAAACCAATCAGCATAACAAAAGATTATAACACTGAATGTAAAAAACAATCCAACAGTCCAGAGTGATAGGCAAAAGCTTTTAATTGTATAGATTAAAATAACTTTGGACAAAAATTAAAACTCAGGCAGAGAATGTTTTTTTTTTCAACAACACAAACTAGCAAAAACAAAGGCACAGTAAATATTGAGGCAGAAAGTTTCCAGCGTAGAGATATGAATATAATAATAGACACAGGCAGGGATGATTAATAAATGATAAAATGTTTACAGGATGATCATCGGAATACAGGACATTTCTACTTTTGAAAACCACCCTCCCAAATACTTCATTATAAGTAAGGTGTCTCTAAAAGGGACAGATCTCCTAGACCCCTCCTTAACCAAGTAACCAGTCCTGATATCATGATAATGCTGATGGACAAACTAGACCTTCTCTGCCCGCAGATGGGCTAAGGTTGGAAACTCACAGCATTGTCTCTGCAGTGTTCCCGGCAAAACGTTTAGGCTGAATTTAATCATGAAGACATTTTCAGACAACTTCAGAATGTAGATCATTGAGCCAGACAGCTGACCTGTCCTCTATAAACAAGTCCATGTCACCACCATCAATGACAACAACAAAAAGATGAGGAAATATTTGGGGTTCAAAATAACTAAAGAAATGCAGCTATATTATCTTTTTACTTTTTTTGAACCCAAAATATCTCTTCTCCTTTTTGTTGTGTGATTTGTGGTGATATGGACTATGTGAAGGAGACAGGTCAGTTGTCCTGCTCAGTGTTCTACATTCTGCAGTTGTCTGGTGATTACCTCCTATGAAACTCAGGCTAAGCGTTTTCTGCAAGAACATGGCGTTGTTCATATTCTGCACCGGCAGAGTCCTGGGTGACATGCTGTCTCCTGCCAGCGGCTCCTGACTCCTGTTCTCTACAGGATGGAATCGAGAGGAGCAGGGCTAAGGCCTCCCAATGCTGTTTGTCCATCTAGCTGTGGTCTTCCTAAGTACTGACACCAATTGGAGGCTGAAGGACTGTGGCTTCTCTAACCAAAGGAGCCTAGCGGGTTAACAATTGTCAAGAGCAGTTGGTGGTTCTGAAATACAATCCTCAGCCAAGGATCCCTCCTGCGTTAAAGATGGATCAGCTAAAACAATTCAACACTGAAGATACAAAGAATGAGGTTAGGTTCATTGAAACCAGGGTAACACCTTTGGATGAGCTAAACACAAAGATGACACTGACCTTGAGCAGGTATAGAAGCTCAGAGACATGCCTGCAAAATGAAATCCCTGAGGAACTTTGTAGCTACCCAGAGATACGTGGTTCAAATTAAAATGTCTGACTGATCACTCCCGGCATGTGCTGCACAGTTATGTGAACGTGTCACACCTAACTTGGGTCCATTGTCTTCAGACTGAGCACAGGTTGCCACTGGCATGGTCTGAGAATAGGAATAGAGCCATGCCCACTGACCCATCCTATGTCTGGGCTTCCAAATGGAACTATAGTTTCATTCAAATCTTCACGTGCCTATAGGTCCTGCCTGCAGGAATGACATCTCTCGGCTTAGTAAGGGCTGCTTACTGTGGGAATATGACTCCCATCTGGAAGACCAGGTGGAGACTTGTTCCCATCAAAGTAAGAAACCTATTGTCCACGTCAAGGGCGAAGCTGATGTGCTGTTCCTCAAATGAGTAAAACACACTTCTGTAGTGCTGGAATGAGTCAGGTAGTTCAAAGAACATTGACGGAGTCGAATAACATCTATCCAGTGAGTCCTGTAAGACTTCAGGCTCTTCCACTTCCATCAGCACACCGCTGAGCCTGGAAAAGCAGACAAAACTAAAGAAGCAGCCAGGGAAAATCAGACACCACAGAGCCCCACTAGATTTCAGAAGTAACGTAAGGAAGTGGTAAGAAAAGAAAAGGATAGATCCATTAGATCCATTAATGAGGTAAAAAAAAAAAATTATTGCCTTTATGTTGGGATAGAAAAGGGCCAGGTAGAAAACAATGAAAGAGAAAGACAGAGAGACAGAGACAGAGACAGAGACAGAGAGAAAGTGAGCTAGTGAATTGGCCAGGTGACATACTGGTAAGGGAGTAAAAGGACACTCTGAGTTAGTGCCCTCATGACACACAGCACACTGCGATCATGAAAAGAGTGAGCTCAATAGTTTTCCATAAAATATGCTCAAAATTCGATGCAGTGGCCATGAGAGTACAGCTTTTGAAGTATGGTCATCCTATGGTACGTTAGTAAATGATAAGGGGAGGAAGAAATGGAAACCTAAACATCTACTGCAATGAAAACCAACAGCAATGACAGTAGGAGTAATTCAGCCTTCGTTGAAAACATGAAATCAAACACACTCTGGTTTCCCTGAATCTGTTGCCTCCAGGTGTTAACACAGAATTAAGCATCCACAATTGCTGAAAGTTACCTGGGGCATGGTGGGTTTTGATCTTCTTCCCCTTCTTTTCTTCCCCTTCTCCTTCTTTTCTTCGTTGATCTTCTTCCCCTTCTTTTCTTCCCCTTCCCCTTCTTTTCAATTTCTGCAATAAATTCAGACATGGACAGACACATTAAGCTGATTCCCCTACACACA